>NC_000015.10:31761722-32064752 GCF_000001405.40 Homo sapiens
CATTACTCATATTAGCCAAAAGTAGAAAAACCCAAATATCCATCAACTGATTAACAGATACATGCAATGTGATATATCCATACAATTGAATATCAATCAGCAATGAAAAGGAAGGAAGTACTGGTACTTACTACAACATGGATGAACCTTGAAAACATTAAGTGAAAGAAGCCAAACACCAAAGATAATATATTATATGATGCCATTTGTATAAAATGCCCTGATAAATCTGTAAAGACAGAAGATAGATTAATGGTTGCCTACAGAGGGGGGCATGTGTGTAAGTCACTGGTAATGGGTAAGAATTTCTTTTTGGGGTAATGAAGTGTTCCAAAATTAAATTGTGCGAATAGTTTCATATATCTGTGAATATACTAAAAATCAATAAACTGTACTTTTAGTGGGTGAATTATGGTATGTGAATTATATCTCAACCAAATTGGTTTTTCAAAACTAACAGTAAAATCAATGATGTGGTAGCAATTCTGCAGTGGCAGGAGTGGTGGCCACAGCTTCCAGGCATGTTCCTAAAACTCTGAGGGAGGGGAATTCTCCTCTCTGCCCACAGGAGCTGTGGTCTCAAGGGCTTGGAGCAAATCCTCATTGCTTTTTTTCTCTGTCCTCCCACCATTTAACCTCCACACAGATAAAGTCATAAAGTACAAGACAAAGCAGGGACACTAAAGCCCTGGCTATCTGATCAAAGGACACTGAAAGGAGCATAAAGAACCAGAAAGACTGTGAAGAGGAGGAGCTCAAGAAAGTAACCCTGTAAAGGGAGGTGTGATCTTCTGGCTCACCTCTGAGCTGTGCATGCACGAATCTAACCCTAAACAGTACACCAAAGGCTTTGATTATAGAACTATAGGACTAGCTATCATCCAGGTCCCAGGCTTGCCACTGAGTGGTGCGTAAGCTATAGAAGGATCCAAATAGCATAGCGAAAGCTCTGAAAACAGACTCAACTTTGGAACCACATCCCTGAAAGGGTCAGAACTTGAAGCCTGAACCTAGCTATGTAGATTGCCTGATAAAACAAACAAAATCAATATTCTCCTTATGATAAGACATAGAGTCTGATAACGTAATATTCCAAATGTCCAGGATTCAATCCAAATTACTTGGTACACAAATGACCAGGAAAATCTTTACTACAAGAAAAGAGAAAAACAACATATGCTACTCCGAGACGACAAAAATATTGGCAAAAGCAGACAAAAGCAGCTATAATAACCATGCTCCAAGACGTAAGAATAAACAAATGTAAAGACAGAAGTCAGCCAGGTGCGGTGGCTCACGCCTGTAATCCCAACACTTTGTGAGGCTGAGGCAGGCGGATCACCTGAGGTCAGGAGTTCAAGACCAGGTTGGCCAACATGGTGAAACCCCATCTCTACTAAAAGTACAAGAATCAACTGGGCCTGGTAGCATGTACCTATAATCCCAGCTACTGGGGAGGCTGAGGCAGGAGAATCACTTGAACCCAGGAGATGGAGGTTTCAGTGAGCAGAGATCGTGCCACTGCACTCCAGCCTGGGCAACAGAGCGAGACTCCATCTCAACAACAACAACAACAACAACAACAACAAAAGACAGAAGTCTCAGTAAAGAAAAAAGATATAAAGAAGAATCAAGTGGAAATTTTAGAGATGAAAAATACAATAGCTGACATGTAAAAAATGTTCTTTAGATGGGTTAAATGGCAGAATGGAGATAGCAGAGGAAAGTCACTGGACTTGAAGAGAAATCAATAGAAATTATCTAATTGGAACATCGGAGAGAAAAAAATGAAAAAAATTAAGAGACTCAGGAAACTGAGGGAAAGAATTCAAAAGGTTGAACATTTGTGTCACCAAAGTCCCAAGAAAGGAGTAAGAGTCTGGTGTGGAAAAGAAAATTTGACAAACGGTGGCTGAAATCTTCCCAAATTTAGTGAAAGACAAATTTATAGATTTAAGACACTCAGGGAACCCCAAGCAAAAGAAAATAAAAGAAATCCAGGCCCAGACAAATCATAATCATGTGGCTGAAAAACCAAAGACAAGATTTTTGACAAAAAGCCTGAATACAGCAAGGAAAAATCACCGCATTATAAATAGGAGAACAACCCTCTGAATGACTGCAGAGTTCTCATCAGAAACCACAGAGGCACAACATTTTTAAAGGAATGAAAGACAAGAACTGTTAACCCAGAATTCTATACTAAGTACAAATAATCTTCAAGAATGGGGAGGAAACAAAGATATTCTCAGATGAAAGAAAATGAAGAGAATTAGTCAATGGAGCTGCTCTGAAAGATATGTTAATGGAAGTTTCTCAGACAAGAGTGACACGGGAGGGAAACTTGAAACTTCAGAAATAAAAAGCAACAGAAATGGTACATATATGGATAATATAATAGATTCTTCTCATAATTTTTTTGTTACAAAACCCCAAATAATTTTAATCTCAATTTGCAACATAATCCACATTTTACATATCTATAAGCAATAGAAGTTTTAGTATACAAATGCCTTAGAAAGAATTCAATTTGGTCCAATAATTTTATAGCCAGGATAAAGTCATATTTATAATTCATAATTTTCTGTCAAGGTTTTTAATAAAAATCAGTAATGTTAAATGGAACACTATCATTTTATAGAGGAATAGTATGAAATTACATTGAGAAATGAGAATAGTCATTAAACATTAAGATTTTATTACAACCCAGGCATTATATATTTCTTTACACTTAAGGAATAGATATGAAACAATCTTGAAGTAAAAAATAGAAGGCAACTTGCTTCAAGTTTGTACCAAGTCAATCAAGCAGAAACTGAAGAACCTTGTTTTAAGATGAGAGTCATTTATACTTGGCAAGCGTTTTCTTCCAATGTAAAAATAAAGTCAATGTGCCATTATCTTGACACTTATAAAAATGTTTATAAAAAGCATTTAGGCCATTGATTCTCACAGTTGGATGAATATTGGAATCACCTAGATTAAAAAAAAATACTAATCCCTATACAACATCCCCAAAATTCAGATTCAATTAGTATAAATTAGGCCCTGGGCATATAGGCTGTTTTAAAACTCCTCGGGTGAGTCTAACGTGCACCAGTTTGAAAACCACTAGCTTAGAGACCTGTTCCATCATCATAGAAGTCAGTCTTTAGCTGAATGATTCTATATGCCCTGATTTCAGTGGGTAATGTTGTTATTTTAAGCATCTGATAGGTGTATCTCCCTTGATTAAAAAATAAATACCTTATGGAAGAGATTATATGTTTTATTTATCATTGTCTCCGCATATCTGGAATAATGAAAGGCACATAGCAGTTGCTAAATAAATATCTTTTGAATGAATATATGATTGCCTTATACTTCTTTTACATCCTCATCTTCTAATAGATTATGAAAATTAGAATTCAAAATATATATATTGAACAAATGAATGACTGAAGCAGTTGGGGATAATATTTAAGGCAAAACCAAATCTGATAAAATATATACATATTTTAAAAACACATACATATATATATAAATAGATCAAAAGTGGAAAAAGAATATATAGAAGAGTGCAACATTTGGCAGCTGAGAATTATTTCATTGAGTTTTCAAATATTCTTCACATTCTTATACTTAGAAACAAAGAAGTAACCCCAAACAACTAATTCATTAGCTAATATCTCAGAACTTGCACATGTGCAGATAAATTTTTTTTAAAAAACAGAATTACAGTTTAATCCCTAACACAGCTCAGTTTTCAAAATTCAAGTAAATAAAATTTTAGCACACATCATGATAGCCTTACTGGATAGCTGTGTTAAAAACAAAAAGTATATGTTATGTGCTCTCAATTGAGATCTAGTTAGTTTCCTAGGAGTCTCACATTGATAAACATCTATTTTGGCACTACCTTACATAATGTGTTTATTTAGAAATACCTTATTAATGACAGACTTCCTTTTGAGTAGCTACATTCTCAGATATGGCTTCATTTATCAAAGTTCCACAAGTATTACATACTTTTTAATTCAGCTAGTATCTTAGACTACAGAACTTTGGTTTTCTTAAAATCAGCATTGGTTGCTTGATTGTAGGTTTGTCACCAAAAAGTGCTGCTTCACTCTCCATGGTTGGAAATCTTTTCTGATATATCAAAGGATATTCCTTCTGAAACTATTTTAGTTTTTTTCTTTTCTCCTTTAGAGGTAAAGTCCTGTTTTTAACAATATTTTCTAAAAGTTCTGCAATTGCAGCTTGAGAGGTAGAAATTTTTTGCTCATCAAACTCCTGAGCACTAATCTGCTTACCGTATGAGTAAGTTGGCAAAGGAGCAAATAGTCCATCTCCAGGACTTTCAATATGTCCCCTTTTTAAGTAGTCAAGATGTTTTTCCACTGCAGTCTGCAAGTAAGAGGGTACTTGAAGAATTTCCTGATCATGATCCATTAAGAAAGAAACTAATCTTCCAGCAAGAAGCTCATCAAGGTCCACTTCTTCAGCACAGCATAACACACATTGAGAAACGGTATGTATCAACAGTGATCTCGCACCCATTGCATCATGAAGTTTGGGCATATCAACATTTTGACTCATTCGGGAAATCATACGCATTAAAAGTTGAAGCTTTCTATGATTTGGTGGGGGAAATAACAAACAACATAACTGTAGAGCATCGATGGCAACCCTCTCTAAATGAGGTTGCAGCAAACTTTGTGTGCCAGTCAACACAGAAGAAGCTGGAAGTAAAGAGTCTTCTGAAAGTTCTATTGTACTTTTGCAGAGTCTTTTATTGATTGTGGCACTAGACTCTCCAAGTTCACTTTCCATAGCTGTTTGCACACTTGTGCTGCCTTGTCCAACATTTGGTTTCATGGTAATTTCAGCCACTGGTGTATTGATAATAACTATTCCTTCTTGTACTACTTGTTAAAAGCAAACTCTGAGACCTTCAAAGCTGTTCTGACTTGCATTTCCCATTACACAACTCCTCTTGGTCTTGAACAATCAAAGTAGAGGTTCTCTTAAAACCAGCACTGAATGGCTTTTGAATATTTTCCTCTGAATGAAGATTCAACAGGAATTCCTGTTTGGGCTTAGACTCTAAAAACAGTTTATTATTTTGTCCTTCTATGTTCGGAAAAGATTGATGGAAGACACTGGATGCCTCTTTACTTGAATTCCCTGACACATCTACAATTCCTTCCAAAGAATAGCACCTTGGTTTGCTGTTAGAGGATAGATCACGCATACTACTTAACCCTATTAAATTATGACAACTTCCTCCCATTATGTCATTAGCACTCACTCTTCTGTTTCTTAAATTAACTAGCTGCATTTTCTTAGCACATCTTTCTTGAAATCCTGGATTGCTTATCTGTAGTCTCTCAGTAGAATCTGATTCTTCTTTATTTTTTTTTCTCTACGAAGCAGACTGAGAAGGCGGCACTCAGTTGATTTGAAGGAACTCAAATTGTTTAAGTGAAGGAATTTTGAAGACTGGGGATCATCTTGGATTTTATGTATCCCACTGGATCTATCTGAAACTGTTATGTAGCCACAAACAACTACCACGAAATGAAACAAAAATGAAGATGCAACCAAAATGTTCACAAGTAATTCGTAATATTCAAAAGTAAGTAGAGGTTCAGGGAGATCTAGAAAATAATCTGTGATTGTTCTGAATACATGTCATTCAAATCCAACATAAGTTGGATTATTCATATCATTGCTTCTTGGCCAATTTGCTAGGCACTTCATGGCAGATAATACCCAGTGAGGGAGGTCATCTGATTTGTTTTGTAGTATAACTACTCCATGTTTACTTGTATTGGCCCCATTATATATTGGGGAATTACTTGTTTTGGATTTATGACTTCTTCTAGGGATGGCACACCTAAAATAGTTTGCAGGTAGATCAGAATAAAATATCTCCAAACTTCTTCAACGTCTTCCTGGCTTAGTTCTCTATCATCAACTGCATTTTCTTGATCTTCATTTATTATTTCATGTTTTATTTTCTCGGCATTTTCCTGAGATAAATGTAATCCATGCTTTTCAGCAGTTCTACGAGATAAGTTTTGTAATTTAAAAATACTATCTTTATCTTTGGAAAAGTTCTCTATGCTGTTTTTTCTCAATTCTGGATGCCTTCGTGGTAGAGTTTTAAGTGGCAACGTTGCAGGAAATCTGAAGAGCTGGTTGTTATCATCAACATTTTCTGATCCCCACCTCCCTTTGATATCTTCAATTATACGATTCTTAAGAAATTTCCTCAACAGTTGTTGCCTTGTAACTTCAGGACCAAAATTGCTATTATTTCTTAATAGGTCATAAAGCCAATCCCCTGCTTCTCCTGCTGTGAAACAATTGCCATATTTTTTAAAGTGTTGTCTGTGTTTTCTTAGAGGCATTCCTGCTCGAAAAGATGTGGTAACTTCATTCCACAGCTTGGTGGCCCGATAAGGCCCGGGAGGCACAACCCGACTCTCCACAGGTCTGTCAGCGTCCGGTGGCATCCATGGCAGTGTAGGTGACACTCAAGACCCAGCAGCCCGGGCAGCGGCGAGTCTCGGCACAACCATTGGCTCTGCCGCCAACTTGTATAGCATAGAGGGCTGCGTGGATTGGCCTCACAATTTCTATACAATATCTATAAAGTAAAAGTGATGCCAGGCATGGTGGCTTATGCCTGTAATCCTAGCACTTGGGGAGGCCAAGCCAGGTGGATCGCTTGAGCTCAGGAGTTTGAGACCAGCCTGGGCAACTTGACGAAACCCTGTCTCTACCAAAAATACAAAAATTAGCTGGGCATGGTGGCACATGCCTGTGGTCCTAGCTACTCGGGAGGCTGAGGTGGGAGGCTCACTTGAGTCTGGGAGGCAGAGGTTGCAATGAACCGAGATCGTGCCACTGCACTCCAGCCTAGGTGACAGAGACCCCATCACAAAGAAAAAAAAAAAAAGTGATAACACTGGTGGCACTTTCGGCGTCTGCAGATGTAATACATAAGACACCTACAACATAAAGGGGGTGAAGTAAAGGGACCTATATGGTGGTAAGGTTTCTACATTCCATATTGAATAGTTAAATGTTGTTCTACACAGACTGTGAAAAAATAAGTATGAATATTGTAATCTCTAGAGCAATCACCAAAAAGCATACAAAGAGAATATAAAAACAGAAAAGTTAAAATAGAATACTAAAAAAATTCAAGCATCCCAAAGATAGGAAAGGGGAAACAGGTACAAAAAAGAAAGAACAAACAGTAAACAAATAACAAAAAACTGTCCATCTAAGTACAAACAAATCAATAATTAAATGCAAAGGGCTGAAATATGCCAACTAATAGACATCGATTATTGGAATGAATTTAAAAATAAGACTCAACAATATGCTTTCTCTATGAAATCCACTTTAAGTTCAACAAAATACATAGGTCAAAAGTAAATGATGGCCAAAGATATGTCATGAAAACATTAATGGAATCAAAGCTACAGTAGTTCTATTAACATCAGATATATTGTCATCAGATACAGTAGACTAGAACAAGGGAAATTCCAAGGATTAAGAGAGATAATATGTAATGATAAAAGGTTCAATTCACCAAAAAGAAAAAACAATCCCAAATGTGTATGCACCTAACAACAGAGCTTCAAATTACATGAAGCAAAAAATACCTGGAATACAGTTGGGCAGTTTTTAAATAAAATTAAACATATACTTACGCATGACACAGCAATCTCATTCATAGATACTTATTCTAGGGAAATGAAAACTTAGTTTTCCCAAATGCCTGTTCACGAATGTTCATAGCCACTTTATTTGTGATAATCCCAAACTAGAACCTCCCAAATATCCTTCACAGTGTGAATGAATAAACAAACGGTGGTGCATCCACACAATGACATACTTTTCAGCAATAAAAAGGAATTAACTATTGATTTCACACAACAAGGATAAATCTCAAATCTGCTATGCTGAGTGAAGGAAGCCAGTCCAAACATAATACATAGCATATGATTCCATTTTTATGACACCCTGAACATAGCAAAACTATAGGGGCAGAGAGCAGATTAGTGGTTGCCAGGGGTTAGTTAGGAGTAAAGGAAGGGCTCACTACAAACGGGCAGCTTGGGGGAGTTTTGCCAGGTGATGAAATTGTTCTGCACACTGATTGTGATAGTGGTTAAATAAAATCTATATGTGTGTTAAACTCAGAACTATACAACAAAAAGTCAATTTTGCGGTATGCCAATTCAAAAAATAAAATTAAAAATGTAACTATATTAGAAAAGACAGGTATGAAATTAATAAGCTAAGCATCCACCTTAAGAAACTAGAAAAAAAGCAAGCTAAACACAAAAGCAGAACAATGAAAACAACGAAGACCAGAACAGAAAACAGAAAAATAAAATATCAAATGGTGGCTCTTTGGAAATATTAACAAAACTGACAAACCCTTAGTCAGATTACCAATAATTCAAGAGAGTACAGAAATCACAAAAATCATGAATGAAAGAGGGGACACTGCTATCAAAACTACAGACACCAAAAGTATTAATTACATGGGAATATGAACTACTTTATGTAAAAAAGTCAGAAAACTCATATTAAGTGGACAAATTCTTAGAAATATACAAATTACCAAAGATTATACAAAAAGAAAGTAGAAAATCTGAATAAATCAATAACAAGCAAAGGAATTAAGCTGGTAACAATACTCTTCCCACAAAGTAAAGTCCACCCTGAAATGGTGTCACTGGTGTATACTACCAAGGACTTAAAGAAAGTATAATATTAATCCTTCACAAATGCTTTCATAAAATACTGGAGGAGGGAACACTGCTCAACTTATTCTATGAAGTTAGCTTTAGTCTGATATCAAAGCCAGACAAAGAAAAGAAACTATAGGCCAATATCCTTCATGAACACAGACATAAATGGTCTTAACAAAATATGAGCAAACCAAATTCAGCAACATATTTAAAAAGATACACCATGACCAATTTGAATTTATTCCAGTAATAGAAGGTTGGTTTATCATTAGAAAATAATGATATTATGTTAACAGAATAAATGAAAACGCCAAATAATAATCTCACTAGATACAGAACATACAGGAAAGCCTTTGACAAAATCTACCATCTATTCATGATAAAAAATTCTCAACAGATTAAGAATATAAAAGGACTCCCGCAACCTGACAAAGGGCATCTTTGAAAACACACAGCCTATATCAGACTTGACGGTGCAAGTGTGCATGCTCTGCACCTACGATCAAGAGCAAGGCAAGGATTCCCTGCGCTTGCCCCTCATGGTCCACATTGTACCAGAGGCTCTGGCCAATGAAATAAGAACAACAAATTAAAGGCATACATATTGGAAAGAAATAAATCTCAACTGACTTTACTCACAGATGAGTTTTTTAGAAAATTATAAAAAATGTACAGAAAAATTACTAGAACTAACACTTGAGTTTAACAAGGTCATAGAAGGGTAGATACTGAAAGAGGAAGAAGAATGTTTCTGTTCAGCTGCTTATGTTCTGTTTCTTGGTCTGGGTACCGGTTTATTGGACTATCTATTTGTCAGCTCCATTTAGATGTCTATCTGGCATCTCAAACTTAATATGCCAGATAGAAATACCGACTTTACTTTCAAATCCACATCCACTGGCAACGGCCCATGAACCATCTCCCTTCCCACCAAATGACATCAACATTTACGTGATTGCTTAGGTCAAACGCTTGGAATTGTCCTTGATTCCTTTCTCTTCCTTGCATCACGTATGCAATTCACCAGTGATGCCAGTGGGTTCCTCCAAATACATCATGAATGCACGTCTACTACACCACTCTTCTCCAGGCTACTATCATCCCTTACTTGAATGAATGCAACAGCCACCACAAAGAACTTTTAAAATGGTTAACTAGAACCTTATCTCCATCTCCACCTCCACCCTGACCCCAGCCTCCTGGCCTAAAATAACCAACAGCATCACAATGTTTGAAGTCTAAGTCCAAAGTCACTAGCATGGCTTCAAAGCCCCTGCACCAGACCCCCCTCTCCAACCTCTTCAGCCTCTCCCATGGGACACTTCAGCCTTCTGTTTGGCCTTAGAGCCTGCCAAACTCCTTCCTGACTTGTAGTGCTCATCCATGTTGTCTTGATGCCTGGACCTATATTTATTCTCCCTAACAGCCTCTTGTTCATGACCTCCTTCTCACTTTCCACAATGTTTAAAAAATATTTTAGAGTGGGGGCCGGGCGCGGTGGCTCACACCTGTAATCCCAGCACTTTGGGAGGCCGAGGCGGGCGGATCACGAGGTCAGGAGATCGAGACCATCCCGGCTAAAACGGTGAAACCCCGTCTCTACTAAAAATACAAAAAATTAGCCGGGCGTAGTGGCGGGCGCCTGTAGTCCCAGCTACTTGGGAGGCTGAGGCAGGAGAATGGCGTGAACCCGGGAGGCGGAGCTTGCAGTGAGCCGAGATCCCGCCACTGCACTCCAGCCTGGGCGACAGAGCGAGACTCCGTCTCAAAAAAAAAAAAAAAAAAAATATTTTAGAGTGTTGATTTATTTACCTGTAAACTGTTTATATCCCTCTGATAGACTAAAACTGCAGGAGGGCAATGCTATGCCTTTTTCATTCACCTCTATGTGCCCAGCATTTGCATAATCCCTGACAGATAGTTGGCAAGGGTACAGTGAGTAAAGGAATAAACGAAAAAAAATGATGAGTTGTGGGGCATACACAGACACTAAATCTGACGATTCTCCATGCACTGCATACACCAGGGATTCCCAAAGTTTGCTGCACATTAGAATTACTTAGGTAGCTTGGTAAAATCCCAATACACAGATTAAACCCTATTCAATCAGAATGGCTGGGACTGACAGCCATACACTAGGACATTTGAAAGCCCCCCAGCTGATTTCAATGTGCAGCAAAGTTGGGGAACTGCTGACATTTACTTTTTGAAATAAAAGCATATAAAAACAAACTCTTAAAAAGAAAAATATATTCCTTTTATGTATATTAAACATATATGAAGTTCAAATAGCACCTACAATATACTTTATAAGCCCAAATATATCTAGACGTGCTATCTTAAATTCTAACTGTGGTTAATATGCACAACCATTTTTACCTGTTAATTTGCAATGTATTAAAGAAGTTTGTATATAATGTCAAGTAATGCTACAGGAACACTTTGTTTCAATATTAACAATGTTGAAAGTGGTGTTTTTCTGTACTATTTTCAATTTTTAGCTGATTTTACTGGTTACTCGATACTACCTGGCTAATATAATTACAGATATGTATATTTTAATATGTAGATATAAACCTATCTATGTATCTGTATATATGAATATAAATTCTATAAACATTTAATGAACGATTATTATTTAGCATGTACTCCATTTAAATGACAAAATGCAGGAAACTGAAGATGGAGTTTTGTTTATATAAAACATTTACATATTGACATTTGCTAAGATGAGTGATATGTCCTTTGACAGAATTCATTATCTGGTGAAGCAACATCTTCCACACTCAGTCTAGTTAGTTCAGGCTGCTATAACAAAAATACCATTGAATATGTAGCTTATCGACAATTTCTCACAGTTCTGGAGGGAAGAAGTCCAACATCAAGGCACCTGCAGATTCCATGTCTGATAAGGGCCTGCTACCCATTTATAGATGGTGCCTTCTCCCCATCCTCACATGGTAGAAGGGGCAATGGAATGTCTGGGGTCCCCGTTATGAGGGCACTAATCTCATTCATGAGGGATACACCCTAATGACCTAATCACTTCCCAAAGGCATCACCTTCTAATATCATCACCTTGGGAGTTAGGATTTCAACATATGAATTTGGGGGAGGGGATACAAACATGTAATCTGTAATACCAGTTTAATCCCAGCTTCCACTATTAACCATCTATATAAATTTAGGGGACTTTGTTAATCTTTGTGTTTCAGTTTTTCATCTGAAATGTGAGAACAGCAAACTGGATGCTGGAGTTTTTGATGGGTTTAAATATATGAAATACACACACACATTTGCAGTCGACCAACAGATGCTTATGTAAATGCTCCACTCCTCAAAACATTTTAACATGCCATACAAATAGTGAATGAGATGGTGGGAGGCTGGGAGAGGCAATTTATAATCGACTCACAATCTGTTGACCAGCACCTTTAAAATTGACAACAAAAAGAAATAATTATCAGCAAATGCACTGTTTAATTGTCAAGAAGAACACTTTATCAGTCATTGAAATGAAGCTAATGGCACAGTGGGTAAAAAGTAAAAACAAGGCTATCTGAAGACATGCCCAGAGCAGCCACACAGCCATGCACTATGAGAGAATAGTCTGAGAGGCTTCTTTTCTTCCCCAAATAAAGTCCTCCCAGTTGAGCTCCATGGAAATGCATTCTGGAGTTGACGGCTGCTCAATGGTTTCCTGGGCCATACAAAAAGCCATGGGACAGCAGCAAATTCTGACGAGCAAGGTGCTCTCTGCAGCCCAGGAACAGGCTGAAGCAGGCTGCCAGCTGAGTCAGTCAGCCCAGGGACAGCTCCATAACCAGCCCTGCGATCACCCTGTGCCTTGCACCTAGGGGCCTCCTGCCGGCTCTTCATGACGCTTTAGACTGCTTTAAAATGTCTTATCACCAAAACATTTGAACACCTTGGAAAATACTGTCCTCTATGGAGGAGAAAAAGAGAACTTTGAAAGACCAGCCCAGAAGGAAAGTGAATGACTATCTGCCTGCCATGAAACATTCTGGCTTGAACTTGCCACTCTGAAATAAAGCTCCAGCTCCAGCACACTCTGTTAATGAGGACATGTTAGTATCAGGCACATAAACACAGTCAGGTGCATCTCCAGAGGGGGATCTCAGATACTTACTGCTAGTTGCTGATTACAGCAACATCAGTTTCTGTGCCACATCCAGAGATTTTTCTGCACACTTTTTATCAAGGCTTCAAACATGATCCCAGTTGTCTGGGAAATACTATCAGCCACTTAAGTTTCCCCTTAATTTAGGAAAGGAAGATGTATTTTCACCATAACAGCAAAAGCTTATAACACTTGTCTTTTAGAATTAAGAGTCAACAACCCAGGGGGATCCACAGACCACCCAAGTGGATTGTGACGTTGTCCTGGCCTTCTCGTGGGGGTCAGGCCATCTCATCAGGCAAGGACGACCCAATGCCTTCTCGGTGGAACAGTTTTGATTGAAAAGATAGTTAAAAAAAAAAAGTGATACTGCTGTAAAAAGAGACACAACATCACATCCAAACACATTATCCTCTCCTCTGACCTATGCATGCACGTGTGTACGCTCCCATGTCCATGCATTTACACACACACACACACACACACACACACACCCCTCCCCTCTTCAACACTTACCCATTCCAAAGTTTTATGGAGTTTCACTTTGACTACGCTAATCATCTTTATTCACTTTCTGAAAGACTCAGCTGCTCAAGAAAATAAAATGCCAAAATATATGGACCCAAGGCAGTTTTAAGACCAACACTGTAGATTCATTTAAAAATAACAAAAGCCACATATTCATTCATTCAACAAATAATTATGTAATGAGGATTATTTTAGGTGCTCAGCACACATCAGTGGATGAAAACCTCTGCCTTTGTGGAGTTTATACTCCAATAAGAACAGAGAAAAAAATAAATAAATTAAACAATAGGTTATGAGTCTGTAAGTGCTGTGACTACAACAGAAGACCTGGCTTGCTGGGCAGGACAGGGTGTCTGAAGAGTGGGTTGTAAAATTGAAGAGACTCATTGAGATGACATTTGTGCAAAAGCTTGAAGATCAACTGTGCAGATATCTAGGAGGAAAATACTCTTTGAAGCTGAATTTTTTAAGTAACAAAACGTGATCTGTTTTCCCCACAGAGGATACTACTCTCCTAACCCCGTTCTACTAAATGGGCTTGTAGTTTAAGGGGAAAAGATTTGCTCCTAGACGCCTGAAGGAATGAGTGTAGACATGGGCATGGCAGCAGGGGCAGGAGGCGAGAAAGGGAAGAATGTGAGTGTATCCCTCAGGACAGGTTCTGAATCAGCTGAACCTGGGGCTGGAAAAGCCAAGCCACATCCAGGGGAGAGCCTTGATTTCTCAAATTCATGTTTGATTTCCAGCAGCAGTGCATTCAAAGCTTAATTTCAGTCCAGAAGTCACCAAATTAATATCTGAGGTTAAAACGCACATACACATACACACACAGACACAGAACTGATGAACATTTCCAGGGAAAGACACACAGGGAAGAGTACAAGGACAGAGTGCCACTGCCACGCAGCCACCTGCACCTGTCCACACACTGCAGAGGCGCCCCGTCATTGTGCAGGGAGAGGGGAGGTGCATTCTGGGCCTATGCTTCGGGCTGCCCCTGACAGCTGCCCCAGGCCAGGTCCCCTTACCGCCTGGTACCGCTCCCAGTAGGGCCTGGCAAATGGCCTGGCTGTGTCTTAAGCTTATTCCACATAATACTTCCAGTGTGGGACTTCCAGATAGCGACACATGTACTTCCTAACCACTCGGGCTTTGCGGGAATGCTCCAAAGGGCCAAGCCCTTGGTGTGACTTTCTGGTTGGGTCTTCTTGCTCAGTGTATTTCCTGGATGGTGGCTGCCAGAATCTGTGGGGAGAGTGGGAGCAAGGCACAGGGGCAGCCTGCAGCCTGTGGTGTGACTGGAGATCTGACAGCACATGGCCCCTCCCGACTCTCTCCTTCCTTGGTAAGAAGTGGCAGCTGCCCTGTCCTAATAAGGTTCACCTTTCCTTGCATTCAGCCTCAGGTATGTGGGGACAGGGGCATCCCAATTCAGTGGAGACCTGCCTTCCTCTACTAAAGCTACAACCCAATTAAAGGCAAAGACCCCAAGACTTAGGAATACTGAGGAAAACAATGCATGCCTGTGTGTCAACAGCTTTGCAGTGTACTGTGACTGCCAGGGTCTGAAGGAACCGGGGGTCCTTACTCCTCAGGGGTGTGAGCTGAACTGTTCATGTTAGTTTGTCCCTGAAAGTGGGCATTTGCTAGTAAGTGAAATTGGGCTTTAAACGCATACTAGGGAGGCTTGCTATCTAATAGGTTCCTAACATTAATCCCCAGCATGGCACATGTATACATATGTAACTAACCTGCACATTGTGCACCTGTACCCTAAAACTTAAAGTATAATAATAATAAAAAAATGCTAAAAAGTAATCTAACTCTAAAAAAAAAAAATGGAGCATTTTGTTACAAGGCCACCTGCCCCCTAGCTCAGTGCATTTGGACAGCTGTAATGTGATACCATAAACTGGGTCGCTCATAAACAGGCATTCATTTCTCATGGTTCTGGAGGCTGGGGAGTCCCAGATCAGGTGCTGGCAGAGTAAGTCTGAACAGGGCCCTGCTCCTGGTTCATACACGGTGACTTCTCCCTGCATCCTCACATGACAGCCTTTTGGCAAGGGGTCTCTCTCAGGCCTCTCTTACAAGGGCGCTAATCTCATTCCACATGACCTTATCACCTCCCTAAGGGCTCACTTCCCAATCCCATCACCTTGGGGGTTAGGTTGAGAGGGACATAAATATTCAGTCTATAGTACCCCAATGACTTGTACTTCCTGGTTCAAGGTTATCCAAATGGTCAACGCTGAACCATAATTAAATGCAATCCTTACCCAGTGGGCATTAGGACCTTCATGTGGACCCTGGATGAACTGTGGGGTTGCCAGGATCTTGGGTCAGCGCTGGCACTCAGGATGGACAGAAAATGGAGGGGTCCTCCTTCTTCACCCTATGAAGGCAGCTGGGCTGCGGGCACCAGCACAGAGCAGGCAGTGTGTGTGGAGTGCAGTGTAGAGGCTGGGGTGCTACTGCAGGCCCCCCATCCCCCACCCTCAGCCCAGGCCCCCAGGCAGCCAGGCAGGGGCTTCCATGTTGGATGCACATGGAAGAGATCTCATGGCAGCCCCTGGAGTAGGTGGGTGCGTGGGTTCTGCCTAAAGGGGGCTGAGTGAGGGAGTTCTGGGGGCAGCCCACAAACTCTGAAAGCTGTGTGCAAAGAGGCTGAAGGCAGAGCCTGGCAAGGGGGCAGCTGCAGAATTGAGAGCAAAGAACACAAGCGGCTGCATTTGCAAGCACCCAAGGCAGTGGCAGAGGGCAGTGAGGGAGAGGATGAGCACAGCGGGTGACACAGGTGGAAATGATGGGCTGATGGGAGGAAATGGAGCGGCTCTTAGACACGGTTCTGGTGGCCGGCCATGGGTAGGACAGCAGGATCTAGGGGTATCATCAGTCTCCAGAAGAGGCCTGGGCTGGGGGATTGATCTGCCCAGTCATCAGCACCATGGGAATGGCCGAATGTGCAGAGAGTAATTCTAAGGACAAGAGCCCAAGAATACGCATAGAGAGAGGGGTACAAGTACCATACCCAAGGAACTCAATAGCCCATACCTTGTCTACAAGGCTGTTCTGCAGGAATTCCGGGGGTCAGCAGGGATGGCTCTGACTGGTCACTTTGTAGCAATAATCTTCACAGGTAAAACCATGGAGAGAGACAACAGGTGAGGAGAAATATACCATGGGGTGCAGCTGGGGGATTCCATCTGGATCCCTCAAAGTGATGGGAAGGACCAGGAATAGCAAACTCACTCACTGCAAATTGTATATCCAAAGGAAAGAGAGATGGAAAAAAATTTCCATTTACCTAACGAAATAGCACATGCTCTAGTTGACCAATGCCCTGAACTACATACAATGCACACAGTGGCACGGAGTGGGGCTCTGTCCCTCGTGAGGCAGCCCTAGTGTTTAGGATGCCCACTCCAATGCTGCAGGTGCTGGTCTGCAGGCTACAGAGTGTTTGAGTGTGTGGATTCGTGGAGTGCCTGCCTGGGCAGAAAAGCCTCTCCTTAGCCAAGGGACATTAGGAAAAAGTGAAATTAATTCGTTGAAAAAGTAAACAAGATGTGTGTGTCTCTCTCTCTCACACACACACACACAGACACGCACATACACACACACACACCGAGTGGGGGATTCATTTATTTCTCTGCTCTTCCTTTCCCCGCTCCCAGCCCCATCATCAAGTATAATGTCTTCACTATTCCGTTTAATGATTTAAACATGATTAGTGGAATGCAGATCAATGCAGACATGAATTCTTGGGGTAAAAATGCAGTATTTCAGCACTGTGGAAGAAAAACTAAACAGAAATGGAAGCTTGGGGAAACAGCTACATCTTGAATGAATAAATTCTACTTGATGAATGTGAAACATTATTTTAGGAATTTTTAATATATCTAAATACTCCATTTCCACAGCAGAGCTTGGGTCACATTTTAGAAGATTGTCTTCCCTCTGTAACACTCTTCCAGAATTCCCCTCCAGAGTTAAGACTGTCCATTCCTCACCCAGGTGCCCTATTTAACCAAAAGGCCAAGGGCACCTCCTGGAGTCCCTGGGTTCCATTTCCTTTATGGCACTATCACCCAAAACAAAAACTGGGCTCAGAACTCTGAAAAACAGCTCTCCTCAGGAATCGTCACGCTGGCACTAATGCAATCTGAAAAGTACGCTTCACTGATATAAACTTTCACTGGAAGGCATCCAGGCAACATGTGCTTTTTATCCACATTTTTAGAGGCTACAGGAGACACCTCTGTTTCTCACACTGCCAACCTGTTACATTAGAACTATCTTGGTGTAATGGAGCAAATTATTTCATATAAACAGCATTTGCTTTACAATAAAAAACAATGCACCATTCCTGTGTACAAGGTAATTGACGGTAAAGAAGCAGGTAGAAGAAGAAATCTCCTTTCCGTGGCCTTTGTGTGTTGAAAAAAGTCTGGATCTCAGAGCCTGGGAAAGGATCTCAATGTACTGTTTTCCTTGTACAACACAGCTTCTGGCTCCTAGTGCAACTTCCTGAACATCGGCCTAGGTTGTCACTGTTAGGATCTGGACACCAGAGTCTTCTTTCCGGGCCACTTTGGAGCCCTAGGGGTGGATGAGAGAGAAATGGAGGAGGTGGGTGCAGAGGGTACCATGCACCAAGGAAGGCCTTGGTCCTCCTGGATCTGTTGTCGGTAAGATGGGGGTTTGGAACTCATTCTCTCCAAGGTTCTTGCCGACCTCAACCTGTGATTTGCAATCACACACTCTGACTGCTTCTGGTAAGGGCTTTTGGAGTCTTCTCAGTGCACCCCAGAAGCCTTCACAACCCAGTCCAGGACAAAGTGCTGGGATCTGCTCCCTCCAAGGAGGGAGCATGTCATCCTCAAACCAAGAAGAGAGTGCCTGGGGTGATTAACCAACAAGGATGGCAGAAGCAGACAGGCCAGCCGCGACAGCTGTCAGGAAATGACTCTTTCTGTAGTATCTGCCCCTCTGGTTTACAGAATCACTTAAAAATAAAGCAGCCATGCATCAATTTCACTCACATCAAGAGATTTCCCACTGTTTTCTTCACTTCCAGTAACACACACAATAAACATTTAACGTTCAAACTAGCTCGTATTTTATTTACATGTATATATGCATTTTTAAAATGGGGCTTCTTCTACAAAGTTAAGAAATGGCTGTCTTTTGGAAATTAAGAGGAGAAAATCAACTTTACTATAGATTAAATTTCTGATTTAAAATAAAAAAAGTATAAAAAACCTAAATCAAGCCTCCCTGGCAGGTAGGCAGGCCCTCTACTCAATACTTAGAAGCGCTGGCAGGAGCCGGCGGGAGCTGTGGGAAGGTGGCTACCTGACTCCAGATCTGTGGGCTCCGCAGCCCCAGCACTCAGTGGTTCTTGAAGACACCACCACCTGGGAAAGACACTAACGAGGGATTTCTCACAGAAAACCACCGAAGTACAGCATATGGGGAGAAAAGATGAGCTAAAGTGAGTTATTGAAAGAGATCTTCTTTAATAAGATCAAGAAGCAAGAAAGAGCTTCTCAAATTGCCTTCTGTATTGGAGAAAGGGCAAAGGGAGCCTCTGAGTATTCCATCAACTTTGCTTGCCAAGTACATCTCTATAGAAAAGAGGGCTGTCATTGGATCTGATGGCTGGAGACGCTAGCCACTGCCATTCAATGTCTTGCATGTTCATGTTCTAAAAAGTCAACAGCTTCTGTCAACTTTCCACAGGGGAAGGAATACAGTGACTGTAGGTACAAATATTCTTGATGTACTGAGCAGTTATATTTTGTATGGCAAATTTAGAAAGTGGGTTTATACATCGGCCTCTTGTTTAGTCAGTTAAATAATGGCCCTTGTGGCAAGCTGTGTTTTCTAAAGATGGTCCCAGCAATGTGTCTCTTCCACAATGTGACCTTTTCAGCCCTTCCAGTGAGAGGAGGGGTTCTGTGACCTATGCCCTTGCTTCTCAGTGGGCTCAGGACTGCTAGGATCAATAGAATACAGCAGACAGGATGCAGTGTGACTGCTAAGGATGGGTGATGCAGCCTCGTTCACTAGAACATGTACACTTGGAGTCCTGAAGCTCCATTTAAGAATGACCCCAAGGTCAGCATGCTGTGAGGAGGCCAAGCCACGTGTAGAGGCCACATGTGAGCACTCCAGTTAGCAGTCCCCATCTTTGAGTCATCCAGACCCAGCTCCAGAATAAGCCTCTGCATGAGCCCAGCCCCAGTCTTCAAGGCTTCTCAGCTGGGGTCCCAGACATCATGGACCACACAGGAGCCATCCCACTGCACCCTGTCTGAATCCAAGGTTGTATTAACCATTAAGTTTTGCAATCTCATTCATGCAAACATATTTTGAAACCTGACTGCACCAATGTATACATCTTCAAAGGTAATGCACACCCCAGGCTCAGATAGCACCTCTCCTTAAATTCCGTCAGTCACACTTCTTCTGACTGTTCACCTGGCATCCAGTGCCCCCTATGGCTGGACATGACATAGTGATTGCAGCCTCAGGGATGCCATCTCTGCTCGAGCCACACAAAGCCACTAATCTCACCCATCATTGACTGATTTCACCATCATCCTATTCAGGGACACTTTCACTGCTTCCAATGAAAATGGCTGACTTTATCTACTATCAGATAAATACCCTCACATATACATCTGTATCCTATCTTCAGCCATTTCCATCAGAAAGATTCTTAAACGTGGAATCGTGGGAGACTGAGTATTAGATTTCAGGATCTTGGTGATACTGCCAAGTGGTTTTCCTGAAATCAATTGCTAGTGAGAATTGAACACAGTTATAAAGCTTGTTGCTCACTTTTATTTTTCTTTTATGAACTGTTTATCCCAGTACTTCAGTCACGTAAGGGAATGGGTTTTTCTAACAGACTGGTAGGTGCTCTGTAGGGGTGTCCTCAGACGTGACGCACAGTGACACAACCCCTCTATGCTGCTGTGAACAGGCAGGCACTGCTGGCATGGGCTCACACTGCAGGGGAACCTGGCAGGGTAGCTGATAATGCAAAGGGCCTGTGGTACTGAGGGAGGTGCCAAGAGTAATGTGAGACAGCCATCAACAGAGGGTGTGCAGGAGCAGCTGGGAGGAGCAAATCCCGGTCTCTAAACTGGACCCAAAGGAATATCACAGAAGAGCATAACCAGTCCTGGAAAGCCCAGAGGTGGCAAAAGACTAGGTATGTTCCCTGAATACGGCAAAGGTCAGTGTGCTTGGATCTGAGACACAAACTGAGGTCAGAAAGCCAAGGACAAGCCAAACTAGGCAGGAGCCTGTAGCCACAGGCAGATGCTAGGATTCACAGGAACCACAGTGGGAGGCCCTGAGGGGTAGTGAGCAGGGACAGCCACACCCAGGGGCACGGGAGATGATGTGGGTGACCCTGCAGGCCTGGTGAAGGGTGGCGGCAGCAGTACTGGCCAGAGGCGCTGGGACCCAGGAGAGGAAGCAGCAGATCAGTAATGATGATGGAAAGAAAGTAATTTGGTGAATAACTTCTCGTGACTTCATGACTGATTGGCTTGGGGGTACAGAGAGAGAGTAAGGTGTCAAACATGACTTCAAATTTTCTGATTATCTCAGTATTAAAGATGCCACTTCTAAAAAGAGGAGGCCTGGAGCAAGAGCTTGGCTGACAGCAGGATCAGAGGTCCCTGTGGAAACCATGGAGACATCAACTGGGCAACTAGTAAACTGAACTGGAGTTCAGCAGAAAGTTCTGAGCTGGAGGTGTAGCTTGGGGAACCTGCACAAAACTGGTATTTAAAGCCGTGGAACTTGAGACCACCCAACAAGAGCTGAGTTAAAAGAACACAACTCAGGGCTGGGCCTTTGTGAAGTCCTGCATTTAAAGGTCAGATAGAAAAGGAAATACCATAAACCAGCAAGGAGAAGGGAAGGGAACAGCCACTGAGCCGGGAAGAAACCAAAAAGCAGTGGCATTCTGGAGATCAAGGGAAAAGAATGCTTAAAGAAGACTGGCAACAAAGGAAAGAATTTCTCAGCTGTTAGAAACCAGAAGAAATGGAAAATCAGAGCTTAACACCAATACTTGCTGCTGAAGGAGTGTGGAGGGGACAATCTCTCCCCCGTCTAGGGGCTTACCTTTTAATGTCATGCAGGAATCCCAAAGCAGAGGTTCCAAAAGGTCAAGACTATTTTCATGATCATTCAATGATCATTCTAAGGAGAGATTTGCTTTTCGCTGTGTTGACATTCATGGTATCGAAGCAATGGAAGAAGCCGCACAAATTAAGGCAATAGCAACCACTGTGCCAGTAGTCTTCATATTCTTCACCATCAAACACTCAAACTTACAAAAGCCAAAGAACAAAACCCAAACAGAAACCGAAAACAGTTTAAGAATATCTTTGATGAAGCAGTGAAAAGTATTAATTGTATTAACTAGCAACCCTTGTGTGTAAGTGTTCCTGATATTCTAAGTATCTCTGCTGTATGCCAAAGAGCGATGGAGGTCCTGAGGCAGAGCACCTGTATGACTGCCTGAGTTGCACCCTGAACTAGCTGTATTTCCATGGAACATCATTTTCCTCACCTTCTATTCATCAAAGCATACTTGCAGGGTTTGAAAGAATAACTGAAAACGATCATTTTTCAGACACTGGTGTCTGGCAAGCATCCTCTTGAAAATGAATGTAGTGAGCCTGTCACTTTAAAGAGAATCCCAATAGTATTTTATTATCGATGATAAAATCTGAGCTTCCCCATGAAACTTCTTGTATCTACTACTGTGAATCTGACTGCTCCCAATACTCAGAGACTTTTCTGATGAGACTAGTGGTGATATTAATGAATGTGATTTTCTGAGAGTGTGTAATGAAATGTGACAATGCTTAGAAGAGCCACCTAACTCAATGGACCACTATTTTCCAAGCGATCAGTGTATCATGTTACAGATCATATGTAGATAAGTGCAAGACAGGGCAAAGAACTGTAATATAATGGAGTATGAAAAGTTTACCAATGTGGCTTCAGATTCCATGTGGCAACTAATTTTAAGAAACTACTTGTTGTTGAATTCAGATGTAGTGTCAAAGATATCCACAATTACCTGAAAAGTCAACTGAAATACTCCTCCCCTTTCCAACTACATAGCAGTATGAGGTTAGACTTGCTTCTCACACTACAACTAAAACAACACACCCCAATACATGGATTGTGGAGCAGATATGAAAATCCAGCTGTCTTCTATTAAGCCAGTCGAAATTTACTAAAACATAAAACAATGCCATCCTTTTCGTGATATTTTTTGTTTTTGAAAAATTTTTCATAAAAGCTTATCTATGTTTACATGTAACAGGTTTATAATTGTAATTTTAAAATTGATAGGTATTTTATAAATTCTCAGTATTAATTTCCCATGCAGTAAATATTAACAGACATACCCCACAAAGAAAAGCTCTTTAGGCACCACGATAATTTTTAAGAATGTAAGGGAACCTGACATCAAAAATTTTGAGAACCAGCATCCTAAAGCATTTGCTTCAGGAAGAAGGAAGTTAAACCCAAAGAGAAGGAGGGCATTCCAAAAGCAGCGGGCTTTGTATTGTCTGAGTGCTTGAAATGTTTCACAATTAAAATTTATTACTTTTTCAAAAAGAATGAATAGAAGGTGAGGAATGGCACAGTGAAGGTAGATGATTCTCCTGAGTGTTTTATTGAGAAAGAGTAGGGGAAGGTGTGGAGGCAGAATGGGGAGGCTGGAGTTAAAGTAGGGTCAGTTCAGAAGGGAGCGGCACTGCCCACCTGTGCTTATCTCTTAAACGCGGGCATACAGATAACACGAACACATGATCTATACCCTGCAAGTATGGCACTGATGCATGTAAATCCTGCAAGTACATACTGATGCATCTAGACCCTGCAAGTACACACTGATGCATCTAAACCCTAAGTACACTTTGATGGATCTAAATCCTGCAAGTACACTTTGATGGATCTAGACCATGCAAGTACACTTTGATGGAACCAGACCATGCAAGTACACTTTCATGCATCTAAACCCTGTAACTACACACTGACGCATGTAAACCCTGTAAGTATGCATTGATACATTTTCTCAGCTGGTCCTTTCAGAATTTTGGGTAAGCTTTCGGTACATTTGAATTTTTAAAAATAAATTCTAATCTGTAGATATTTTTATTTGAAACATGTCTCATATTTTTCTGTTTAGAAACTGCTTCTCTCACTCCAAGATTATACTAGCTTTTCTTTCTTTTTTAAATGAAAGAGGAACAGCAAAAAGGTGTGTCCCATTTCCAGACCTGGCCTCTGGAGCTCCCCACACCTTCCACAACCTTCTCTCATTACTGTAGTACAAGGGCAACACCTATTATCCTGACCAACTTGGAAGCTACTGGTGAAGATGGCAGTGCCCCCCAAAACTTGATGCCTTCCATGATTCTGACTCTGGCCCCCAAGCAACCACTCCAGACTGTAACATTCCTGCTGTACCCCAACCAGTGCAGCAGGCATGTGACTTGGGTCTGTTTGCAAAGCAGTGAGAGCCTGCCCTATTTAAGCCATAGATTAGCTGTGTGGCTTTGGACAAGTGAGATAAACATACTTTGCCTCAGTTTCCTCATCCACAAAGTGAGGAGAGCAGCACCTTCCTTGGCCAGAGAATTAAATAGTACATGTAAACACACAAAGCAGGTATGGTGCTATGGTTTGAATGTCCTCTCCAAAACTCATGTTGAAACCTAATTCTCAATGTGGCAGTATTAAAAAGTGGGGTCTTTAAGAGGCAGAGCCCTCAGGAATGGATTAATCCATTCAAATCCATTCATGGATTAATGGGTTATCATGGGAGGGGAAATCATAGCTTTATAAGAAGAGGAAGAGAGACCTGAGCCAGCACGCTCAGCCCTCTCGCCATATGATGCCGTGCGCCACCTGGGGACTCTGCAGAGTCCCCACCAGCAAGAAGGGCCTCACCAGATGCAGCTCTTCAACCTTGGACTTCTCAGCCTCCATAACTGTAAAAAATAAATTCCTTTCTTTATAAACTACCTACTTTCATGTATCCTAGGCAACAGAAAACAAACTAATACAGCTGGGCATATGATAAGCACTAAATATTAGCTACTATTATTATTTATAATAAATGTTATTATCCAGTAGAACAAATTCTCTATCCTCCGACAAGTCTTATTGCCAAATTTGCCTATGCACTTAAGGCAAAGAGGCCAGGAATGTGGACAGAGTGTCTCATTACTGGAACCTCCTTTTGTGTGTGTGGCACGTCTGTGTGTGAGACAGGGTGTGTGCCTGGACAGGGTGTGGATGTGGAAGCTGTGGGTGAGGCTTGGTGACAGGTGAGGGGTGTGTGGCTTTGTGGGCGTGTGGTGCTGTGGGATGTGTCACTGGGTTCTGTGGCCCTCATGCCCTGCTGCCCCTCCACCCTTTCACTTCATTGTTACGTGAGATGCCTGCAGAGAGGTGTCCCTAAGAAGGAAGCCAGGTAGTGAGTCCTAGAATGGAGGCTTCCAGCAAGCAGGTATAGTTGCCTTGATCTGGGAAAGGGAGGTGTAAGCAGGTCTCCCCCTCAGGAGCTCTGAGAAGGCAGCTATGTGGCTCAGAGTCGAAGCATCCCAGAGTTCTGACCCAGGACCCCGCAGTGATATCACAGACAGACTGTAACCGCCCCCCTTCATTCCATCTCATTATGAAATGTGTGTGAGGCCTGTCGTTCTACAAAACAAAGACCCTAAGGAGGAGGGGAAAATGTTGCTTTACATATAAAAGTCAATGTTTAGCTCTAGGTATGTTTTGGGCTTTCTTAGTGGAGACACTGAAAGGGGACTAGTCAGCTTTTTCTCATCAAACAACATGGCATACATGGCCAGAGATGTGGCCACAGACGAGGCTGTTTGAACCTGCTCCAGAAATGTTGTACCAGGATGTGATGATGGAGAACTGGCAATTTGATCTCAATGCTAGACACTGTTTTTCTGAACCAGATGTGATGGCCTTATTGGAGCAAGGAAAAGGGCACTTGATGGTTATAAGAAGCATGAAGACTGTACAGTTATTGGTTGCCTCACCAAGTAGGGCTAATTGGTTACCTTGGAATTTAATTCTTAAATGAAACAGCAAGAAAGCATTTGGTTTTCTAATACGAATTATAAATTTTCCAAATTTGGAACCAAGATAGGAGCTAATCAGCTACGAAAAATGTTCACTTATAAAAATATACATCTCCTACTCTCCATCAAAGAGTTAAAGATGGAGGGAAATTCAGTGACCTCAAGGAATGCTAAGCCTAGGTGGCAGCCTTAAAATACATCAGAGAGTTCATAGTGGAGAGGTACCCTATGAACATGACTAGTGTGGGAAGGCCTTCAGTGCACATCAACAACTTTCTCAACATCAAAGTACTTAGGCTACTGAGAAAGACTTTGAATGTGATAAGTGTGGAAAGTTCTTTTGACTTAAGCCTCAAAGTACATGATAGAATTCATAATGGTGAGAAACCCTTTGAATAAAAACAATACAGGAGGCATTGGAAATGGCAGGCAATATCATATGTATCATAGAATTCATAGCAGTGCAAACTCCTTTCAATGAATAGAACACAGGAAGTTCTTTAGGCAACAGTTCAGTCTTTTAGAGAAATCAGGGAGGGAGCTCACACTGGCATAAGACCCTAGGAATATATCTAACATAGGAAATCCTCCAGTAATGGTCCAAGCTTTGTTTAACATCAAAGAATTTGTAACATGCTTTATTTAACATGGAAAGCTTACTGCTATACAATTATCTTGTAGTTGGCCACTTTACTGTACACTCTCATAATTCTAAGTCATTCCACAGTGCCAGACCCCACATGGCACTCAATAATTAATTTTTGAGTAACTGGATTAACAGATGGGTTCTCTTGCATTTCTAGGTAAATTATATTGATTCTAGGAATAAGTTTTGTTTTTGTCTTTCCAATATTTACATCTTTTTTCCCTTCTGTTTATGAATGCCTTAAATCAGCCTTGTAGACACTAAGAAATATGCGTAAGACTTTGCACTAATGTGCCTGATATGGTGTCATCATGCCAAAGGACTCTTTGGGCTACAAACCACAGGAACCCACAAGTTAGCATAAGCAAACAAGGGAAGGCCAGACACTCCAAGGATCAGAATAGATCTGGGCTTCATGACTGGGCGGGAACCATGGCCATGTTTGCCATGTCTTCAGATGGATGGTCCTTTCCTCCTTCTCATCTCTTTTCTTGTTTTCACTCCAAAATGGCTATTGATGGGCAAAGAGAACAACCTAGTTTCGATGATACAGGTTAACCTACTCAAGGATACAGGACTCTTCTGAGAAGCTATTTTCACATTCCCATGAAAGAATGCCCTAACCGTCAAGTAGCCCATCTTGGCCAATCATCCATAGTTGCAGGTGGGGATTGTGTTGGCCCCAGAGTGGGTAGGGTACCCATCACTGGGTGGCAGCTGCAGGAGGTGGAAGGGCCAGGCCCCTTTTTATAAACATTGCAGCAATGTGAATGGAGGAGAGAAAAGGTACCCTTAGAACAGAGACATTGAGAAAGGTACCCCAAAGCTATCCACAGCATACAGTAGATACTTCAGAGCTCTTTGTAGTTTAGAAAGAGCTTACTCATATAATCTTAACTGCTCCATCCTTCATGGTAAGGCTTTATTTTTAATGTTCATTTTGCATATGAACAGGCTGAGGCTCAAGGAGGTGCAGTGACTTTTCCAAGGCCATAGGATTCCTAAATGCCAGGACCCAAACCCTAGATTCCATTCTATCTTCAGTCTCTCTGGATTGTTGTCCTACAGCCATTACCATAATCTTACACCCAGTTAGATCTCTGGCATCACTAAAGTCTTGAAGAAGTTGGAAATAAATTTCATTTTTTTAATACTCTGAGGGGAGATATACCATTGTAAGTGCTATGTAATAGACACAGAATGTCTTCTAGCAGCCACTCTAAGCAACACTGACTGAGCATCTCCTCCAAGCCCACACCTTCCTCATGCAGGGTAGAAACCAGGAGAAACTGCTGGGCCTGTCACATCCAGCCTCTGTTCAATCAGATGGGAATATTTCTGGTTCCTCTCCCACTGTGGTGTTCCCCAAGAAATGCAATCATCTGAAAGTAATCCAAGATGTCTGAAAGTAATCCCCCAAATTTTAACACTGTAAATGTTTCTAATACTAAAGGTTAATTTTAGAAATAAAAATTGAAGCCAGATGATTTTCATATGAATGTTCTGACATGAAAAGGGCAACACATTTCACTCCTCCACAATTATGTTTCCCAAAATTGAAATGCTTCCTGTCCAGTTCAGTGCTGTTGAGGCTCAACATCGTGCCACTCATACAGTCTGGGCATCTTCACTCATGGCTTAATTCTGATCTCAGCAGGGTGGCACATTCAATAGAAACATATCTGTCTCTGCAAGAAAAATTGCAGTTACTGGGAGGGGCAGAGGTAGAACTGTGGAAATCCAATGCTGCCCTTTTTTTTTTTTTTTTTTTGAGACCGAGTTTCACTCTCGTCCAGGCTAGAGTGCAATGTCGCGATCTCTGCTCACTGCAACCTCCACCTCCCAGGTTCAAGCGATTCTCCTGCTGAGGTTGGGAGTTCAAGACCAGCCTGACCAACATGGAGAAACCCTATCTCTACTAAAAATACAAAAGTAGCCAATGCTGCATTTTAACCCACCAGCCTGGCCCTACCTGCCCATCACTGCCACTGTTATGCAGTTAGAGGTACAGGGTGCCAGAGCGGGGAGACTGGCTGACTAATGCCTAGCAAGCCTCAGGATCCTCAACAACTGGGAGAGGGAAGAGGATACAATTTAAACTCCACAAGGCCAAGTCCATCTCCAGATTCTACCATGTGGAGCCACCACCGCCCTATAAAGTCACATTGACGGGAGTACATCACACTTCCTAGATGTGTCAGGAACAACAGCAACCAGAGCCCTCTGACATCATGGCTCCTACATGGCGTCAGGATCCCTGCAGGGCCTGTAAAAACTAGGCGGCAGGGCCACCCCCAGAGACTCTGATTCAGTGGGGCTGGGGAGGCCCCAAGAGCCAACAACATGCACTTCTAACAAGTTCTCAGCTGATGCTGATGCTGCAGGCCTAGGGGCCACACTTTGAGAACGTCTGCCCTGATGTAGCTAAAAACCTTCATGTTATGAGAACAGTGAGGCCCTAAAAGGAGAGGCCATGTCTGGAACCCAGGTGTTTTGATTCAAAAACTAGAATTGCTTTATCAAGAGACAGGATAAATAAAAAAGAAGAGGAAGGAAGGATAAAAAGAGAAAGAGATTAAATAGATGCCCTTAACAGAGAAAACAAAACAGCTCCCTGAAGACTGCAGTGTGTGGGCAGGGCACAAGTCCAACCTGGGGTGGAATTTCTGGGTGTGAACCTGGCCTGTGACCTGGTTCTGCACCCATTAATGAGCTGCCTCCCACCAGCCAATATCATGGAAACAACTCAGAAAATGCAGCCATCTCTTGTGCCCTGAAGACCTCCTCTGGGGCCTCTGGCCCTCAATCCATGAATGACAGCCCTGGGAGCTATAGATGCTGCCTCATGATGGGCCCCAGAGCATGCAGGAGAGGCTGCCCCCTTTATGGAACTGCCTGAGAGACAGAGTCACAGGCTGAGGTCCCCTTTTCAGGTTAGGATGAGAACTTGACAATGGAGACACCTATGGAAGTGACATTTTTCCACAGTATTCATGGTAGAAATAGTGGACTGGGAGGTGCAAGTCTTGAGTTTTAGTCCTGACCTACAACTAATGGTCATCTTTTTTTGTTTGTTTTGTTTTGTTCTTTTGAGACGGAGTCTTGTTCTGTCGCCAGGCTGGAGTGCAGTGGCTCGATCTCGGCTCACTGCAACCTCCGCATCCTGGGTTCAAGCGATTCTCCTGCCTCAGCCTCCCGAGTAGCTGGGACTACAGGTACATGCCACCATTCCCAGCTAATTTTTGTATTTTTAGTAGAGACGGGGTTTCACCATGTTGGCCAGGATGGTCTTGATCTCTTGACCTCATGATCTGCCCGCCTCAGCCTCCCAAAGTGCTGGGATTACAGGCATAAGCTAACGCGCCCAGCCCTACTAATAGTCATCTTAAGGGAGTTGCTTGGTTCCTAGGAAATTTTTTTGTTAAATATAAGAAGTGGGTTGATGACTCCTCTGGGATTCTTCAAATTTTGTATTCCATCATCCCACCTTCTATTTTGGTTCTCTTGCTGTGTCCCTCTTTTGAGTAGGAGGGTCAATGAAATGCCCACATCTCTGCTTCTAGTTGTAGAATAGGGAAAGCTCAACTAAAGGGACGCATGCGACACAGACACATGATGGATGAGTAAGGTACAACACGTCCCGGACCAACCCCAGCATCTAAGAGGCTTTCTATTCAGCTTTGTGCTGGCTGGCCTTTGTGCTGATGTGGGTTTCTAGGATCATTCATGAAGTGTATTTTATATTAATTAGCCTTCAAGAGAATTCCATCCAGCTGGCCCCCTCCCTCCTTCTGAAACATGGCCTTCCTTTGGCTGTCTTGACACCCCACCCTCTCCTGGTCCTCCTCCTTCATCACTGGCTGCTCCTCAGACCCTGTTGACAAATGTCATGGAATGCAGGGCTCAGCCTGGATTGCATCTCATCTCCATTTATGCCCTCCCCAAATGCACTCCCATGAAGGCTCTAAATAGCACCTGGATGATGTAGAGAAGATACTCAGTCCTAACCGAGCTCCCCACTTCACATGCCTACTCACTGCAAACCAAGTACTGCCCAACCAGGACTCTTGACTTCCTACCACCACTCCCTCTCCCACTTCCTTCTTCTCAGCACCCACCAAGTTTCTTAAGCCAAAAATCAAAGCCCTCCGCATTTCTCGTCCGCTCCTCAGCAACTATGTGCAATCAGCAGGCAGATCCAGAACACATCTCAAATCCCTCCACCTCTTGTCATCTCTCTGCCACTTTATTTACTTCATAAAACCTCTTGTCTGGCTGCCTGAATGTGTCTCCTGACTGACACCCCTGACTACATTCGATTCTCCACACAGCAGGAAGGGTCATTTTTTAACACAGAAACCGGATGCCATCACCTCCAGTTTAAAACCTCCCAATGACTTCCCATCACATTTGGGCCAAAACCCATACTCCATGGCCAGGCTCACAGGACCTCCACCTGCTCCAGTCCTGCCGCCCTCTCCATAGCATCCCTTGCCCTCCCCTCTCCCCATATTCCCTGACTTGGGCCAGCTTGTTCATCCTGCACTGAGACACACTCAGTCCTAAGCTGGAGCTTCTTTTGTCCTGTATTCCCTCTGTCTGGCCCCCACCTTTATTCAGGTTGCACCTTGACTTTCTTCTCCTCTGGGACCCTTGCTGACTCCTCAGTCTGAGGCAGTCCTCAGTCTCTCTCTCTCACAGCAGACTGTTTCATTCTCTGCACAATAGTGACCACCACCAGATAAAATTCTTCTTTATGTGTATGTGTGTTCTGCCATCCCCCACTGGCTTCTGAGCACAGTCCTCCATTGTGTGTTCACCTCTATGCCTCAGGGAACAGTGACTGGCCCCAGTGGGACACAAGGGCTGGGTTGAGGGGCTGTCCTCAGGGAGCTCTTCTGTGCAGACCCCAGGGTGGGAGGGATACAGACTAGTGGCAGGCTGCCCCCCTGCCTGGCATGCCTGGGGATTCTAAGCAGTCCTGCCACACTGCCATGCAGATGCTCATCCTCCTCACCGCCGGCCACGGGAGACACCACGTGCCTCACACCACACACCAATTGACAGATGGCGTGTGGGCACAGGAAATGAGCCCCAAACTGATTCGACCCATGACACCACTGCACACACAGCACTCAGGAGACTGTGCGGCTGTGCTTCTGCCTCCAGCTTCCCAACCCCCCATGCACCTTCCCCGGAAGCAGCAGGAATGTCCTTTCTGATAATGCGGCAGAACTTGCTCTTCCTGCCCCTGCCTGCATCAGCATCAGGAGTCTCTGGCCTCTTCAGTTCCTACCCTCTGGGCTGATTCTGGCCTGGTAGTAACTGATGCCCTCCTGGGTTATCTGACCCCAGGTGAAGGAGAACCCCACACTGTGTCCAAGAGCATCACACAAGGCTTTTTCCTGCAGCCTCCATGGCTTCCCACTGGGCCAGAGGTGCACTTCCTGCCCCAACCTGGTCTCCCTGTGTCCTCTCTCCTCACTGAGTCCCCCATCCCTCCTCTATGGTCCATTGTTATCTTCTTCTTAGAAGGCATTCCTTCTACTTATTTTGTATGTCTCCTCCTACAAACCAAAAATACATGTTTCCTTCTCATTCTCCGTCATCCTTAAATTACAATACTGGAAGGGGTACGAAGGTGCCATTTTCTTAAGTCCTCCTGGGTTTGCAGCTAGAGCCACCAGTGGAAGGCTTAATGGAAGGAGATGTCCCATCGTACTGTCATTCATAAAAGACCATTTGATTGCCTTCCATTGCACACTTCTCTGATTAAAAATGACTTGGAGCATGTTTCTTTTGCTTTTTAGCCCTGTGGCTTTCCTGTTCTGTAAAATGCCTGATTATACACTTTGGCCATTTTTCCATGTAGGCTCTTCTTGGTTGCTGTTGATTTGAAGAGTTCCTTGTACATCATGCCTTGGTATTCCAGAGATGGTCTCCCAAGCTGTCATCTGTCTATTGATGCTACCAAGGAAGCCTATGTTGATCAGAAATTCTTAATTTTGATGTGATCAAATTAATTATTTTTGCCTTATAATTTGTGCTTTGAAGTTTAATTTTAAAAACCCTTCTACATCTAAGCCTTCTTTGATTAACATTATAGTTTTATCTTTCACATTTAAACCTCTATTTTTAACCTTCATGTAGTGTTTGGTATGGCTCTAGGTTCATTTTTCTCTATATGGAAAATTTTCCCTAATAGAAGCTTACCCTGTGGATATGTGGTTCTACCTTAACATGTATTAAACCTCAGTCACACAAATATCTGTCTCTAAGCTCCCTATTCTGTGCTATTGGCCCATTTGTCTGTATTTACATCAGGACCACCATTTTCAATCACTATAGATTTGCAGTATGCAGTATGCCTTAATATCTGTCAAAGTTTTCCTCTTTACATTGATGGTTATTTCTCAAAAGAGATTATTTAATGTTCCTATCACATGAAGCAGAAAGCAATGTGACAATCTCAATGATACATTCAAATATTCAAATATAAATTTGTCACTTCCTATTTTTGTTAAGTACCAAGCATCAAAGGTATAATATGGGGGAGGGAGGGTGGGAGAAAGCCACAAATTAGTAAATGTCTAATTGATTCATTCATTCAACTAATATTAATGAAGCACCTACAAGTGCTGGCTGGCCTTGTTCTAAAGGCCGGGAATAGAATAGTGAAAAAAAAAAAAAAAATCCTAACTTTATGGGACTTACATTTGAGTGACAGAAATCAGAGAATCGCTTCATCCACCTCGCCCCCCAGCCCACCGTCTGGGGGATGCTCCTTCCCTACTGGGCCCACCTGGGCTCCTCCAGTGAGCAATTCATAAGAAGAGAGCCAATCTTAAGTTGCAAATAAATACAGTTATTGTTTCTCCTGGGGTTTACAATCAACCCAGATATATGAATTAATTTACTCAAGATTTAATTTTAAAATAAAAGTCAATGTATTTAGCTTAAGTAAAATAACAGGTCATTTCCTTTGTTGTCCAGAGTTTAGTCATTGGTCTGATTTTGAATAGAGATCTATAAAAATGAAAATAAGATTACTGCGGCTATAAATCTTTTAAATAATAAAATCTAGTTATTCTCATTATGCTTTTAATATTACAAATGAGACTATCCTTTGAAGAAAGTAACTTGGGCCTTAAAGAAATCCAGACAATTCAGATCTGCCTGCTCATTCGAATCCTAGGATAAAAGGTTACTGGGTTACAGACTCAGTTCCTTTGGGGCCCACAGGTGAAATGCACAGACTTTTATGCAGGAAATTTCTCTGCAGCTGGCCTCTCTCCCAGTCAGTGGGAATCACGGTATGATTGAGGCTTTCATCTACTAGGCCCTTGTCTTCGGGAAGGTTGAACAGAGTCGCTAGCACCATCAGTGGCTGCACTTTCATTCTGCAGCCCCTAAAAACCTGGTTCAGACCTCTTCATGGGTCTCAGCCATTGTGAATATTGGAGTGCTGACCTGGAGGAGTGGGTTTCTGAAACTCCAAAGAGGTCTGAGTTGAGAGAGAATTGGAGTTGGGGGATGAGAAAATCGGAGAGGTGTAGCTAGCAGTATGATTGGCTGATCTCTTCTATCTTTCTGGGAGGTGAGAACAGTGGGTTGGAGTGCCAGGGCAGATGCCATGGAGTAAGCACACCTCCCCATGGAGAGTGGGGCATGGGAATATGAGGCACAGTACAGTTACACACCCAGCCACTCTCCCCGGCCTGCACGTTCCTGAAATGCAAATTTTGCTCTCTCTTTAAAGAACACTGGTGCTAGGAGCACAGCACCTGAGACAGGCAGGCTGCCACTCCACAGCTGGGTGACTGGAAGCATGCTTGGGCCTTTGTGGGCCTCAGTTTCCTCTTTGTAAAGTGAGGAACAGGCCCATATGTATCCCTGTAGGGCAAAGAAAGACAGCACAGGAATGTAGTCACACACACCACATGCCCTACCGGAAGCATGGTGTTCAAGCTTCTCTGAGCCTGGCCCCTAGGTAAACACTCTAACTGCTTCATCTCCTGAAATGTTCATGCGGACCCTGCATCATCCTCGTTTCATAGAAGGCTCAGTTAAGGCTTGGAGAGATGCACTAGAAGCAGAGAGTCACAGCAGGGATCACCACCATATGCAGTGAACTTGAGTCTCTGTAACATTAGGGGTTCTCCAGAGAAGCAGAACCAGTAAGGGGTGCGTGTGTGTGTGTGTGTGTGTGTGTATCTATGTATGTATCTATGCATTATCTATCTATCTATCTATCTATCTATCTATCTATCTATCTATCTATCATCTATCTGTCTTCTATCTTTCTAGAGAGATTTAAGGAATTGGCTCACATGATTGCGGGGATTAGCACATCCAAAATCTGCAGGGCAGATGGGCAGGTTGGAACCCCAGGGAAGAAATGATACTGCAGCTGGAGTCTGAAGGCTGTCTGAAGACTGATTTCCTTCTTCTTTGGGGAAGCTCAGTCTTTTTTCATTGGGCATTCAAATAATTGCATGAGGCTCACCCACATTAAGAAGGGCAATCAGTTTTATTCAGTCTTCTGATTCAAATATTAATCTCATCTAAAAATTACCTTCACAGCAACATTCAGATGTATTTGACCACATTTCTGGATATTACGGTCTAGCCAGATTGAAACAAAATTTAATCACCGTGATTGTTACACAATTAATGTAAAAGAGCATAAGGAAAAAAGTAGCCACCAAGTCAATGGTGACCCAATGCTCTTCTATTGCTTCCAGTTTTTATTTCATACTTATATTTAGACAGAGCTTTCAAACATTCCTCTTTTCTTTGAGACAGAGTCTTGCTCTGTTGCCCAGTCTGGAGTACAGTGGTGCAATCTCAGCTCACTGCAACCTCTGCCTCCCAGTTTTAAGTGATTTTCCTGCCTCAGCCTCCTGAGTAGCTGGGATTACAGGCATGCACCACCATACCCGGCTGATTTTTATATTTTAGTAGAGACATGGTTTCACCATGTTGGCCAGGCTGGTTTCGAACTCCTGACCCCAGGTGATTCACCCGCCTTGGCCTCCCAAAGTGCTGGGATTACAGGCGTGAGCCACGGCACCTGGCCTCAAACATTACTCTTGCACTTGCACAAGCATGGGGGTGCGGGGGGAAGCAAAATAAATCAGTTAAGATGTTCCAGGAGCTCCTCATTCAGAGCTGCCCTAGTGGATGATGGCACCTCGCTGGTGTCATGCCCCTTGAACTCAGGAGCATGGGAGCCCGCGCTGCCTCTGAGACGTGATTCTAAACTGCCAACCCTCCCCAAAAAGCTGGGCGGGTGGAGGTGTTTTCTCGCTTAGGATGGCTGAGTGATCTTTTTTTATGTATCTTGGTCACAAAACAGAACACAAACCCCTCTACTCATAGGGACCTTCCTTCTTTAGGTTCCATAAAGCAGCAAATTTTTATTGGCAGTGAAGGGAATGTAGACTGGCGGTCACCTCTCAACGACGAGTACCTATTCCATTAATACCGAGTCTAAGCACAGCTGCTCTGTTTCTGGCTTTGCTCTCAGCACCCTCTCCCTGTAGCCTGTCTTTTCCCCCAGAGGACAAGCTCCAGGAGGCCAGGGCCTTGCCCTGTCCTTCTTCACTGAGGGCCCAGGCCCCACCATGCAGGCTGCCTGAAGGAACAGCCCCCATTCCTCAGGTGACACCTGCAAATCGCATGCTTTGTACTCCAAAGGGAGTCGCCCGCCTTCACTCCCAAACTCTATCCTAAGCCTGGACGCATGCTTACAGAATTTTAAGTGCCCTTCCAAAAAGCAAAGACGTGTTCCTATTGCCACTGCCCCAACGAGTGGTCCCTGTGTGTGCTGCTTCTCCGGTGCTGGGAGGAAGTATCACAGCACATCAGTTATGGAACGTTGTATTAGTGTCCCAGTGCTGCCACAAAAAATGCCCAAAAACAGCTGGGCTTAAACAGCAGGCATTCACTTTGCACCGTTCTGCAGGTGTGAAGTTTAAGATCAGGGTGTCAGCAGGGTTGATTTCTCCTGAGGCCTCTCTTCTTGGTTGGGAGACACCCGCCTTTTCACTGCGTCTTCACATGGGCATTGCTCTGTGTGTGGACATCCCCAGTGACTGATATCTTCTTATAAAGACATCAGTCATATAGGATTAGAGCTCACCCACAGGGCCTCATTTAAACATGATTACCTCTTTAAAGACCATATCTCCAAATAAAGTCACATGCTAAGGTATTGGGTAACGTTAGGACATCAACACAGGCATTTTGTGGGGGGGTGGGGGTCCCAATTTAGTCCATAACAAATGTGATCTTCCCCAAAATTCTGAGAGAGGGTGGCCCCATTTGAAGCCAAAGTTACTGAGATAAATGCTGTGCCCGTGAGCTGCCTGCTGTCCTGCATACAGTTCAATCTTTCACTCAAGTGTTTGTGGTGTGCTCCCGATGCCCCCTCATGCTTGCTGTCCAGGTGTCCAGGTGTGGCCATGGACAAGTCAGAGCAGATGCCCATGCTCATGGACAGAGGCATAAAGGCAAAAGCACATAAAATGAACAAGGCAGCTCTGGCACTGACGAGTATTCTGAAGATGACCAGGCAGCATCAAGGAGGGAAGTGGAGTGCATGGGCCTGACAGTGAATTTCCCCTGCATGCTGCACCAACCTGCCAGGGAAGAACCAAAACCTCACTGAGGATAACCAGGAGTCAACTTGCTCCAACACCTTAAGTGCCAAAAGTAAACAATGAGGCTCACTGGACCCCAGCAGGACAGCTGACCCTTATAACAGAGCAAACAGCAGGGCATCAGCTACGTTGTTCTGGTTCCCAGCCCCCACGGCCCCAGAGGCCAGAAGGAAGCCAGGGGGAGGCTCAGCTTGGGGGGGGGCTCCTGTCATGGCTGAGGAGCTCTGTGCCTAGGGAACCCATTGCTTTGCTAGTGGGCAGAAAGCAGATCTCTCCTCTTTTTGCAGGGAGCTGCAATCTCACCTCTCAAGATCACCACTTTCAAAAAGAACTCTGAGACACAGCCTACTGGAAGAGGGGTCACAGGCCTTCAAGGAGGGGCCAGGGTGGAGAGGGCCCCACAACCAAGAGGCAGCCACACAATTATCTGGAGACAGAGATTTCTGAGCAGAGCAAATAGCAAGTGTACATGTTCTAAGCCAGGAGTGAGTCTGGGGTGGATCCTTGAACAGAGAGAAGGCTGGAGTGGCTGGGGTGAATCCAGCAAAGACACGGGAGAGGAGGGCACCTGGACATGAACAGTGGGCTGTGCGGGCCTGCAGGCCATGGAGATGGCTGCGTCTCCTTAATCCAGACGGTAGCCCCAGAATAACACAGTTTCATTCTCAGTTTGCAGATGAGAAAACACTTTCAGAGAGGGAAGCAAGTCTCTCCATTACACAGTTCCTAAGTGGTGGATCTGGGGCTATGTTGGGGGCTGAATGTTTCTGTCCACCCCATATCCCTGTGTTGAAGACATAACCTCCAATGTGCCTGCATGTGGAGGTGGGGCTTTTGGAAGATAATTGTTTAGATGAGGTCATGAGGGTGGGGCCCCCATGATAGGATTAGTGCTCTTATAAGAAGAGATTCTGTCCCCTCTCTCTCCACGTGCATGCTTAGGAGAAAGGCCATGTGAGGACACAGGGAGAAGGCATCCACCTGCAGGTCAAGAAGAGGGCCCTCATCAGACATGGAATCTACCAGCACCTTGACCTTGGACTTCCCAGCTTCCAGAACTGACTGTGAGAAATAAATGCCTCTTGCATATACCACTCACTCTGTAGTACTTTGTTATGGCAGCCTGAGCTTACTAAGACAGGCTGGAATCCAGATCTTTCTGGCTCACACCTAGTTGCTCTCAATGCCTGGCTGCTGCTTGACCCAGGACATGGGGCTTCCCTTCAGTCAAGGTTCACAGGCTGTGGTGGGACAGAAGGCTGAAGATACGGGGGAAGCACCACTGAGTTAAAGATCTCTTCACATGCAACCCAAACTTTTCTTCAGGTGAATGGGGGGAACCACACATTATGCTCTAATCACTGAAACCACACTTCAGACGCAAAAACAAGAAGGTTGTTTATTACACCAGAAACCGCAGAAAGTGAGAAGGCTGGCATAAGGTTGTGACTCAGGCAGAAATCTGGCAGTGATATTAGGAGCACACATCCCATTTGTGGCCAGATGATTATTAATAACACAAGGTACTCAGTGTGCACTGAAAACTCACCCTGGAATATGAACACAGAAGTCCTCCCATGAACGTCAGCTCACCAAGTAGGAGCTTTAGAGCCTGGAAATGAGCCCAGGCTGGCCTCACCTAGACGCGCAGCATGTTTCTGCTCCCAGGCAAAAAGCCCGGGAGGCCTGTACTCTTGTACCTGAGGGTCAGCCAGATATGTGCACCTTGGTCCAGCCAAGGAGAGGCCAGGCACCTATGCCCAGGGTCCTGGTGGCCCATGGTCTCACCACCCCCATGCACTCTGCCAGCAGCCAATCGAGGACACTGAGCTTCAAGCTCATTGTGTGTTCCTGAAGGTCGGGACTCCCCAGGATGCTGTGGGGCCATCAGGATGCAGCCAGGAGGGACAGGAGAGCCAACCTACCCAATGGCCTCTGTGGCTGGTTACTGTGGTGGGTGTCCCCTGGTCACTCCTGGAGGCCCCAAGTTCCCATGCTCTGCTGCACAGAGCCAGGTCCGGGTCTCATCCAGCCTCCCATTCTTAGGCCCCTCTGGGTTACAGAGCTTCTCACCACCAGAATGAGCAGAAGGAGACGCAGGGAAGGTGATACTGCACCTAGTTCACAGTGGAGGAGAAGCAGCCCCAGCGTTTTTTTGTTTTTTTCTTATTTATTCTAAGACCCCTCATAGGTGGATGGCTGTGTGCTTTGCTGATTCTTGCTGACAGCAGCCATGGCAGCGTCTACAAACAGGTCCCCCTTTGCTGTGGATTTCCTGCAGCCCCTGCTGTGCACATGGGCATCCCTCCATGGGTCTCAGAGGCATGCTCTCAGGGTCTCTGCATGCTGTGCCAGAAACAAACAAACAAAGCAGGAAACAACAACCTACAGAAAATACACACGCAGCTTAATGTAGAGCATTATCCAGCAGCCTCAAAAAAAAAAAAAAAAAAAAGCAGAATCAGGTTTCCACAGATCATTCTGGAAAGTAGATATTCCCAGAAACTCCACACTGCAACTAGTCCTCCTAATGAACAATCACTAGCACATTCAACACACTCAACACAGGCAGGATGGTGTGTGCCAGGGCCAGCGGGCATTGCTGAGTCGGCCTCGAACCCCAGGCAACTGGGAGGCCAGGTGCAAGGGCAGAGATAGGTGTACTACTCTCACAGGAGATGGCCTGGCCTGGGGTCTAGCGGAACACCAGGAACTGCACTAACTCAACTCTCCCAGCCTGATGGCAGGTGGCCAGGGCTCTGACTGCCTCAGAAAACAATTTGCCAGAACCCAGCCCTTCTGGTTTGCAGAGGCTCTGGTTTGCAGAGGCTCTGGGCAAACTCTGGGCTGGTTCTGAGCTGCCACTATCTAGGCCAGCAGCGGGCACATCACCTCAGATACAGAGGCATTTTCTCAAAATGCATAAAATTGCATTTTTGGTGCAATAATAACATTTTAAAGTATCGATTAACAAAACAAAAATGAAAAGAAACATCATCTACTTTGTGGGTGCTAAAGTAGCTTATTTCTGCTACATTTCTACATTGTGCTGTGTGTATGTGTGTATGCAAGAAATATGAGGTTTACTATTAAATTATTTTCAATCCACCACTAACAGCCAAGAGAAATCAGGATGGCTTTAAATCCTAAACCTATGATATGTGACTGATTTTTTACATAAATAAATAAAATTAAAATACTGTCATGATAAATAAATGTAAAATTATGTTTTTTATTTATATATTTTTATATAGACTGATCCAAAGAACCATCATTCACACAGCATAATTGACACACATGGTGTACGCATCTACACATTACACTCAAGTGACACTACTTTAGTATCCTGCAAGCTCCATGTACCAGGAGTGCAGTTACCTCCCATTTTGTTATGGGTTTTACATGAAATCACAAAAAAATAAGGTGTATTAGTTAGGGTTCTCTAAAGGGACAGAACTAATGGAATATATATGTGTGTGTATATATGTGTGTGTGTGTGTGTGTGTGTGTGTGTGTGTGTGTGTATATATATATATGTAAAGGGGAGTTTATTAAATATTAGCTCACATGATCACAAGGTCCCACAATAGGCCGTCTGCAGGCTGTGGGGCAAGGAGAGCCATTCTGAGTCCCAAAACTGAAGAACTTGGGAGTCCAGTGGTCGAGGGCAGGAAGCATCCAGCATGGGAGAAAGATGTAGGCTGGGAGGCTAGGCCAGTCTCTCCTTTTCACGTTTTTCTGCCTGCTTATATTCTAGCCACACTGGCAGCTGATTAGATTGTGCCCACCCAGATTAAGGGTAGGTCTGCCTTTCCCAGCCCACTGACTCAAATGTTAATCTCCTTTGGCAACACCCTCACAGACACACCAACGATCAACACTTTGCATCCTTCAATCCAATCAAGTTGACACTCAGTATTAACCACCACATAAAGTATAATAATATTCACTCTCACATTACACTTCATTATATGCTGATATCCAGATTATAAGTAACTACTTATGGAGTCAATTTGATGTTATTAAAATTCAGTGCTGCAATAGCACATTTGAGATGTGGGATTAAGAACGCTTTGAGGTACATTTAACATCTCACATCTTTTTTAATAGACCGGCTTATTTTATAGAAAATAATTAAATAAAGTCATAGTCACTTCCTTTTTTTACTCAGTCTTTGAAAGGCAATTACCATCTCTTTGATATAAAAATACTACAAGGACTACTTCAGGTCAAATTCTTCAGGCCTGAATTGAACCCCAATTGAGTGTTGGTGCAAACACTGCTGAGGTTTGTCAGGCTCCACAGTGACGTGGAAGGAGAGGAATCTCTGAATTCACCCAGTCAGGAGGTTCTCCCAGGCCTCTAGGCGCCTCTAAGTGACCTTTTGGCTGAGGGAGAGAAGGATCAAGGGGCAGGTCTGTCTGTCGACTTTTGTGGGTAAGACTTCACTTGAGCAGAGCATTCCCAGACAAATGAAAATAACACAGTTGAAAACCACTAAATCCACATAACCAATAATCATGCCCCAGAGAAGGGGACAGAAGCTCAGAGTGGCCCAGGTCACCAGGTCATTCAGCAGCAAACTCCAGACTAGGAACAGCATTTTCACATTTCCAGGACACATTGCCTGCTGCCCAGGGCACTAGAATAAAAACATCTTGCCGTATCAATCTATATCACTTCAACAACCTTAAAAAAAAGTTATTTGCTAAAATATCATCTTTCCCTTCATTTCTTACCTATTCACAAAACATTCCTTAAAGATTGTATATTTTAAGCTTGCTTCTTATTGTCCCCAAGACACTGATGGCTCTGATTCTCCAGCATATACACCACCAACACACCACTCTGTGCACAGTGACCAAGCTGTCCAGGAAGGCTCAGGGGTGCCTCTGCCCTTGTCTTGCTGAGAACACTGGGGGAAGCACCCTTTTCAAGGCCTCAGCTAGCAGGAGCTCCACAGGGAGCAGAGACTCCACTTCTTTTCCATAAGTGCTGCTGAGTCCCACAGCTAAAGTCACAGTCTTTTCATTATGACTCGGAAGACTGGCTGGCTGAGGTGTGTCACCCTGTTCTCAGAAAGTTTCCATCGCTGCAGTGAGTCACATAAGTGCCTTCCACTGTGACCATCTGAGAGCAACGCTTTAATGCAGTGACCTCCAGAGCAAACAAACAGCCCTGGTGGGGTAGGGGACAAGGTGAAAAGCCAGTGGAGGCCCCACCCACAAGTGCATCTTTCAGGATGCAAGATGGAATTCACAATAAGTTCTCATCCCAGCTGAGCACATCTGCTAAAAAGCCCAAAGCTTCCTTCCCCATGGTTTCAGATCAAGGTGATGATACCAGATGACAAGCTTAATCCCCTTATTGGTGGGTACATCAGATGCCTCCCTAACTCCAGGGGAGCAGAGGATGACAGGGGGGATGAAACAAAACATATTTGGTCTTGCTTGAAGTTAATCAATTTAATCATTACACAGTCCTCAGCCTTTACCTACTATTCACCCCTAACTCTTCAGGATGGCTTCCAAACCTTCAAGGAACAGACCCTTTCTTCAACTGAAATTGCACAAACATAATTTCAAGATATAAAATACCTTGAAGAGAAAATGTGTGGGACAATAGGAAGAGGCAGCTCCCCCTGGCATTGCTACCAACGTATGTCCAGGAAAGCTTCTTGGACGCAACCTTAAAACCACAGCTCTGATGGAGTGCCTACTTTTATGGTTCATTGGAAACACCCGGGTCCCCCAACTCCCTGAATTAGAATGTCCTTAAAGGGACCCAGGAACCTCTCCCTGAAGTTCAGGGCTGGCTCCCTCCTCCTTTCTGGACCAACCCCTCCCGAGGGACTAAGCCCCCTCCTCCCCTTTCTCCTCCATGGAGACCTCAGGATGTAGTGCTGTGAGGGGTCTGAGAATTTCTGCCTCATTCTCCTACTGCCCCTCGACTTCACAAGTCTGAAGGCTGGTGCAGTGAATGATGGCAGACTTCAGAAACCGACACCTCTCTTGTGCTGGGGAGGGGTGGGGCAGGGATGGCCAATCCCAGCCATGCTAGATGGAACCGAAGAAACTCTCCTTCCCCAGAGGAGCTGTCATCATGGGGGTTCCATAAACATCATCTCACCTGGGCTGGAAATCACCTGCTGATGCACCCATGACAAGTGATAAGTTTCAAACCAACCCACCTGGCACAAAGCTAAATCCTGTGTTTATATAGACCACTTTGGTTTAAGTGCCACTGAGCTATTTCTGTTAAGCTCTAGGAGAACTGTTCACAACATGTGCAGAAGCAATTGCTAAAGAAATAATGGGTACAGCACATAATAACATCATAATTGTCCCAGGCACCGTGTTGAAAGGCAAGGAAGAAGACAGGCATCAGAAAGCAGCTGTGTGCAGAAGCTCCTCGGCTGGCCAGGCATCTTGAACAAAGAACAGCCAGGAGCCATCCTTGGCCTTTTCTTGCCCGATCTCCACATACACACAGCCCCTGCAGAGGCAACAGGTCGGGTGAGTTAGTTTCCCTGTAGGGTCTAGGATCTGTTGGAAGGCTGGAAGACAGCACTAAAGAGGCCCATCAGCCCAGAGGCTGCCAAGTGCTGAGGGAGGAGTAGTGAGCCTGATTTGTAATGAAATAGAAAAGGCAGGTGTAACCAACCTGGTAACCTAGAGAGCTGGACAATTTGGCAATGGCCTGCACTGGCAGGCTCCTGTAGATGCACCTTGGCAAAGGACAGGCCTGGGCTCCTCCTGACCCTCCCCAGGGCCCACTGAATGCCTGGGATGCCAGCCGACCTCACAGGGCCCTGTATGCAGGAAGGGCCTGACGCGTGAACCCTCTCTTCTATCCACCCCAAAAGATAACTTCCCTGTCTGCACAGGGCCAGAGAGAATATAACCACATCACCACTAAAGGGAGGCCTGTGATTTATCAAAATGTGTCTGTCTTTATAGAGAGGCATATTTGGAACTGACAGATTTGTAGTTGGCAAAATCTAAGACCCACTGACATCACATTCAGTGCCTTTACTTCAATCCAGATGAATGTGAAGAGAGTTACAGGGCAGGAGGAGAAGGTGTGCTTCTCTGCACAGGGAGCTGCCTGAGGTCCCTGACTCCCGCTTCAAGGCAGACAGCTAAGAGACAGCCTGAGTTCTCCGGAGATCTTCCTCCTCCAAAACCCAACAATAAGAACTACAAATATCTACATTTAATCAATTAACACAAACCAATTAAAATGTACTCTCAGCAACCAAGCAAGGGAGGAGACAAGAGTAATATAAATGTTTTTAAGGCACTGTGGTTTTGCAAAACATCCACAAGGCCATATTATTTAAAACACATTTTAAGGGGGTTTCTATATGGAACTGTAACAAAATATATTTTAAAGATTTGTACATTTTCTACAAGTTTAGGAATTACATTCCAACTAATCTATCATAATCTTAGCAATAAAATTCAAGAGTTTTATGCAAAACTCTTGTTAGCTTCCAATCCTGAAACCTCTGGAAGTTTATTCAGTCCAGAGAACTAAGATCATTTTCTACTGTTAAGCATTAGGGTAAGATTTTTGCTTCAGTTGATATCATTTTCTGGGTCTCATTCAATGCAAAAAGCACATGGCTCATCTTGCAATAATTGGTGCATCTCTGGACAGGACTTTTCCCTGGAGTGTCATTTATGTGCCTTTCAGAAGTACATTTGCACTAATGAGAGATTCCTCATGAATCAGTAGGGCTACCAATGTTATTGGCAACACATTTAAGAAGAGATCATCCAAGCCAGCCTCTTATAATCACTGGAAAATGAGTCAAAGCAGAATGTAGTCTGTTTAATATATTGAACCAGACATTCAAGACTTCTGTCATTAAAAAGGCCTGTTACAATTTTTACTTAAACCCCATCCTTCCATGCAGACCCCTCGTGGAGGGTCTAGTGGGTTGCTGCAAAGCCAACAAGGACCCCCAATGACCACTGCTGGTCCTGGGGGTCAAAGGCTGATCATCCCATCCTTCAGCCACTGTCCCTCCATCAAGTAGCACAGCCAAAGTCTCTTGTCCCAGGATTATGTATAGAAAACAGTTCCCTCTAGCTAAAAAGAGAGAATTTATCAAAATATGTTATCAACAAAAGTGACCACAGAGCATTTCACAATCCAATATAAATGGTAAGCAGGAGAACTGAGTATCTCACAGGAAAGGTATTCTGCCGTCCGTGCTCTGCCTCTGGGGCATCCACTATGGACATGTGGTCTGCAACCCTGGGGATGAAGGCAGCAGACACATAGTGCCCTGACACTGTCCCCATCCTAAGCCATCACCTGACGTCCTGGGGATGTGTACTCATTCACTTTTCCAAGAAGTGGGGTGGCCTTGGCCACATGTGCCACTCTACCACTCTTCCCTCTCCCATCTGGAGATGTTGTAAGCCTCTGGGCTATTTCAATTCAATCTGTTCAATTCTCCCTTATTTGTCAGTTCCTATGTGCCTGGCAATGTACTAGTCTTTTTATAAACATGGCCTCATGGAATCCCCTTATAAGCTCAATAGAGTCAATAACACCGTTCCCATTTTGCAGGTGAAATCGAGCCTCGGAGAAGCTAACTAACTTGCCCACATTGGCTATGGTTCACACTAGATCTCCCCATTGCTGAGCCCCAAGCTCTTCACTGCCATCTCCCAAGAGACAGAGTCTCACAGGGACATGCATGTGTTTCACACCTGTGAAAGGGCTCACACAGGTGAGTGCATGAGTTACAAGTCATTAAAGTTGATGAACGTGATCAATGACATTCTTAACTCTAAGTTCCTTTTATTAAACTCGTACATGTTATTTTCTTTGACTGTCCCCCAAATTGCACACAAGACATGCCACAGGAAAGGCAGAAAAATTCCCAGTCTCCTACCTGGGGAGCTGGCAGTTAAGATCCCCAGCTCCAGTTTTGGCAGGATTATAGAGGGAGAGTTTGGGAAGTGCCTGTCGTGGATTTGGTGGGTTAAGGGTCCCTGCCTAACACTACGGCTATGCTCAGTAACACTTGTCTGCCTGAGATGGTTTAAAACCATCAGCAGAGCCCCCTGGAGCTGGTCTTCCAGGAATTAGTATGCTATATTTGATTAAGATGCTTTCATTCCTAAAGAAGTAAAATGGAAATCATATACCAACCACCTCCACTCCCCCAACCCCCCAAAAAAACCCACAAATACACTGAAGCCTCACAGACTGTTGACCTGAACCTTTCCCAGGAATTTAGAGGAAACCATCCAATTGAGAGAGCCGCTGTTACCAATATGCTGTTTCTTGTATTTAATAACCTCGAGGAAGCTTCCCTGCTGCTGATAGGTGCCAGTTTCGTCTGTCAGTTGAAGTTAGCGACACTCAGAGCACGTAGCACTTTTACATAGAGGAGGGGCCAGAAGAGAGAAAACCCCAAAACATAATATTTTGTTATATAATTGAGCTAACAAATGCCAAACACACACACACACACACACACACACACACACACACACAAACAAATCCTCACCAGGTTTTTCCTTCACAAGGTTTCAACTAAAACACAACTCAAGAATTGACACTCCATCAGCAAGTGCCAGGATGAACTGTCAAAGCAATGAAATAAAACAGCAAAACCATCTTCCTACTTGAGCAGCACTGCCTTTCCATTACAGGAGCCCCTGTATGGAGCGCTGGGCTTCTTGAAACACAACTAAGCTTCAAAAGTGATACCCACTGCATTTCCCCAGCACAGACCTCATTCACAGGAGCACTTTCAGAGCATGAGCCGCGACAAGCTTCTCAGAAAACAGGCTCTGGAAAGAGGAGAAGGTGCCTGACTCGGAGGTCCAGCATGAGCTTGAGTTGTACCGTTGTTCTTGACACCACCTCCTTTTGGGTCAGCCCTGGCCTCGGGGTCACTCTCCACATTTACCTAGGACCTTGTTTCACATATTTAGAAGTCTGAGTGTAAGAGACCCTGATGCACTTCCCTTTTAAGGATGCCAGAGCATGACATCAGTTCTGCTTCATATTCTTGACTGTTCCAGACAGCATGATCCAAGGCCTCACCAGGCTCCATCCACAGCAGCACTCACATCAGTGTGAGAGTGGACAAAAGAATGAAACAAGATGCATATTCCCTCCCCTGAGCCTCACATCTGCAGAGCCAAAGTGTGGACTTCATTTAGCAGACAAGCCTGGAGTAGGGAGCTACAGAGCTGGACTGAAGGAGTCCAACTTCAGGCTGCGCAGGCCCCACACAGGCTAGGCGAGGCTGGGGCTTGCTTCCTTTTACATTGTCTAATCGTGTGTGGCTCCTGCCTTTCCTTTTTAAACTTGCTGGGCAATTGCTCAAAGTGGAGACTGAAAAGCAAAATCACTGAGAAGCCAAGGGACCAAGAAGTGCCTGGGGGACCATGAGACAGACTCTGACAGGAGAGGAAGCAGGCATAAGCACAGTGTAGACTGCAGGGTCAGCTTCCAACACCTCCATTCTGACTAGAGAGATACACACTGACTTCAAACCAGCTGAAACTCTGCTCTCGATTTGCATCCCTGGTGCTACTATTTTTAAGGAACACTGAGGAACGTTCCTGTAATAGAATCTGGTATCCTTTCACCACTGGCGATTCTGAATTCCAGCTCTTAGGAAGTAAAGTGTATCCTGGGAGATACATGACCATCCTTTGCTGTCTACCCAATGCCAATCCCTTTCTTCTGCCTTCCCATCAGAATCTGGCTTGAGCGGTAGTGGTGGGTTACTGCGTCTAGCGTTGGGCAATGGATATAGACTACTGTAAGACAATGGTGACAGTACTGTTTCCTGCTTTCCCTGCCTCTATTGCAGTTAGTGCTAGTGCAATAAAACCTGAGCAGAAACCCAGTTCCAGCCAAAAAAACTTAAGCATAAACCTGCCCAGCAGATTTCCAGGAAGTATTTGCAATCCTAATAAAATAGTATCAGAAGCAGCTGGTACTGACCAGCTTTTCTTCCCTTGAACTAGGACACAATGGCTAGTGCTTCAGCAGCCACCTTGTGGCCATGTGGTCCAGAGAATTAGAGGTCAGCCTAGATGGGTCAAGCCTTTACACCAAAGCCAGTAACCTTGAGACTCTTCCTTGTGAGTGAAAAGCAAGCCACACTCATTGGTCAGTTTTCTGTTACTCAAACCTGAACAGATTCCTAAATAATACACAAACAAAAGCACTTTATTTATGCACATCAGTGATTCAGTGATAACAGCTACAACAATTCATTTCCTGTGTATAACTATTTCTTAGTCCGTTAAAGACTTCCACAAAATGTATCTAATTAGACCCAGTAACATCTTGTTACCAGGTGAGTGTGTCTTCCCCACTTCAGAGATAAGAAAACACACTTGGAGAGGTGAAGGGGTAAGTGCAAGGCACTCACAGCCAGATCTTCTCCAGGGCTTCTATGGAACCACCTTCAGCCTGCAAGGTGGTGCAGATGGTGCAGTTCTTCAGGCAGCTGGAGAAGGGCAGCTTCGGGAGGCCAGAGGGGTTCCTCCACACAGCAGCCCAGCACACTCATAGTTCTACGGAGCTGGGTCTACTTACAGAGAAGGTGCAGGTGGGACAACAGGGATGCTAAGGTGGGCAAGGGCCTACCTGAAGAACCAGTGGAGCCTCACTGAAAATTTCACCACTGTCATGAACAGAACTGTGTCCCTGAAAATTCCTATGTTGACGTCCTAGCCACCAACATGACTGCATTTGGAGATAGAGCATTTAAAGAGGTAATTAAGTATAAATGAGGTCATAATGGTGGGGCCCTAAACCAATAGGGTTTGTGTCCATATAAGAAGAAAAAGAGACACCAGAGATCACTGGTTCTAGCTTCATGCATGCGTAGAAAAGAGGCCATGTGTGGGCACAACAAGAAGGCGGCTGTCTGCAAGCTGAGGAGAGAGCCCTCACCAGAAACTAGCCCTGCCAGCACCTTCATCTGGGATTTTCGGGCTCCAGAATTGTGAGGAAATCAATGACTGCTGTTTAAGCCACCCAGTCTGTGGTATTTTGTATGGCAGTCCAAGCAGACTAAGGTAGCCACCTCAACTAATGCCAGTGGCCTCTATGTCTGCTGCTCCAAAGAGCCATTTTAGTAATGGTTCTCTACTAACTGTTGGAGGCTAGGCACTACAAGGACTAGGCTGGCCCCTTCTGGAATTCTGTCCAAAAGTCAGTCTCTCCTAGCTCTGTGGTATCAGCCAGCTCAGGCCTCCATCCCCAGGAGGCTCTGAGCCCTAAAGGACACCCAGCAGGGCAACACAGGGTACTCTCTGATGAGAAAGTCCCCAGTCCATGAGGTGCAAAGCCAAGCCACTGCAGCCTGTATTGTGTGCCTGTGAAGGAGTGTGCCTTGCATTGAAAGTCTCAAAGCAGGGTCCAGGATCTCCTATGGAGCAGGAGGGGCTGCAGTGAGAACAAACATTATACACAGGTGAGGCATGCAGAGAAGGTGCACGGATTCAACCTCTGTCTCAGTCCCCACTTTCAAGGGCAATTTAAATCACATTTGGTGGAAAATATAATAATACTTCTAGCTAGGGAGAGACAGTGATGGCTGCATCTAGTAGAGCAGGAATGGAAAGAGGTAGACAGAGGGAGAGATGTTTAGGAAATGAATTATTGAGACCTTTTGGTTGATTTGATGTGTGTGTGTGGCATGGTGTGTATGTGCATGGTATGTGTGTAAGTGCGTGTGTGTGTGGTGTGTGTGATATGTATCCATACTTGCATGTGTGGGGGGGTATGATGTGGGCTGTGTCTGTGTGTGTGGTATGTGTGAGTGTGTGCTTTGTATGTATGTATGGTGTAGTGTCTGTAGATGTGTGTAGCGTGATGTGTATGTAAGTGCATGGGTATGTGTATGACATCTGTGGGGTGTGTGTGCGTATGTGTATGTGAGTGTGCGTTTATGGGCATTTGGCATGTGTGGCTGGAAAAGGAGACAGTGAGAAGCCGCAGGAGTGAGCAGGATCTCCACCGCACTCCCGGGGCTCCGGGTGCTGGTTAAAGGGTAGTAGAGAGGTGCCTTCCTCTTGCCCTCACAACTGCCTCACCATCCTCACTCTGTAGGGAGGATACAGAGCACAATGAGGTCTGCCATCCGCCCAGTGCCGCCAGCTGGCTAGGCCCTGCTGCGGGCAGTCCGCCTGGCCAGAACACCATGTTCCCTGGACTAGGGCAACCTGCTTTTTCCTATCAGCCTTTCAGAGCTGTACACAGAGCAACAGTGAGCATTCACTCACTCGCTCACTCTGCACAGCGGGAGGGGTCAGCTTCACTCTCGCTGGAGCCCACCCCTGAGGAGACCTGAGAGAGGACTGAGGCTGCGGGAGGATGCTGGTCACTGCTGCCTTGCTTCACCCAGCCTTCCCAGGGATGGGGCAGGTGGTGACCAGAGCAAGGCCTTCTGCACTGGTGGAAGCAGCAGGGGTTGAGGGAGCATTAACAAACAAGTGGGCTCTGCAAGTGGACCCCGGCTTCTGACAGTATCAGAGCCTCAACCCGTGCATCACATGGGCCTCATCTCCCAAACATGTCCTGGACCCACTGCCATACTAACCAGAATGCCCCAGCTGACCCTGTTCAGGGAGCCCAACCAGGGCTTCCACACTCCTCCACAGGCCCCCAGCTCACCACACAGACGTGCAGGAATCAGGCAGTTACGGCATCAACTGCCCTTCAGCTACGCCTTCCAAGGGTGGCCACATTAGCCACCCTGAGGTAATTTGAATGTGAAAAGGACAGAATTTAAATTACTCTGCCTCATTTACAGTTGTCCTTGCTGGAGGAGAGAAGAAAGAGCCTTGGGAGAAATTTCAGGTGATGGTTAATAGCAGCTTCCAAGAAAATGCACGCCCTGAAGCCATTTCATGGGCCAGTAAAAAGAGCCAAATCTCCCTTTTTGGTGCTTGAACGAATTCCAGAAGACCTGCCTCATGGAATGCCTATTTCTGGACCTCAAGAACCCACCTACTAATGGCTGCAATGAAATGCATTCAAGAGACAGAACACTCCAACTATACCATAAAGTGTCCCTATCCCCTGCTCCCACTCCCTGCAGTCTCAAATAGTGTCACCCTTCAGAATGTCCCCGAGTACATGGTATAACTGCCAAGTGTGAAGTTTCAATCCATCCACCATGTGAGGAGCTTTGCTAGTCCAAGCCACACACCCCAAGCTGAGTCTCCCCTTGGTCCTCAGGACCCTTGATCTTAACATGCAAGTGATAAACATCTTCTAAAATATAAGGGTTTAGCTGTCATTTCTAAGGGCACTAAGCTCCGCACACACACACAGGTATGAGGTCATGCCACATCATCTATTCTCCCTCAGGATGGATTCTCAAGGCCAGGCCCTTCCCTGGCCACTTTCGGAACCCAACCCAAAACACAGAGAAGGTAGAAGCAAGACACCTGATGCGGCAGCTGTCAAACGCCGGGGAGCCCGGGAATTGCTGGTAGCATGTGCTCAATAGAGATCCTCCAGCCTCATGTTAATAGAGTTCCATTCAGCAGGTAATGGTCCAGGCCAAGCACGTGCAGGTATACGCATGCCCTCCCCATGCCAATGCCGTTGCTGATGCAGATGCTGATACCTGGGTCCATGGATCAGGCACAGAGTGTTCCACTCACTACCATCCAGCATTGTTAGGCTTCTGTACAGTAGAAACTCAATAAATTTTGGTTAAAAGACTAGAAAAGGAAGTAATTATGTAAAGTGTCTTAGGTCACGATGATTTACTGCATGACACACCATATAGCTTTCTGACATGAAGAACTATTCTACTGCTCCAAGATTCAGCAAATGCCACATTCGTGTCTTACCCTCCCCATAAACACTGGGTCTGATAAATGTGTGGGGGAGGTCAGGGGTAAAGGAGGACATTCTTTGGTCAAATAAGTTTGAAGAATACTGGATTCCACTGAAATAAACAATTTCTATGTTGCAGGCCTTCTCAGAGCCTTTGACATGCTAATGGACATTGTGCATCTTTAAGAAAAAAATAGTACATAACATTCAAGCTTATTGAGTCAAAGAACCTTTATTTTGTAATGGAAGATATTTTAACATCATGAAACATAACTTGGGAAACTTCCAGTTTCAGCATTTCACAAAGCTTTCTAGTTTTCAAAATGTTTCTGTAAATATCAATCTCCTAGAATATCCAGGCCCAATTCCTGCCTCCGCAGTGACACCTGGACAACAGTCAGGAGGCTCTACTTACGTTCACCTGAGAATGCTTGAAAAGATTCCTTAACTGGGAATTATGGAAAACCACCAGAGGAATTACTGTAATGCCTTAATTCTAAGACACATGATCAGCCTGATAAGAAATTGGCAAGAAAAAATAAAAAAAGAAACGGTGAGAGCATCAATCCATGTAGACTAGGTCACCATGGGGTAACAAATAGACCAGCCGAAACCCTAGTAGCTCATACCCACAACAGCTTATTTCTCACGCATGCTAATTATGCACTATAATCAGCCAAGGGCTGTGCTCCACAAACCCTCTTTCTGGGTTTCAGGCTGATGGAGCAGACCACCCAACCACTGGCATCGGCCATGCAAGGGTGCTCTAAAGGATCATGTGCCAACAACTTACTCCAGCTGGAAATTACACACAGCACTCCCATTCACAATTCACCAGGCAGAATCATCCCCTAGGCCTGCCCTGCCGCAAGAGGCCTAGGAGTCAGCCCAGCCGAGTGCCCTGAAGAACTGAGAATCCCACCAACAGCACTGATGATGACCATGGAGGGCTATGCCTGCTGTAGCCCTGTTCATGTGACACGTCCTAATTCAGGGATACTAAGACATAAACAAGAGCCTTAACATTTAAGAAAATGGAATTCAAAAACCTTGCGTAAGTTCTTTTTTTTTTTTTTGAGACAGAGTCTCGCTTTGTTGCCCAGGCTGGAGTGCAGCAGTGCAATCTTGGCTCACTGCAACCTCTGCCTCCTGGGTTCAAGTGATTCTCCTGCTTCAGTCTCTCAAGTAGCTGGGACTACAGGCATGCACCACCACACCCGGCTAACTTTTGTACTTTTAGTAGAGATGAGGTTTCACCATGTTGGCCAGGCTGGTCTTGAACTCTTGACCTCTAGTGATATATCCGCCTAAGCCTCCCAAAGTGCTGGGATTACAGGTGTGAGCCACTGGGCCCAGCCTAAAAATCATGCGTAAGTTCTATTCATGTTTACTGGGCAGTTATTTTTTTGCATAGATATGAATCTATGCAATATGGGCCAAGTATCTATTCATTATACCACAGCTCTGAGTAAATACCCTGCCTTGCCATGGCTGGAATGAACTCCTAGGGCAGAGTCCTGAAGCTCCCACATTGTCCCTGCCATGTTCCCTGACTCTCAAATCCCAGGCTTGCTGCAAAGGAGACAACTGGGTTTCTTCAACATTGGTTCCCTGTCTCTGAACAGAGGCACACAGAACTCCCCAGCCCTTCTGCTGCTTCCAGGGCCTTCTAGGGTGCTGTATCTAAATCTGCAATTGCACAAATCTATGCAATGTGGAAACTCCCCTCCAAACACCCCCTGCCAGGACGTTTGTGCTGCTGTAGCCATAGCAGCAATTACATACAGACCTCTGATTTTAGCAGAGAAAGCAACATGCCCAAGTGGACACTGAATCAGAGGGCTCCCAGCAGAATGACACTGCTGCAGAAACCAGAGCCACTGTCAACTCCTCAGTCCCAAAGGTGAGTGACCATTCGCATCTGTTCTCCCATCTGATCATCACAGCCATCCCTCAAGGGTGGCTGGGGTGATGTACAATCATTCTGACTTACAGATGAACAAACATCTACCCAGCAAGGAACGAGCTCAAGGTCACTTAGCTAATTTGTGTCTGAGTTCATTGAACATCCAGTGCTTCTGACCTCTCTGCCACTGGCCTTCTGCCAAAGCCCGTGAGGGGCTGGAACTGTGTGAGTTCACTTTGCAAAGATCCTCTGGTCTATGGTTGGGTCCATTCCGGAAACAGGGCGCTAGGCTATGAAGTGGTGGCGGCAGGATGGAGCCAGGCTGGGGGGCCTCTCCCACCACGGGCCATCTTCCTACCCAAAGCATAGCATTGGAATCCCACGGGGGTTGTTTTGAAAGTTGTGTCGTGACACATAAATGTACGCATTCGGTAACAATAATGAATAGAAAACTTCTACAGAGATGAGGAACACTCTCTCACAAGGACATTTATTGGCAGCTCTCTCTCTTTGCCCATAGGACAGATGTTCTGGGAGAAAGGTCCCCACCATGTTCCCAGCCGGCACAGCAGGTGGTGACTTACACCATTCGCCATGCTCCTCCCTCAGCCAACAGTGACCGACCAGAGGAGGCACATGCCCCAGTTTGGGCCACTGATGCATGAGGAGATTCTGCTGGCCTCCAGGAAAAAAACCACTGAACGAGTGAAGCATTGCCTGCTCTGGGCACAGGTGAGGATGCTGCTTTGAGGGCTCCGGCCTCTTTCCAGCCCATATCAGAAGATGAAAAGCAGTGTGCCCTGGAATGCTTTTCATCCAATCACTCTGTGGTAACATCAAACCTTGGGTAGAGGGCCCACAGGTACACATGCAATTCTAGCATGTCCTTCCTGGACTAAACAAAGGAGATATTTGATTCCTTCTTCACAAAACCAGAAAAGGGAGGAAAAAGCTGTCTAAAATACTAGTCAGTTTCTTCCCCTTAACAACGAATCCCACTATATTAAGAAAAATCACTTTAAAAATTAGAATCACATGGCTGGGCACGGTGGCTCATGCCTGTAATCCCAGCACTTTGGGAGGCTGAGGCGGGCAGATCACGAGGTCAGGAGATTGAGACCATCCTGGCTAACACGGTGAAACCCCGTCTCTACTAAAAATACAAAAAAAAAAATAGCCTGGCACAGTGGCGGGCACCTGTAGTCCCAGCAACTCAGGAGGCTGAGGCAGGAGAATGGCGTGAACCTGGGAGGCAGAGCTTGCAGTGAGCTGAGATCGTGCACTCCAGCCTGGGTGACAGAGCGAGACTCCGTCTCAAAAAAAAAAAAATTAGAATCACATGTTAAACATACACTGAGACATTTACTACTTAAAAGAATCCTAGGGTAAATCCTTTGGCAAACAAATTATTAATGCCAGAATTTAATTTATGTATATTAGATTTATAACTGTGTTATGTTTTTCATATGCACTCATGCCTGCGTGTCCCATGGGAAGGGCGTTCTCAGCAAGGGCACTTGAGAGGGGATATGAACCGCAAGAAGGTGTCTGTCATGTGACGGTACATTAAGAAAGGCAAACTAATAAAGAAACCAAATAACCCCAAAACTTGCCTCAATTCACTTAATTCACAATTACAACAAAATTTCAGAATTACATGTTCAGAACCCAAATAAGCAGAAAATAATGAAGTGATGCAGCTCTTGGGCACGCCATCATGCTGAGGCTGTGAACTAGTTTCTGTCTATGAGCACCGTTTCCCTGGGTCCTCTGCTTGATAGGTTTTAAAGGTCCAAATATTTCAACCGGGTGGCTCCCATTGCTGTCCATGCTTTTCATCCAATTTAAGTCAGTTATTCACATCCAGTTTCTCCTGTTTGTATTACACCACCCTAGATCATTTGCCCCCCCCCATCACTCATGGCTTATCAGTGAGATCTTGCTGAAAGTCTAGAGAAGCATCCTGTGGTCAGGACTGATTAAAAATAACTCCATTCTAAGGAAGGAGATGCCCTTCTGCAATCGAGAAATCAAACACCAGGAGATTAGGTGCCTTTTAGTGACATTTTTCTGTTTTGTTGTGCTCCATCCAGAAATTCAATATAATTTATGGACTAGAATGAATTCTATAGAATAAGTATCTCTCCTTTGGGTCTTTCCTTTGCTGATCTTTGAAAAACCCAAGGCTTTTGTTCTCCTGTGGGCTCCGAAAGTCAGGACATGTTGGCAATTTCTGAAAGCATGGATTGACTCTACATGGGAACCTAAGCTTCCTGGGTTTTTGGTAAGTCCTGCCCACAACTAAGGTGATGTCCTGTGTCACCTCTCAGGCCAAGGGCCAGCAGAGCCTGAAATCCAGCCACCACCCATGCCCTTGGCCTGGGCTGCAAAGGGGCAGCACCTTATTCATACCAACCTGCTGCCCACCTGCCTTTCTCCAAGTTGTACACAGAGGCACTGCTGCAGCTTAATGGTATGTGTCCTTCCAACATTCGTAGATAGAACTTAAGCCTCAAGGTGGTGGTATTAAAAGCTGAGGCCTCTGTGGGTGATTAAGTCATGAGGGCCTCCCACTCCTGAGTGGGATTCATGCCCTTAGAAGAGAGCCGTCAGAGAGCTGCTCCCTCTTCCATCTCTTCTGCCATGTGAGGATGTCACGTTCATCCCGTTTGCCCTTCTATCTCCCCCCAACTGAGGAAACAGCAACAAGGCACCATCTATGGAGCAGAGAGCAAGGGTGCATCAGACAATGAATATGCCAGTGCCTTGAAACTGGACTTCTCGGACTCCCAAACTGTGAGAAATACATTTCTATTATTTATAATTACCCAGTCTAAGTGATTTTGTTATAGCAGTGAGGATGGACTAGGCAGGTACCACATATGCTAGCAACAGCCTTGATGCCAAACATTTTAACACAGTCCTTCCAAGTCTCTAACTGTATCTTTAAAAAATAAAAGGACAGGAACAAAGAGGTACAGAGAAAAGATGATGTTCATTGCATCTCTCTTTATAGGGAGAAAAAAATAGAAACCACTAACATTTTCAACAAAAGGGTATAATGGTAGTCACAGGTGTTACTAACCAAGTGTGTCTGGCTTCCCTGCTTCCAGGTGAAGGGAGACAGCGGCCTCCCTGTCTTTGAGGGGTGAGACCATGGGCCTGGCTTTGACTGATAAAGAGTGGGCAGAGAGGTGATGTGCCTCTTCCAGGTGGAAGCCTGAGAGCCACGGCCTGACCTCCCACACTCCTATCTCCATCAGCCACTGTGCAGTGGCTGCTCTTTGGACCTGCAGTGTGACAGCCCCTGCTGACTGGGGATGGACAACGGATGGTAGTAAGACATAAGCTTTTCTAAACCACGGAGATTCTGAAGCTGTTTATTACTGAAGCATTACAGAACTCATGGTGATTGATACAGAAATGAGCATCTGCTAGTGGTCTGCTGCTGTAAAAAATTTAAAAATAATTTATGTAGTCCTGGTATCATGGGATGGGTGGAGAGTTTGGTAAAACTACTTCCTACAAGCATCTTTCAGGGCAGGTCCTCTACTTGATGAGAATAAGTGGAGGACAAAAGGTCAGTCCTGTGGGACAGAGGGACACTGACGGCTGGGTTTGGCAAGGTGATACAAGAAAGAGATGAGCTCAGAAAAGAACTGGCCAGTTTGTAAGCAGAAATGAATGGAGTGGTCCATGCATGTAGAGATTTATCAGGCTGGAAGATGAAACAGCTTCTCTTCTCCAAATAATAAGAGATTAAGGATGGACTCTGAGCTAGAAAACCACATTTTAAAAGCAAGGAGCTAATGAAGGGCAGAACCCTTGAATTGCTGTTATAAATCACAAATGGAATAAAGGCCCAGTAATTTCTTTTTGTTGGATAAATGGCTTAGGGGGAAAAGTATAACCTAAAAACTAAGAATATGACACTTTTGGGGAAGCCTGATGAGCTCAAGAAGGCTGCAAATAAGTTGGGTGCTAGAGAGAGGAAAGTAAGCATGCTTTCTGCAACTCTTCTGTAAGTCTAAAATTATCTAAAAACCAAAAAGTAAAAAAATGTAGACCTGCATTTATTAATGCACATGGATGTTTAGTAAATATTCAGAGAGAAAAGAATATGACTAGTGTGATCTATATATTTGTAGAGCTAAATAAATAAAATCTGGAAGGACAGATACCAGTATTGGTTGTTTGGGAATATGGAATTTTGAAATTCCAATGTATTTTATTTTGTCTATCTGTGTAGTCTGTTTTTTTCTAACGTAATCATATGTGTATAATTCAAAACCACTTCATTTTTATACAAACATATATGCTTATATACTTACATATACATACTTATATATTATACAGGTAACATAAACTAAATATACTACATTATATATAACATATAAGTAACATGTAACAAGTCGTTATATATTATGTCATATATAATGTATCAGTATATATGTTATTTTTATACGTAATATCAAATATATTCGATATATGTAATTATCAAAATTATAATGACAGTATTTATGGTTTTGTGATTATGGAGTAGGTATACAGGCATTTTAAATATCTAGTCCCTCACCTCCACACTGTGAAATGGTTATCATTCACATGGCAACTAAGAAGTTGAATACAACTCACATGCTGAGTGTCAGATGCAAAGGCTGATTAAAGAAAGTCCACTCCTGCCCCACTCCATCCTTAAACATTCTTATTATTTGCTTCTGCTGGCAACCACTTAATACTTCATATCACAGGAAGCAACAATGGAAAGCTAATAATAGCAAAACACAGAAATCAGTAAATTATCTTGCAAGCAGGCAATGGAGCATATAAATTACTACTGAAAAGTAACTGAGACTGTCTATAAGATGACTTCAAGTCTATACATTTAAAAATATAAGGTATAGATGTATCCCACTTAAACAATCACCCACACACCATTTGCCTTCAAAGTTTCAAGTAATAAAGTCAGAGTTAAATCCCGTTTTATCCTGGCACTTCTCTTCAGGTTCCTTTAGGTTGAGATCATCACTTGACTATTTTTTGAGCTATATTTTCTACGAGATATCGCACGATTCTTCCCCATGTAAACTGACATTGATGCAATCGTTATGGTCAACATATACAGTGTGTCAGGCACAGTACTAAATGCTTCCCATGCATTTATTTATTTTAATCCTAGTAACAAGACACTATTGCTATCCTCATGCATGGATACCTATTGCTCTCTCTGCCTGCCTGCTTCATAGAAAACTGGCCCCACCATTTTCTGGTAGCTGTGCTCTTATAACAGGTCCCAACACTGGATCCAGTGGTTGGCTGCCCACAAGCTAGACCAGAGTACTTCTCCAGGAATTTGAAATCAGGGCTGAAAGATTCTTTTTATTTTTTCAATTTGTAAATTTTCATTTTTTGACCAGCTTTATTAAGATATAATTCACTTACCATAGAATTCACCCATTTAATGTGCACAGTTCAATGGTTTTTAGTATATTCACAGAGTTGTGCAACCATCGGCACAATCTAATTCTAGAGCATTTTCATCACCCTGAAAGAAACCCTGCACCCACCAGCCGTCACTTACCATTCCCTCCGAGGCCCCCAGCCCTAGGCAACCACGAGACTACTTTCTGTCTCTATTGGTTTGCCTATTCTGGGCATTATATAAATGCAATCATATAATATGGGGTCTTTTGTGACTGGCTCCTTTTGCGTAACATATTTTCCAGGGTCAATCGTTGTGGCATAAATCAGTTTTTCATTTCTTTTTTTTTTTTTTTTTTTTTGAGACGGAGTCTTGCTCTGTCACCAGGCTGGAGTGCAGTGGCGCAATCTCAGCTCACTGCAACCTCCACCTCCCGGGTTCAAGCGATTCTCCTGCTTCAGCCTCCCGAGTAGCTGGGACTACAGGCGTGTGCCACCACGCCCAGGTACCTTTTTTTTTTTTTTTTTTTTTTAGTAGAGATGCGGTTTCACCATGTTGGCCATGATGGTCTCAATCTCCTGACCTCATGATCTGTCTGCCTCGGCCTCCCAAAGTGCTGAGATTACAGGCGTGAGCCACTGAGCCCAGCCCAGTTTTTCATTTCTTTATGTTGCTGAATAATAACACAATATACAATATGCCATTGTATATTACATTTTATTTAACCATTCATCAGTTGATGGGCCTTGGATTGGTTCTAGTTTTGGTTATTATAAATAATGATAATAAACACTCATGTACAAGTTTTTGTGTGAACATGTTTTCATTTCTCTTCCCTAGAAGTGGAATTACTGGGTCATATGGAAATTCTATGTTTAATTTTTTGAGCAACTACCAAACTATTTCTCAAAGAGCTGTATCATTTTATATTCCCACCAGAAACATACATTTGATAGTTCCAATTTCTCTACCTCCTTGTCAACACTTGTCTGTGTTTTTGATTCTACACATCCTAGTGGATGTAAAGTGCTGTCTCATTCTGCTTTTGGTTTTTGTGTTGTAATGACTGATGATGTTGACTATCCTTTCATGTGTTTACTGGCCATTTGTATATCAACTTTGGAGAAAGGTCTGGTCAAGTGTCTTTTCTATTCGTTATTGAGCTGTCTTTTTATTATTGGGTTCTAAGAGTTCTTTATATATTCTGGATATGAGTTCCTTATCAGACATGATTTACAAATATTTTCTCCCATTCTATGGACTGTCTTTTTGCTTCCTTAAAGGTAGTATTTGCAGCATAGAAGTTTTTACTTTTGATGTGATCTAATATATTTATTTCTTCTCTTGTTCCTGGTCTTTTGGTATCGTACAGTGGTAGCTCTCTGAAGTGAGGCAGCTACTGGTGGTCATCTGCTCCCATGTGTATGAGGAACTCAGTAGGGAGACAGAAAATGGCATAGTGAGAAACGGAGCCATGTAGGCAGACACAGGCATGGGCTTCCCAAAGCGCTGCTCTCTGGGGGCAGGCATACCCTAGACCCAGCTGCACCTGACTGGGAACCCTTGGGCATCACGGACCCCGCACCCTAGCTCCCTCCAGTTTCTGTTATTTATTAGGAAACAGACAAAGAAGCAACAAAGAAAACAAGAAATTCGACCAGCGTACCTAGTTTACAGATGAGAAAACAGGTTCCAAGAAGGTCCAGTCAACAAAGCAGGTGCTGTGGAGGGACTGTGATTCCCCAGCCTGCACCCCCAGCCTGGCCACCCTGCCTCTTTGTGGGCAGAGAAGAAACATCACAAATAACCAGACAAGCTTCTCTTCACTTGCAAAGAGATTCACAGAAAACTTTCTTTAAATAGCACACTGCAAGTGTCAGTTGCCGGGACTTTCTTACATAAGAGAGATCAGCAATTGTAGAGCCTGAAGAGACTTCATCTCTAATCCAGGCAGACCCCTCAGGACCAAGAGGGCAAATCACTTGGGAAATGCACTGTAACACACATTTCTGGAAATATCTTTGTATAGACTTGACCTCAAAGTGGAGGGGAAGGCTGCGTACCCTAACGGAGGACTCTAAGATCTCCATAGACAATAACTACTTAAAAAGACACTCTTAATTTTATAAATTCTCAGAATAAAACCTACAAGACGTATGGTTCCATGTAAAAACTACAGAGAGTAAAATGGGGCAAAAAAAATTTGGCCTGTGGGGCATGCATTTCAAGGGGTTGGAGAATAATGTTCAAAGGATGTTCCAGCTACATGCTGAAAACTTTGTCAGCCTCTCTGCAGCCTGTGTTTCAAAGACAAAAAATACCATACACATAAAGCTCTGCTCCTCGATGTCTCCCCAGGACACCTCTTTCGCACACAAAGCCGGTGCTGTGGAGGGACTGTGATTCAAACTCAGGCCTGCACCCCCAGCAGAAATCGAGAAATTCACCAGGCAGGTAGGAGCATCAGCGACCTCCCACCAATCTTATTAAGCTGGGCTTCGAGGGAGGAGGATGAGTGTCTTTGCTCCATCCCCAGGGGTGTGGCCTTAAGAGGGAGCATTCCACATGTTAGCCAGTAAATCACAGCTGCTTAAACAAAATAGCTAACTTATGTATTTGATTGTCAAAATGCAGACTCCCACACCAAGCAATCTCTGCCAACAAAGAGGATACATTTATTTTAAAAGAGCTAAAATTACTCATTATCCTGTTTTTGAGAGTCGCCATATCTGTTACATAAATATCCTTACAGCAAAGAATAGGTAAGCGTAAAGTTAGCAAAATCATTACACTCAAGGTTTTCAAAGGACACGCCTCCTGAACCTACCTGACGTAAAATATCTCAAATTATTTTCTTCTCAAGCAAATATAGACAAGGATCTTGGCTGTGAACTTCATTTCTCTGATTGCACGTGTACCTTAGAACCTAAAACTCAGAAGAGAAATTCATGTGGTTCACAGGAGGACGCCAGAATATCAAACTAGAACTGCCTGGTCACGAGCCCTCAGCAGCAGCCTAAATCCCATGCTGGAAAATTTGGATTTCATTGTGTTTCCAAAAGGAGGTCTACTTCAACAATGTCAAACTTAAAAATAAGAAACAGTTCATGGCATAAACTGTCATATGTCATTAACCTGACACCCTGAAAGAATCCATTCATTCATGGGTTATTTCATTCATAATGCATCTTTATACATTCATTGAACATCTTCCAGACAATCTTACAGGCTGGTTAGGTAGGCGAAAAGACGAAGACACAGTCCAAGGCATGAAGAGCATAGTAGGGGCAGCACTAGCCACTAGGCAGATCACCTGTTAGAGCACCAGCAAAGCAGGGACACTGAACCAAGGCCTTTGTTCAGTTTCTGGAACAGACTCCTTCATGCTCAGGACACTGAAGCCTGCTCCTTATGCCAGGCTGGCTCCAGCTCAGCATCTGGGTCTTATCCAAGCACTCCTCAGAGAGGCCTTCCTGAGCCACATCTCACCCCCGACCCTCCATCACTTCACCTGTTTTATTACCATAGCAACACCTGCCGCTTTGCAAGGATGCTCCATGCATGAATGCCAGCTCACCAGGTATCCTCCATGCCCACAACACACTGAGCATTCGGCAAGTCATATTTTTCACTACAAAGATAATGAAAGGAAAGGAAAGACAAGACAGCCAAACAGAAAGAGCTGCTAAATTTCAGAGAAATGCCTCTTTACTGTAAGAAATGTCTTCCTAAATGATTGTTCTAAAGATAACAAAAACATTATGAAAAGTCTTGAAGTTATCACCCTCATTTTTTAAAATAGCCTCTTCGACATAGTGATCGTCAACTGTTTTGCTAAGAAAGATGAAGCCATTAGATATTCACACATCCGCTCCCTTCACCCAGCCAAAGACTCTCCTAAGTTATAATACTATTTGCAAGGTTTACATCATTTACATCACATACTTTCACTGTAATTCATGCAGATGGCCTGTCTTATTTTTATGTTTATACATATCCAAGGTTTGCCACCCATTTATACTAAGCTCTGTACTTTTATTCACTTCTATTTTGGCTGGATTTTGATATTCAATAGTTTTATTCAAAACCCTTATTCAAAAGAGCTCATAGCAGCTAAGCTCTCTGATTTATGGCAGGCTTGAAAAAAATCTATTATCTTTGTCTTTATACTTGGGACAATTTGGCTAAATAGGAAATCACTGAGGGCCCCATTGTTCCACTCAGAATTTCTCAGAAACCAGTATCTTTCAGAAAGTGTTGCTTGACAGACGCTGACCCAGTGTGATTCTACCTACCTATGTTCCTAACCTTTTCTGCTTTTGTGCCAGGTAAGAATCACCATGGAAATCGAGAAATTCACCAGGATGTCAGTCAGTCTTGTTCAGTCTTTTTAATGCTTACTTTATTAGTCCATTTTCACACTGCTGATAAAGACATACCTGAGACTGCGCAATTTACAAAAGAAAGAGGTTTAATTGGACTTGCAGTTCCATGTGGCTGGGGAAGCCCCATTATCATGGCGGAAGGCAAAGAGGAGCAAGTCACATCTTACATGGATGGAAGCAGGCAAGGAAAGAATAAGAAAGATGCAAAAGTGGAAACCCCTGATAAAACCATCAGATCTTATAAGACTTATTCACTACCATGAGAACAGTATGGGGGAAACTGCCCCCAGGATTCAGTTATCTCCCACTGGGTCCCTCCCACAACATGTAGGAATTCTGGGAGTACAATTCAAGATGAGATTTGGGTGGGGACACAGAGCCAAACCATATCATTCCACCCCTGGGCCCTGCCAAATCTCATATCCTCACATTTCAAAACCAATCATGCCTTCCCAACAGTCCCCCAAAGTCTTAACTCATTTCAGCATTAACTCAAAAGTCCACAATCCAAAGTCTCATCTGAAACAAGCCAAGTCCCTTCCACCTATTAGCCTGTAAAATCAAAAGCAAGCTACTTATTTCCTAGATACAATGGGGGTACAGACATTGGGTAAATACTACTGTTCCAAAGGTGAGACATTGGCCAAAACAAAGGGGCTACAGGCCCCATGCGAGTCCAAAATCCATTGGGGCAGTCAAATCTTAAAGCTCCAAAATGATCTCCTTTGACTCCATGTCTCAAATCCAGGTTATGATGATGCTAGAGGGGGGTTCCCATGGTCTTGGGCAGCTCCGCCCCTGTGGCTTTGCAGGGTACAGCCTCCCTCCCAGCTGCTTTTTGGGCTGGCATTTGGTGTCTGTGGTTTCTCCAGGCCCATAGTACAAGCTGTCAGTGGATCTACCATTCTGGGGTCTGGAAGATGGTGGCTCTCTTCTCACAGCTCCACTAGGCAGTGCCCCAGTAAGGACTCTGTGTGGGGCTCCGACCCCACATTTCCCTATGCACTGCCCTAGCAGAAGTTCTCCATGACAGCCCTGCCCCTGCAGCAAACTTCTGTCTGGGCATCCAGGCATTTCCATACATCTTTTGAAATCTAGGTGGAGGTTCTCAAACCTCAATTAATAATTTCTGTGTACCCACAGACTCAGCACCACATGGATATTGCCAAAGCTTGGGGCTTGCACCATCTGAAGCCACAGCAGAGCTCTGCGTTGGCCCCTTTCAACCATGGCTGGAGCAGCTGGGACACAGGGCACCAAGTCGCTAGGCTGGACACAGCTTGGGCACCCTGGGCCCAGCCCACGAAACCACTTTTTTTCCCTTGGCCTCCAGGCCTGTGATAGGAGGGGCTGATGTGAAGACATCTGACATGCCCTGGAAACATTTTCCCCATTGTCTTGGGGATTAACATTTGGTTCCTCATTACTTATGCAAATTTCTGCAGCTGGCTTGAATTTCTCCTAGGAAAATAGGATTTTCTTTTCTATCACACTGTCAGGCTGCAAATTTTTCAAACTTTTAAGCTGTTTCCCTTTTAAAACTGAATGCTTTTAACAGCATCTAATTCACCGCTTGAATGCTTTGCTGCTTAGAAACTTCTTCCACCAAGTACCCTAAATCATCTCTCTCAAATTCAAGGTTCCACAGATCTCTAGGGCTGGGGCAAAATGCTGCTGGTCTCTACGCTAAAACATAACAAGTCATCTTTGCTTCAGTTCTCAACAAGTTCCTTATCTCCATCTGAGACAACCTCAGCCTGGACCTTATTGTCCATATCACTATCAGCGTTTTGGGCAAAGCCATTCAACAAGTCTCTAGGAGGTTCCAAACTTCCCCACATTTTCCTGTCTTCTTCGGAGCCCTCCAAACTGTTCCAACCCCTGCCTGTTACCCAGTTCCAAAGTTGCTTTCACATTTTCACGTATCTTTTCAGCAACATCCCACTCTACTGGTACCAATTTACTGTATTAGTCCGTTTTCACACTGCTGATAAAGACATAACTGAGACTGGGCAGTTTACAAAAGAAAGAAGTTTAATGTGACTTACAGTTCCATGTGGCTGGGGAAGCCTCACAATCATGGCAGAAGGCAGGGAGGAGCAAGTCTGGTCTTACATGGATGGCAGGAGGCAAAGAGAGAATGACGAAGACGCAAAAGCAGAAACCCTGGATAAACCCATCAGATTTTGTGAGACGTATTCACTACCATGTGAACAGTATGAGGGAAACCACCCCATGATTCAATTATCTCCCACCAGGTCCCTCCCACAACACGTGGGAATTATGGGAGTATGATTCAAGATGAGATTTGGGTGGGGACACAGAGCTAAACTGTATCATTTACCAAAATGCAATTGTTCCTTTTGAATGACAGAGCCAAGTCTGGCCTGTATATTTACACAGTTTTCTTTTTATTGTATACTTTAATGTTCTCCTTCTTTTCTAAAACTCTTTGTTAGAAAATCAGGCCAGGTATGACGGCTCATGCCTGTAATCCCAGCACTTTGGGAGGCTGAGATGGGTGGATCACTTGAGGCGAGGAGTTTGGGACCAGCCTGGCCAACGTGGTAAAATCCTGTCTCTACTAAAAATACAAAAATTGGCTGGGCATGGTGGGGTAAATCTATAATCCCAGCTACTCAGGAGACTGTGGCAGGAGAATTGCTTGAACTTGGAGGGGCGGGGGTTAGAGGTTGCAGTGAGCCGAGGTCACACCACTGCACTCCAGCCTGGGTGACAGAACAAGATTCCATCTCAAAAAAAAAACCACATAAAATCAAATTATGGTGAGGCTTTGTTCCTTTTGTGTGGTCCTATCCTGTCCATGGTGTTTGCATTGTCAAGGAGGCTTCCTATTTTGTGGCTTCCTGGTTAATCTCTGTGATGGCATCATTTTGGTTTTTTCTTTTCCACTTTCCATCCTGAATTCTGTCAGCTTGGGCCCTACTTTCCTCCATCTCACTCGCTCCTCTGAGTCTTCCTCCTATGCTTAAATTCTGCTTTAGAGATCAGCAGTTTCTTTTTGAGTATGGAAATTTATTTTTTTGAACTCTTGAGCTGGTCACTGAATCATTCAATTCTTCCTCAGACATTTGCTTATGTCTTTTTTTTTACATTTTTGTTAGTATTTTCTTTTTTAATTTTTAAAAACTTTTAATGGACACATAACTGTGTTTATTTCTGGAGTGCAATGTAATGTTTCAATAGATGTTTACATCGTGTAATGTTTAAACTGGGTAATTAGCATACGCATCAAACATTTACCATTTCTTTGTGGTGGGAACACACAAGATCCTCTCTTCTCATAGTATATTGTACAGTAGGATAACTATAGTCAATGACAAGTAATTATACAAACTCTTTCTTTTTTATGTTCAGGTTTTTCTGCATGCTTGTTCTTTTGCAGGCCTTAGTCATCTTTGAGATCAGCTACTCATGGAAGGACAGTATGGAGAAAACGGGTGAAATAAGGTGAGAGAGTGTATGGTTCTGATTCAAATTTGCCTGGAATATTTTATCACCAATCTGTACTTTTTTCTGTCCTGGGAACCCATCTCCCTGAGCTTTTGGCCTTCAAGGGTAGCACTGGCTAATACAAAGCATTTATTGTCCCTGTCCTCTGGGCAGGGATGTGTCACAGCTGCCTCCCGCATCTCCCTCTCCCGCTTTACCCCAGGCAGGTCCCTAAGCCAGGGGCCAGAAGATGTACACTATGACTGGAGGAGGGCATGGTCCCTTCTTCATTGCTGTGCCTCTGAGTGTCCATGCATTGAACTGGCTCTATCCAAGCAGAGAAAAGTGCTCATGCTCATTTCCTTTTGCATTTGATGCCCCTGGTCCATTGTACATGCTCCATAAACATCTGTTAAATGAGTACATGATCATGTCAACTAATGAAGCAGATAAAACCAAAGAGACCAACAGAAAGGTGAACACAGGCAGCAGGCAAAGCAAACTATGGGGCAGTAGCGGAAGCGCCCACAGGTCAAGACTAGAGACATGAAGACACCCTCCCTCTCCTTGGAGGACAGGGGTGGCACTAGACCTGGGACAGGGTCTGCTTAGGCACTGTATTATTTTCTGTGGCTCCAACAAATTCTCTGACTCAAGCGTGGCCTGGCACCATCAACATGGTAAGGAACAGGTTCCAGACAGGGAGGCCTCCCACATTTGATCTTTCATCCATGCTGGTTTTGTTCTGGAAGTCACACCCTGTGAAGATGAAAGAAGGCTTCTGCCATCTTTCGTCTTGGTTCCATGGGCTTCTGCCCACTACTGGGTGAAAGCTCCAGGAAGTGGAGACCATCTTGGCATGATATGAGGATACTAGACATTGGGTTGTTCCAATAAAGATGTCAAACATTCCCAACCTTCACCATGTGCAGATACCTGTAATGCGAGGCAAGTAAATGCATGGACACTGCAGAGCCTGTCTGTGTGGACCAATGCCCACCAGCCTCAGGGTGGCCATTCCCTCTTGGGGACCTCCCCCTTTCAGTTCTGAAGAAAGATCCTATCTCCAACACAACCCAGGGAGACAGAAAACATCCAAAATGATTCTGGCACAGGCTGTGTGGAATGGGAGCTCAGAATCTAAGCAGACTCACAGAGAAGGAAAAGGCTGTTCCTTACACCTGAGTCTTTTACCTGAGACCCAGACACACTTAACCTAAGAGTTGGAAACACTTCCAAACAAGCCTCAAAGCCACTGCTCAGGGCTCAAAGTGAACACGACAATCTCTGCTGCCGTGGTAGCCTCTTCTTGCCCTTCTCTTTGTCTTTCTCATGCCCACCTGTTCCTTGTCTGGGGCATTCACCCTTCCTCTGGGTTAAGGGACTTTGGGGCATTCCAAACATACCTCAAGAGGCATGAGGCTGGTGGCTGTACAGTCTCATCACCACCATCTGCTGCTTGCTCGAGTCCAAGCATCTGTGTCCCACAGTTCCTGTTTCTTGTTCAAACTTGCCCAGGTTTATGCCTTAAATCAAAACCTTCAAGAAGGCAACAGCTGGCTCTTTAAGTCTGTAAACACTCTTAGTCAATGATTTTAAACGTTCTGTTCATCAATGCCAAATCAATACCAAATCAATGAAGTGAGACCTCATATCTGAGTCAGACACAAAAAATGGAAATGAAACATCTGTCCTTCCCTCTGAATATCTGCAATACCAATGGAGAGAGAAAGGTCAAGACAGCATTTCAGGATGTTACAATGTTTTAGGTCCTACAAAGTGCTTTCACATGCCTGAATGGATCTGTGTCTGACAATGACCTTGAGGGGTACTGTCTTCATTTTACATATGACAGAAGTGAGGCTCAGACTCGTCAATTTTGAAAGATTAGAGAATGCTGCAAAATAAAATGGCCAAGGTCAACACTGGAACTAAGCAATTGGAGCTACATCTTTTTTCTCTGCTACAGAATGAAAGATCTTAATTAAAATTGTTTCACCCTGTTGTTCCTGAACTGACCTCCCACTTATACCACAATGATGTGGTGATAGTACACAAAGATGTGAGCTCAGTTTCCAGAATCCAGTATGAAGAGACACATTTACTGAAGATGTCCTATGTGTATGCTGTGCCTGATGTCATTGTCAGAATTTTCTTAGTCATCACCATCACTCAGTGACATCGTTGCCATGTTATGCACAAGGAAAGTGAGTGTGAGCCAACAGGTTAATATTACAAACTCAATCACATTGGAGCACAGCTGAGAACATGGGATAGAAGTTTGGGATGTTAGTACAAGGGCATGGTAATCAAGGCAGTGTGGTAATAGCAGGACCAACAATGGAACAGAATAAAGGGCCCAGAAATAGACCCTCACTTACATGACCATTTGATTTTTGACAAAGGCACCACTATAATTCGTCATGGATAGGATGGTCTTTTCAACAAATGATGCTGAAAAATTTGGGTATCCACATAGAAAAAAGAAACTTGAATCCCTACCTCACACTATACACAAAAATTAGAGATGAATCACAATGCTCAATGTAAAAGCTAAACTATAAAGCTTTAATAAAGAAAACAGAATATCTTCATGCCTTAGCATAGGCAAAAGTTTCTTAGGACACAGAAACAACAACCACAAATAAAAAAATAATAAATCAGACTTCGTAAAAATTTTAAAATTTTACTTCCCCAAAAAACTAGCTGCAAGTCAACAAGTACAACAAACCTAGTAAAAATCAGTAAAAGAGATGAATAGGTAGTTCGCAAATGAAGAGTATGTGAATGATCAATCAATGTCTTCAGCATCGTCAGATAACAGGGAAATGCAAATGAGAACTGCGATGAAACCCACTACTCACCCACGCCAATGCCCTAAGAAAGCAGGCTGCCAGTGCCAAATGCTGGTGAGGACGCCCAGTGCCCAGAACCCTCAGACCTTGTGGGCAGGAGAAGAAAACAGTTTTGTAAACTTCTCTGTGACCCGATACCATTCCTAGGCATTAACCCAAGAGAAACTAAAGAATCCGTTCACAGAAAGCCTTGTACAAGAACGTTCACAGTAGCCTTATTCCAACAAGCTCCAAACTGGGAAGAGCCCAGGATTCTAGCCACAGGAAAGTAGCCAAGCAACCCCTGGCACGGTGAGGCAATGGAATGCAGACAGTGACGAAAAGGAGCAGGACACTGATAAAGCAGCGGCACAGATGGATCACAGGGGCGTTCCGCCGAGCAATGACTGCCCATTGTGGATCCCTTTCATGTGAAGTTCTAGAATAGGCAAAATTAATCTGTGATGGAGAAATCAGACAGGTTGCCTGGCGGAAGGGCTGGGGCAGGGCATGAGGGAGATTTCTGGTATGATGTGAATGTGAGTGTTCTGTATCTTGATATGGACTTGGATTACACAGGTGTATGGATTTGTCACGGCTCATCTCATTTGTGCATTTCATTTTACCTCAAAAGAAAAAGAAAAAGTTGGGCTGGTAGGTTGAGAACCTGGGCCAGTGTTGCAGGGAGCCCTTACCTCCAAGCTTGACCCAGAGGTATCTCAGGCATCCTGCCTCCTCCGCTGGGGCTCTCTTGGCCAAACCTATGTCAGATGATGGGGAGCCAGAGAAAACCTACAGGGGTTCTTGGCATGGCAACCTGAAAGGGAACCTCATGTGCTCAAGAGTGTCATGTGACAGGGAGAGCACAGGCCCATCACAACACTACATCACAATACAGAAACATTTACACGGGCACAGGAAGGAATGAGTGGTCTTTCCATCTCCAGACAGACACAAATCATTGATACTTTAAAAAAAAATAGTGGTATATTATACATAACATAAAATTTACCATCTGCAACATTTTTAAGTGTACACTTCTAAGGCATTAAGTATATTCACACTGTTGTACAACCATCAACAGAACTGTTTTCATCTTGTAAAACGGAAACTCTGTCCCCATTAAACAACAGCTCCACATTACCCCCCTCATCCCTCGTCGCCCACAATTGTACTTTCTGTCTCTATGAATTTGACGACTCTAGGTACCTCATGTAAGTGGAATCATTTAGTATGTGTTTTTTGTGACTGGCTTATTTCACTTAGCATAATGTCCTTGAGGTTCATGCATGTTGTAGCATATGTCAGAATTTGCTTTCTTACAAAGGCTGAATAATATTCCATTGTATGAATATGCCAGATTTTGCTTATCCATTCATAGATTGAGGGTCACTTGGGTTGCTCCCACCTTTTTGCTACTGCTGCTATAAACACGGATGTACAGATTTCTGTCCAAGTCTTCATGTTCAATTCTTTTGGACATACACCCAAAAGTGGGACTGCTGGATCCTACGGTAATTTTATGTTTAATATTTTGGGGAACCACCATTCCTATCAACAGTGAGCAAGGGCTCCAACTTCCCCAATTCCTTACCAGCACTTATTTTCTGTTTTTATTTTTGATAGTGGCCATCCTAATGGGTGTGCAGTGATGTTCTTGATCCTTTTTAAAAGAGGATACAAGCCTATGCTCCTTTCCCAGAGAAAAAATGAAGAGGCCTTTATTTCCAAGATGATTTCCCAGCAGAGGGCTGAGCTCCACAGCTGAGAATTGAGGCAGAGAATGCCCAGGGATGGCAGTGGAGGCTCTTTCTCCTCAAAATGCCCAACTCAAGTGATCTCCCTACACATTTGCCCACGAGGTTTGGCCAATACACATTTGATGCAAGCATGTGTATAATTTCTGGTTATTAGAAACTAAACAGATTTCTTTATGCTCCAATGCAGAAGGTAAGAAGCAGAGAATATTTACCAAATAAACCATTTCCATTTATAAAATCTGTATCCAGGCTTGAGGGCTGCAGAAACATTCTCACGAATGGCAATAGCCTTGCAGCAAGTGGTATTTATTTGCTTCCTATTGCATCAAAATTGTAGGAAAATATCCATTCTGACCACTGAAAGACCAATGCTTAGCAAATATGTATTTATGCAGTTTAACCAATAAAATGTATTTAAGTCAATATAAAAGTGTTGTAGTTACTATTTATTGACACTCTTTTAGAACCAGGCTAGATTTAAATATCTTAGAATTCCAGATATTAGCAGTTATCGAATTCCTCACTTCAGTATTTTGAGTGAATAGATCATTACAAACAAGATTTTAAACTTTCTTGTAAGTGAATTTAGCTGAAAATGGTAGAAATCTGAGAATCCATCATAAACTTGGGAATACTGGGCTCAGTTTTCACAAGCCATAGAGAAGATGGCCCTGGAGGCCCCGCTCTGCTTTTTGGGGGGTCCTCCCCTACTCATCTCTGTGCAGAGCCCACATTCTTCAGAGCCTTTCTAATGAAACAGGGAGGCCGTGGAGGGCCTTCAGTTTAGCTGCTGTAAAGCTTCCTATGATGTTTTTTCTAACTTTACATTAAGGACATCTGTCCTGAAAAGAGTAATATTCTTTAGCTTTTGCTTTGGGCAGAGTCATAATTTGAATGGCCTCAGGTGCCCTAAAACCAGCCAAAAGTGCTAACAAGAGTCACAGGCATTTCCTTCCTCTGGGTTGAAACAAATCAAACAGATAAAAGAATACATTCATAGCAACAAGGTTGGAGTTCACGGTGCAATTCTGCCAACTGCCTGGAACAGAACAAAGCAGAAAGGAACAGAACAGGAAGCTCCAGGGACCAGTGTTGCTGTAAAGAGAGATGGCAGGATGACCGCCAACAGCTCTTTCCCCAGTCAGTCTTCGTCTTGCTGGTATATGGTTTTGTTTTGTTTTGTTTTGTCTTTAAATTAATCAATCATGTTTATTTAAAGTTTTCTTAACATTAGACATTTTTAATGGGAGTAAAAATATTAGTGAACATTTTATTTCTTCTCTCCTATTCTAGCCACATAAGCCAGTTTAATGGATGGTACAGATTTCAGATGTAATTTGTAAAATATTCCAGGAGCTGCCTCTTGCTGGATCTGGTGTCTCAAGGTGTTGACAGAGAAGTTCTATTATGTATGTATTCTTTAGGCCAATTGTCGAATCCAAGCACTATACATGACTCAAGACAATGCTTATGATGGTTGACAACTTAAGTAAAGCATGCAATAGATAAACGCTGTGTCTGCTTCTATATCTGACCCAGGAAGTATGTAAAAGTGGTTATCTGCAGTGTATGAACACTACTAATTCAGGCAGCATCCTAAAAGGGTAATTGCAAATAGGACTGAGGTGCAGATGTGTGGATGAGTAAGAATCTTTCTGAATAATTAGATGCTGGCAAGACAAATGAAGTGAGATCACTGTGAAGAGTAAGTGTGAGTGAGCAACGATGGTGCAGGACACAAACTATTATGGGGAGGGGTGTAACACCCCATCCCCCAGCCCAGGGCTAAACATCTTGCCACAAGCACCAGTGGAAAAAATTAAATACATATTACACAAGGTCTGCCAGCCTGTTCATCTGCCAGGAAAAGATGACTGTCTCAGTCTATTGCTACAGATTTTGACGCTCTCCCTGTAACTTATTTTGCTTTTACCTTGGATGAAAGTGAACAAGGTTCAAACACAGAAAAAATATGGAGAAAAGCTAGGTTTACCAGATAAAACAGGATGTCCAATTCATCTTGAACTTCAGATGAACAACGAATATTTTAGTATAACCATGTCCCATGTAATATTTGACTCAAGCATATGTTAAACCATTATTCATTATTCATCTGAAATTCAAATTTAACTAGGCATCCCGTATTATTATCATCTTCCAGCTGGCAACTAAAAGAAGCACAAACTTGTTTGACCTTCCAAAAACCATCTTTCAGCTGGGCACCATAGAGAATGGTGAGGCCATGTGCAGCAAATCCCCACTGATTTTTCACCGCAAATAATAAGTACAAGGCAGCCAGGGTTGGTCTTCATTGACAAGAAATGCAAGTATGCTGTTTTATTCCCTTTCAAAATTATATATTCCACTTTGTTCTCCAAACTGCCCTATTGTTTGGACCTAAATATAGATATTTCACATACGCACACACACATATACACACATACACATACATACAAACACACATACACATATATACCCACATACAAATACATAGGTATATACATGTACACACATATATATACATACACACATACATATATCTGTATACACATACACATGTATGCATACACACATACACATATGTAAACATACACACACAGACACACACACATGGGTTGAGTATCCCTTATCCAAAATGGCAAAATGCTTGGGACAAGAGGTGTCTGGGATTTGGGAATATTTGCAGTATACTTACTAGATGAGGATCCCTAATCTGAAAATCTGAAATCCAAAATACCCCCAATGAGCATTTCCTTTGAGTATCATGTCAGCATTCAAAAAGTTTTGGATTTTGGAACATTTCAGATTTCAGATCTTTGGATTAGGGGTGCTCAACCTGTATATACACAAGTTGAGGAGACTAACTCAATATTTAAAGCATATCCCCTGTGATAACACCACCGAGAAACCAAAACTTTTTTTCCGAAACACAGCACTGTTTCATAATTCGCCTCTGATTCAAGACACATTTTCAAGCAAACTCCAAAAGTGATGTTCGGTGGTAACATTTTAAAATGCTCTCTCTAATGCAGAATTGTGGTGCAGAAGTAGTCTTTCACAATTATCCCCAGGGCAGGCCATTTTAGAATCTAAAAAAAGGGTACTTGTATAACTTAATCACTTTTCAGTTCTTCTGAAGTACTCTCCTTTTTTACTCTCTTTGCACTTTTCATGAACTTATATCACTTTAGATTCAGAAGATCTAAACAAAATTTACAGTATGGAATTTAACTCAAAATTCCTTTCTCAGAAATCCTTGCTAAGGATAATATTTTCCCAACTAATTGTATGAGGCTCATTTTAAGATACCAAAGAGAGTACAGAAAGAGTACCAAGATGCCTCATGAAGACAGACACAACAAACCTCCACAAAATATTAGCCACTAGAATCTAGCAATATGTAAAAAGAATTACGTACCATGACCAAGTAGGCTTGATTCCAGGGATGCAAGGCTAGTTTGATATTTTTAAAAATCAAGCCATATAATCCACAATATTAACAGGCTAAATCTAAAAACCACCAGATCATATCAACTGTCTCAGAAAAAGCATTTGGCAGATCCAACATATGTGCATGATATAAAAACACTCAGCAAACTAGAAAAGAACTTTCTCAAACTGATCAAGGCCATCTATAAAAAACAGATAGCTATATCATAATGAATGCACAAAGACTGGATGCTTTTTCCTTATGGTCAGAAAACAGAAAAGAATGTCCATTCTCACCATTGCTATTCCACATAGTACTAGAAGTTCTAGCCCATGCAATAAGGCCCAAGAAGGAAATGAAACACATAATGATTCATAAAGAAGAAATAAAGCTATCGCTATTTACAGATAACATAGTCTACATAGAAAATAATAAGGAATCTACAGAAAATCTTCTAGTACTAGACAAATTCAGCAAGGTCACAAGATACAACATAAACATACAAAATAAATTGTGTTTCTATATACTAGCAATGCCCATATGAAACAAATTAAAACAATATGATTCATGATCACTCAAAATAAAATGCTGGGCCAGGTGCAGTGGCTCACACCTGTAATCTCAGCACTTTGGGAGGCTGAGGTGGGTGGATCATGAGGTCAAGAGTTCGAGACCAGCCTGGCCAACATGGTGAAACCCCATCTCTACTAAAAATACAAAAAAAAAAAAAAAAAAAAAAAATTAGCCAGGTGTGGTGGTGTGTGCCTGTAATCCCAGCTACTCAGGAGGCTGAGGCAGGAGAATCGCTTGAACCCAGGAGGCAGAGGTTGCAGTGGGGCAAGATTGTGCCACTGCACTCCAGCCTGGGTGACAGAGCAAGACTCCATCTCAAAAAAAAATAAATAAAATAAAATACAATGTTTAGGTATAAATGGAACAAAACATGTATTGGACTTGTATATTGAAAGTCACAAAGCAATGATGAAAGATATAGAAGAATAAATGAATGGAGAAACATACCATATTCATAGATTAGATGACTCAACATAATAAAGATGTCAATTATTTCCAAATTCTTATCAAAATCCCAGCAAGGTGTTTTTGTAAATATGGACAAGCTTAATCTAAAATATTTATGGAAAGGCAAAGAAGTTGGAATAGCTAAAATAACTTTGAAAAAGAGGAATTAAATGAGACAAATCATTATACCTGATTTTAAGGCTTATTAAGTAACTATAGTAATCAAGACAGTGTAGTATTGGTAGAGGAACAGACACATAGATCAATGGAACAGAATTAAACAACATAAATAGATCCATACAAGTACAGCCAACTGATACTTGACAAAGTAGAAAAAGCAATTCAATGGAAGAATCACCTTTCCAAAAACAGTGCTGGAGCAATTGCACATCCATAAGCAAAAAAGTGAACTTTGATCTAAATATCATGTCTTATAAAAAATAATCAAAAATGGATCACAGCTTTACATAAAATGCAAAACTACAAAAGTTTAGAAGAAATTGTAGGAGAATATGTTTTGTACCTAGCACTACATGAAAAGGTCTTAGATGTGACGCTAGTCACTTTTTTTAAAAGTACGTTAAAAGTAATAAATTGGACTTCAGCAACATTTAAAAACAAACAATAACAACTTTTGGTCTACAAAAATTTATTTAGCAGAGGCTAAAGGTTAGTCATCTCTACCTCAACCACTAGCACTGCCATCATCCAGGGACCAAGCCAGAGACCATGGCCCTATCCTCCACATCACCCTCTACCTCTCCACATTCAATCCACCCAAACCCACAAAGACCAGGTCTCCAAGCCAGGCCTCTCTTCCCATCTGCACCCACTGGTCTAAGCTGCCACATCTCTCTCCAGGAAGCCTGCAGAACCACCACTCCCAACTGATCTCAGGCTACCCCCACTAATAATCTTGAGGACACCCACCACTGCTCACTGATTTTGAAGATGCTACACTATTCCTAACTGATCTCAAAGACCCCCCCCCACTACTCCTAAGTGATCTTGAGGGACCCCCATTACTCCTAAGTGATCCTGAGGGACCCCCATTACTCCTAAGTGATCTTGAGGGGCCCCCACTACTCCTGATTTTGAGGGCCCCCTACTACTAACTCATTTTGAAGGCCCCCTACTAGTCCTAACTCATTTTGAGGGTCCTCCACTACTCCTAACTGATCTTGAACCCCACCTCCTTTATAATCCACTCAACAGTCAGAGAGACCTTTGCCAAATGCATGTTGGGTCATGACTGAGCCCTTTTCCTTTGAGATCCACAAATACCATAACAGATCCGATGGACTGGAGGACCCAGACAGATAGCTGGGTTGGGGTGGGGAGTTCATGACACTGGTGTGCTGCTCTCCCAGCCCCTGCTCCATGGCACTCCATAGGGACAGCTGGTGGGAGAACCAGCAGAGTGGCTGGCCAGGTGAGCCCTGGCCTCAGGGCCAGGTTCCTCTGGCTTGGAGCACCGTTCGAAACACCATGCTGGGGAAAGGGGCACCCTCGTCCTGGCCAGCAGTGGCCCCAGGCTCCAGCAACTGGATTGCTTCCCACAGTGGGCAGGCGCTGGCCTCAATACTGGATGTCACCACTATTCAGTGACAAAGCCACAAGGCAGTGACTACTTTGGGGAACAGGACACATGCTCACATTCCCATTTCTTCTTCTGTTTGCTCGTCAGCAGGATGGTATCCATGGGGCCAGGTAAGCACCTTGAGGGCCCTTGGACCAAATAAAAGAGTGGACTGGCTGTGACCAACAGGATGAGGGCTCACAACAATCTTATTTTAAACTCTAAAGGAAATGTAACCTAATTTGAGGTGGTAAAACAGTAGAGCCAGGCATATCCTGCCAAAGACACACCCCTTGCTGCAGCCTGTCCTGGCATCCACTCAGCACCTGCACAGAAGCACGTGTGAGAGCCCTGCTCTCCTCTTCTATAAACTTCTATGGCTCCATATTCCAGGGACATCCCGGCTCCATTGAACCAAAAAGTGGGTTGAGAAACTAACTTGTGTGTGTGAGGGGATTCAGACAAGCTCTAAGAAGGGTGTCACTGCACCATGGTCAGGTATAAATAAGGGCATCGGTCACCATGTGCAAAGCCTCTTGGGACTAAGTTGGGATATAAACTCTTATATCAAGGCTGGGATTCTTAAAACAACATTAAACATCTTGTAATAACTTCCCTGGGAGATACTGTGGGCACTCACTTAATAGATACAAAATATAAATGATATTTTGGAAGTTGTATTATTTACTTTAAAAAAACTTTTTTTTGTTTATGTTATTTTGTCTTGCTAGCTCTTTAACTTGACCAGACTCTAACTACACAAAATAAAATCTCTTTTTAAAATAAAAATGACCTACAATGACTAGCAATCCCCATTAAAATTTCAAGACACAGGCAGCAGTTTCTGAAATAATTGTATAGACTATTATAAAATTGAAGCTTAGGCCAGGCATGGTGGCTCACACCTGTAATCTCAGCACCTTGGGAGGCCAAGGTGAGTGGATCACCTGAGGTCAGGAGTTCAAGACCAGCCTGGGCAACATGGTGAAACCCCATCTGTACTAAAAATACAAATAAATAAATAAATAAATAAATTAGCTGGGTATGGTGGCGCACGCCTGTAATCTCAGCTACTCAGGAGGCTGAGGCACGAGAATCATTTGAACCCGGGAGGTGGAGGTTGCACTGAGCTGAGATCGCACCACTGCACTCCAGCCTGGGCAATACAGCAAGACTTCGTCTCAAAAATTAAAAAATAAAAATAAAAATAAAAAATAAAATTGAAGCTTAAAGCTCACTCTCTAAATGATAGTAGTCTATTCTATTAGAATGATGAAAGGTAACATTACACTCTAGAGGTTATCAAGCGTCCTTTAATGTTACATATAGCATGAAGTTAACTGGACTGTTTTTCGGTCTTTTTTTCCCCCTTTAATAGACACTGGTAGTGGTGGAAAACATGCTTTTAAGGTAAATGCTCAGGTTTCAGAAAATACCACACAAGAACAGGAAATATTAAAATGGACAATAATGCCCAAATATTTCTCTTGAGGATTTAGATTTCACATTACTCAATCTAGTACATCCCATTACGAGAGTTTCCTAAAATAACTTTATAGAATTTGCTATCTACCACGGAAAAGGAATAGAATCTACTATCTATCACTATCCATCTACTACTGAGGATACAATCTACTATGTGCCATGGCAAAGGAATACCCAAAGTCACAGGCTTGTCACAGTACCACGCTGGGAGGGCTTCTGACAGACCACAACACCCTGCTGCTGAGGAATGCCGTCACCTGTGCAATGTGGAGAACAGAAAGTTGAACCTCTGCCAAGCAACAGAAGAGCCTGTGGTCTAGGTGGACCTATTAATCATCACTATAAAATAAAGCACCACCTCCAATACATCTGCTTGGTACACAGAGGTGGGGGCTGTGGTGTGGCAGAATTGCCTGGGGTGTGTGGTCAGAAGACTCAGGCTAAGCTCCAGCCCCTTTTTCTTCGTCACAGAGTCCCTTGGCAAGGCACTCAACTTGGACTTCAACCCAGGACCAGAAGATACTGTTGGCCTCAGAGAGAGTGAGAGGTGATTCTGACAGAAGACAGAGCCTGGGTCAAACCATGAACTGCCTCGGAAATGAGGCTGCTGAATGGTGGATGTCCTCAGCGTCCAAGGCACGCTCTGAAACACAGCCCTGACGATGCAGGACACAAGGAAGCCTCGAGGACACATGCAACAAGTGGTCAGTGACAATGTGGTGGCTCTACGCTGCCTCTGCCCCTCTACATAGTCACTTCCCTTACTACCCACCGAGTCAGTGTATCAGGGACAGCATGTGCTCCGCTGGTGGATGACACTGGCTGAGCATAGCAAGAAAAAGTTAATGGAGTTGCACGAACAAACACTGAACTAAAACGTCTTCATTTAAATACAGAATCTGCCTCTGTCAAGACCAGTACTCCTCTCTCAGATTTCTAAGAGTAACTGCTTACTAAAATGCCACTGTATTCCTGCTTGACCCAAAATTAATCCAAAATATACTCCAGGGCAATCAGAAAACTTCATGTACTCTACCTGGAAACCTTATTCTAGCTTCTACCTGCTGGAAAGAGTATTTTTGGAGAGATGGAATATGTCCTATGCTGAAGACCTGCATACCTGCCACCCAGCAATTCCACTCCTAGGTCCACCCAACAGAAATGCATCCAGATGTTTGGCAGAATATGCTTTAGAATGTCTCTCTTCCCATCTCCACCCATGCTCTAGAATGTCCAAAGCCATACTGTTCATAATAGCCCAAACTGGCGACCACCTGCATGCCCATCAACAGTGAATGCTGTATATTTGCACTGCACTGAGAATTAATGAGCTACAACTACACACAAGGCCCTGTATGAATCTCACACACATAATATTGAGTGAAAGGAGCAAAATGGAAAACATGCATCCTGCATGGTCCCACATACATAAAGCACAAAACAGGCAAATCTATGGTGTTAGAAGTGAGAGCAGTGGTGACCCCAGGGGGGTATGAGGGGCTCCTGCAGTGTGGGTGTGTTCTGTGTCCTGATCTAGGTGTGGATTATGAGGTGTGCTCAGTTACTTGGCTGCATTTATTAAGCTGCAAACTTCTGACGTGGCCTTTGTGCATGAGATTCTACTGCCATAAAAAGTGGTGCAGCCAAGGACTAAGGGAAAGAGAGGCTAGCAAGAGGGAGTGCCTCTCATGCCCTGCTCCCAGAACTTGTTTTTTCCCACCAGTTAAGCCAGCAAGAGATCAGATTTTCACAGCCGGAAGTGAAGCTGAATCCCTCTGATGGCTGGTTTCAATGGAGACTGTACTATCTACTCCAGGGAATGGGGGCTGGTGGGGGACAGAGAGGACACTGCACAGGCCAGTAATTAAGGTATGCTATTTAACAATATCACAAACGCACTCTGAATTCTGACAAGATTCGTGACTCTCCAAATTTACTGTGACTCACCTGTGATCTCCTCAAAACTGTGACAAAACCCTGACCTACTTAGGGCTGGGAAAGTGCCTGTAAATCACATCGCTGCCTCCCTATTTAAAGCATGTCTCTCATGACTTAAGCCATAGTAGAACAGAAGAAAATCCCAAATCCACTGTTGGGCCCAGAATTCCAAAAGATGGGCTTATATTTGCTACCTGCTCCAAAAACCCCAAATGCCAGTGTGACATGCATCCTAATTAATGCTCTCGGTTCCAGGAAGCCAAGGGCTGAGGGAATGGACGAGAAACTGCTGTGCACAAGCCTCCTAGAAGCACTGCTCCCTTCCTGCACACATCCAGGCTCACACCACTGCTATGCAGACCCTAGTCCCCATCCCACAATAGAAATGAGAAGGAGGACAGCCAGGCCTGGCTGCCCTTGTGCTCTGTCCTCACAGCATATGTGAGGAGTCGGGAAGTCTATCCCACTGGATTGCTTTCCTGAGGTCCAAGGGGCAAAATTCCCTAGGAAGGTGGCCTGGACGCTGGGAACAGTTACCTCCCCAACTTCTGGGGGAATTTCTCTTAGAAGGTTTAGTCTTCCCAGTGACAAGACATTTTTTTTTTCTGATCATAGCATTATAACTCAAGACAATTTTTAAAATATTTTTTCTCCAAAAAAAAAAAAAAAAAACCCCAACCATTAAGCCTTAACACAGTCAGTCTTCTTGAAAACATGTTCTGGCAGTGATCCTTATTTCTTTTGACAGTGATTTTTCCACACCTATGCTACTTTTCCAGCTCTTCCTTTAAAAATGTATCATTTTGAAATGACAATCTGTACAATTTCCATTTAACACAATTACAGCAGCCTTCTAGGCCCTGGCACAGAAGCAAGGCAATGTCCACAGCTTCTGCAAACATCTGTAACAACATCACAGATGAGCCCTTGCTTGGCAGAACCCCTGCTGAGCTGGGTGACAATAAACAAACCCTGGCTGTGTCACAGTCATTGTTTTTGGTCTGTTTTGTTTTTTGTTTCATTTTTTCTGCTACGCCTAACTCAAACTTAACAGGTTAAGGACTAGCAGGGCCACCTGCATCACATAATGATATGATGTCCAGGAGCATATGTCTGTTCCCTGTGGGCAGGTTCCAAGCCCTGCACCAAAGCACTCTTTGATGGTCCCCGATACACTGGAGTCATGTTTACTCCCTGCTAAACCACACGGTTTACATTGTGAGGTTCACAGTTTACACGGTTCGCACTGTGAGGACCACCCAGCCAGGCAGGAGGGCCATGACCTCAGGGGAGCAGGGCCACACCTTCAAGTTTTCCAATCAATCAGACCTCATTAATTCTCTCTGCAAAGCCCATCCAAAGTTCTAAGGACATACTCACTTCGACGGAATATTTGAAAATCAGGGGGAAAGAGTGAACTTTAATCATCTTATCATTTAAAGACACTTTCCACCTTTTCTCTGTGCCTTTTGACCTCTAGCATCCCAGGCACCCACACTGACACAGTACAGGATATGACAGAAAAGAGAATCAAGAATCGCACACTGCGCTGGGTGCGGTGGCTCATGCCTGTAATCCCAGCTCTTTGGGAGGCTGAGGCAGGTGGATCATGAGGTCAGGGGTTCGAGACCAGCCTGACCAGCATAGTGAAACCCCGTCTCTACTAAAAATACAAAAATTAGCCAGGCGCACGCCTGTAATCCCAGCTACTCAGGAGGCTGAGGCAGGAGAATCACTTGAACCCAGGAGGCGGAGGTTGCAGTAAGCCGAGATTGCACCACTGCACTCCAGCCTGGGTGACAGAGTGAGACTCCGTCTCATAAAATAAAATAAAATAAGAATCACACACTGGTTCCATGAGACCCCTTCCTGATGACACTGGAGATGCCTTCTTGTCCTTGGCCTCCTAACAGCCTGCTGTGAAGATACCTGCCTGTGTCTCCTGGTTCCTCATATACAACTCCCAGAACTCCTGATTCCATAGCCAGTAACGTGTCCCTCAAAAGGTGGAGGTTCCTCTACACAGTTCACCTTACTAAGCAGAAAACATCAATTACAAAAGCAAAACCAACACTCCCAACCTTCCGTAAAGGAAAAGACCTGATGCCACATAGGTAGATGGGTCCCACAGGAGGCCACGAGAGGCAATGCCCTGCCAGGAACAGTGCAAATCCTTTCTTCCTGTCACTCAGGGCCCTGCTTACTGCCTCGGGGACCATTCCCAGGACTTGGTGTCCCCATCTGTGAGCTGGAGACATGGCTACCACTGGCAGAGCTCCCATAAGAATTCATGTGGGATACAAGGAAGACCCTGCTACCCCCAGCAAACAGAGAGCCTCCTGTATGAGCTCTTCTCTCCTTCACAGTCGATAGGAGGCACCCTCCATGGTGGGCTCCTGAGAGAGCCCCGAAATAGGCTGCCTTCTTGCCATTCAAACCCCTTCTGGTTCCCATGTTACAGCTGGTTTAAAATAATAATTAAAAAGCAGGATTCTTCAGCATGCCAGCCATCCCTCCTCCCCAGGCACTGGGCATCCTCTCACCTGCGCTAGGCGACATAAACCTGTTTCCCTCATGGCTCTGAACACACCTTGTTCCATGTCCTGTACCTCTCCATCTCAAGGGGAGGAGAATTGAAAAGGCTGCGGAGCCACACTCAGTGCAGATTCTGGCCCCTACTTCTGTCCTGATTCTGCCCCAGGTTTCAAGTAGGTAGGGTGCACACTCGTGCACATCAGAAACCACGCGGGTAAGCCACAGGAGTAGCCAATATTTACATGCACCCACCATCTCTCTCGTCCTCTGTGAAGCTGGCCTCACGCCGGCTCCAACCACACGATGCACCCAGGGCCACAGAGGATCCGGCTCTGGGCAGGGGAATCATGCTCAGCACTTGGCCATGTTTTACAGATCCCCAGCCCCCAACCAGCATGTTGAGGCCCCCTCAGGAAGGGCTGGCCTGGGGACTCTGCGACCTCCCACTGCTCTTCATACTAGGCCCCTCCTAGCACCTCTGCAATGCCATCTTCCACCCTGTACCCTCTACCCACTCTGGCAGACGTGCCAGGACCCAGTGGTATTCTAACCTGGCCTAAGCACTTGCCAGGGAGGGCCTGAGTGAGCATGGAGCACAAAGCGCTTGGAGTGCAACCACAGACAATCCACAGACCCGTTGGGGGTTGGTGGCTCCCCCATGCAGGAGGAGGTCTGGGGACTCTACGGGACACCATGCACAAGAGAGCCCACAGGCCTGGGGTCTGATAAGGAGGATCTCTCAGGATGGCGGCCCCACAGTGTGGGATGCCAGGGACTCAGCTGTTCCAGGGGCTGCCTCCACCTGCTCCTCCCCTGCCCTTGGCTGGCTCTGCCCCTCTGCTGGACAGGCTCTCGGGCTTCAAGCCCCTGCAACTCCACAGCCCTGCTCTGCTCACCTTTGTCCTTCAGACTCTCTCTACCTCCTGTCTTCTGGGACTCTGCTCTTATTTCCAGTTGTCTGATTTCTTCCATATTTCCCAATTCAGATCCCCAAGGAATCCCACTTTCAGATATGATCAACATGACTCTTTCCTGAGCGCTTTCCACCAGATGGGTAAGTTGGCCCACTGGCCAGTCTAGAGCCTGTGGCCCAAACTGTCTTTTTCTTTTTTGGGTAGAGGTTTGTGGAGGAAGGGTATGGGATTACATATAAACTCTTTGGGTATGTTGCCAAGGACTAAGTTAAGAAAGCTGGAAGGAGCACATATTGCAGATATCAGAGTAAAATTGTGAAGGGAGCCCACTGAGAACCCTAAAGAACAGGAAAAAGGGGAGAACTCTGACAATGGAATAAGAACGGGCAGGAACTGGTATGGCTCACTCGTCTCCAATGACCTGCCAGGCTGCACTGGCAAGATTCATCTACTCAACCTGGAGCACCTCCGCAGCAAAGCCATGGTGCCCAGCCCCCGGTGAGCCCCCATCAATATCCAGTTCAACAACCACCGCACATTCAACACAGTGTCACATGGCCACTGAAACCTCGGTTTAAGAAGAATATTTATAACACGGAAAAGGCTCAAGAAATGATGTCCGTGACAAGAAAAACCAAACCAGATAAAACATTTTTTAGCATATATGATTATTTACTTTTTTCGCATATATGATTATTTATGTCTTCTCCAACGAGTAGGTATTTTTCTAAAGAGTACTTGCTACTTTCACGAGTTTAGACAAAAAGTCTGTTGAAAGAATAAGCAGATGACACAATGCCAAGGGCAGCAAGATTTAGGATAGACTAAATTTAGAGATAGAGACAATGAAAAGCCAAGGGTCGCCTTGTTGTTCCCTGCTAGGCAGGGCAGGGAAGGACAGTCCTCCTCCTCTCCCAGGCTATGCCAAGAGGGCAGGGCACCCCGCAGGCCTGCCGTAGCCTGGGCATCCTTGTGAGTGAATGGGCCTGCAAGGGGCTAGCACAGTATGTCAGGGCACACAGAGGGCGTGATGGGGCTGCAGTGGACCCTTTCCATAAATATGTGTCCCAGGTGTAAATACAGTTCATACATGCTGCATGCTTCTGAAACAATTCCACCCATTCCCAACATGCAGGAGGGCAGTGCCTAGAGCCAGGCCACTGTGCACACATGCCTGATACTGAGTTGGTTGTGAGTACATGATAGAAATGAAAAAAGGGTGTGATCATGGTCAAAGAGCAAGACAGCCGCTCTCCTCCACTAAGGACTAGTGATGTTCCTTCTCGTTCCTTTACTACGAGAAGGAGGCTATTTGTAAAGGTCCCAGGTCACAGTGACTTGGTAATACATACTTTACTCCAGGGAAGCAGTAAAATGGCCTCTGACTCCCACATCTACTGGGGTTGGTTACTGCAGGGCTCTGTGGGGGCACTGAAGGCATAAGGGTTTGCAACACAGGGAAGACCTTGCTTTGGAGATCTGAAGAGCTCTGATAATGTCGTGACCATGAAAATCACTATTACCATGGATAAGATTCACAAAGCCATGCGGACCTGTGTCTTAGTCCATTCACGCACTGGTATAAAGAAATACCTGAGACTGGGTAACTTATGAAGAAAAGAGGTTTAATTGACTCACAGTTCCACAGGCTTAACAGGAAGCATGGCTGAGAGGACTCAGGAAACTTACAATCATGCTGAAAGACCAAGGATAAGCAAGCGCGTCTTACCACATTGGAGCAGGAGAGAAAGCAAAGGGGGAAGGAAGTGCCACACATTTTTAAATGATCAGATCTCGTGAGAACCCACTCACTATCATGAGAACAGCAAGAGGGAAGTCTACCCCCATGATCCAGTCACCTCCCAGCAGCCCACACCTTCAACATGTGCAGATTACAGTTCCCACATGAGATTGGGGAGGGGACACAGAGCTAGATCATATCAACCTGCAACTTGCCCTTCAGGAGTGAGGTCCCTAACTGCAGAGTCCCTCGAAGAACACACATTCAGTGAGGCAGGCTCATGGCTTACAGGAGCGGCCTCACTGCCTGCAGGTGCTGAGCAAGGAAAGGCAGGGAAAGGCTTTGGGAAGGGAAACCAAAGGTGTCACACGAGAGGCAGGGGCTAGGGTCTTGAAGAGAAGGCCCTGCTGGGCACGCAGGGAGGGGCAATAGCAAAAACAGGGGTAAGGCAGCCATGACTGCTGTGGGATTGAGATGAGGGGGACGTGCAGACCAGTCTGCCTGGGGAAGCATCAAACCCTGAACTTTAAGTAATGGTTCCCCAGTTGTAGGTAATACTCTAAAAAACTGTGCTTTTTATTTTTAAAAAAAAACAGTTTTCTCTCACTGAGCTTGCAGAATTTAAGAAATTTCAGTCAGAAGTCCACAAATAGGCTCCAGAACATCCCAGCCATCAACCTCTAAGCTGCCTCTCTCCTTTCTTTGCCCTCCGGCCTTCCCAAAGCCTTTCCCTGCCTTCCCCTGGTCTGACTCAGCAGTCATCTCTTGAGATCATGTGCTCTTCCATATCCAATGCTTTGTATTTTTTAATCTCGTTGATAGCAAACAAATAGAGTTCTGAAAAATATGGTATGCTCAGTTGTGAAAGGCTGGTGAGTTCTTTGCCTCTGCCCAGCTGAGAGTTCCTGGAGGGGCCCACATTGCTCCAACAGTAGCTCAGCACTCAAAGTCAGAGAGCATGCACTGGGCACTCTCAGGCCTTGGCATACAAATGCACCAGTTGCTGCCCTGTCCTTTTATGGATCCACATCCCAAGCTATTTCCAACTTCAGAGTTAGAAACAGGCCTGCAGTTGCTTGTCTGTAAGGATTTTATTTCTCCTTCACTTATGAAGCTTAGTTTGGCTGGATATGAAATTCTGGGTTGAAATTAAGAATGCTGAATATTGGCCCCCACTCTCTTCTGGCTTGTAGAGCTTCTGCTGAGAGATCCACTGTTAGTCTGATGGGCTTCCCTTTGTGGGTAACCCGACCTTTCTCTCTGGCTGCTACCTGACTTTGAACTACACTACAAGGCTACGGTAACCAAAACAGCATGGTACTGGTACCAAAACAGAGATATAGACCAATGGAACAGAACAGAGCCCTCAGAAATAATACCACACATCTACAACCATCTGATCTTTGACAAACCTGACAAAAACAAGAAATAGGGAAAGGATTCTCTATTTAATAAATGGTGCTGGGAAAACTGGCTAGCCATATGTAGAAAGCTGAAACTGGATACCTTCCTTACACCTTGTACAATAATTAATTCAAGATGGATTAAAGACTTAAATGTTAGACCTAAAACCATAAATACCCTAGAAGAAAACCTAGGCAATACCATTCAGGACATAGGCATGGGCAAGGACTTCATGACTAAAACACCAAAAGCAACGGCAACAAAAGCCAAAATAGACAAATGGGGTCTAATTAAACTAATGAGCTTCAGCACAGCAGAAGAAACTACCATCAGAGTGAACAGGCAACCTACAGAGTGGAAGAAAATTTTTGCAATCTACCCATCTGATAAAAGGCTAATATTCAGAAGCTACAAAGAACTTAAACAAATTTACAAGAAAACAATCGACCCCATCAAAAAGTGGGCAAAGGATATGAACAGACACTTCTCAAAAGAAGAAATTTATGCAGCCAACAGACACATGAAAAAATGCTCATCATCACTGGCCATCACAGAAATGCAAATCAAAACCACAATGAGATACCATCTCACACCAGTTAGAATGGTGATCATTAAAAAGTCAGGAAACAACAGGTCCTGGAAAGGATGTGGAGAAATACGAACACTTTTAGACACTTTTACACTGTTAGTGGGAGTGTAAACTAGTTCAACCATTGTGGAAGACAGTGTGGCAATTCCTCAAGGATCTAGAACTAGAAATACCATTCAACCCAGCGATCCCATTACTGCGTATAAACCCAAAGGATTATAAATCATGCTACATAAAGACACATGCACATGTATGTTTACTGCAGCACTAATCACAATAGCGAAGACTTGGAACTAACCCAAATGTCCATCAATGATAGATTGGATTAAGAAAATGTGGCACATATACATCATGGAATACTATGCAGCCATAAAAAAGGATGAGTTCATGTTCTTTGTAGGGACACAGATGAAGCTGGAAACCATCATTCTGAGCAAACTATTGCAAGGACAGAAAACCAAACACTGCACATTCTCACTCATAGGTGGGAATTGAACAATAAGAACACTTGGACACAGGGTGGGGAACACCACACACTGGGGCCTGTTGTGGGGTGGGGGGAGTGGGGAGGGATAGCATTAGGAGAAATATCTAATGTAAATGATGAGTTAATGGGTGCAGCACACCAACATGGCACACATATACATATGTAACAAACCTGCACGTTGTGCACATGTACCCTCAAACTTAAAGTATAATAATAATAATAATAATAAAGAAAGAAAAAGAAATAGGCCTGCAGGCTCTCTGGTTTGTGGCTGGCCCCATCCTTCTGCTCACACCCACCACAACCCTGATGCATACAAAGCACTTTTACAACCTTGCTGCAGGCAGGACAATGCACCAATAAAGGGCACAGCTTCAGAAGGTTCTCACCTCAGAGAGCCACTTAAGGCTCCAAAACCAACAACCCAAGGAGTTAACATGCAAAGCGGCCCATGGTACTCTTGGAGGCCTGACAGAAGCAAATACAACCTCATTGGCCAGGCACATCCTGAAGCCAAGCCAAAAATGAGGCTGCAATCCAGTGACAAAACAAAAGCAGCAGTAATTCCCCAAGAATAAGAGCCAACAGACACAGAAACAGCAGAACCAGACAACAGCTCCCACCCCACCAACACCACTACCACCAAGCTCAGGTAATAAATGATTACTTGGAGACCAAAATAATGCTTTAAAGGTTGATTCAAGCATTTTTAAACATGATTAAAACACTAAGTAAACAGTATGGCAATATTAAAAAGACCAGGGTGATGAGAAATGAAGAGAATGTGTGTAAATGAGTACTATAATCACAAAATCAAAGACCAAGAGGCTGGTTTTTAAAGTGGATTTGACATGGATTAGGTAGAAGGTAGATTCATGAAGTGGAAGGATGCATTGAGGGAATTATCCAGAATGTACCAAAGAGAGCTGGAAGAACAGGTAATGTGAGAGAATGGCTAAGAAATTAGAAGATGTAATGAAAAGGATCAATAAATGACTAATTGGAGATGGAAAGAAAAGAGAGAAGAGGTAGCAGGCAACCTATGAAGAGTTAGTGGCTAGTAATGTCATAGAATCAATGTCATACATGGATTCTCTACTTAGGAAAGGCCAGAGAAACTGATGGTTCATTCTCTAATCTTCTCAAGTAACCCAAAAAGATCAAGACGGCTAATTTTCCAAGATATCACACATTCTGGTTGTACAGGTGACCCCAGGATGTAGTGTTTTCCAAACACCAGTTTATTTTGTCTTTTCTCCACATTTGCAATAATACCATGATGGAGTTGGATGGAGGTGATCATTTGAACTAATCCTTTGGGTCCTGCTGACCTCCTGTTTACAGGGATGCTAGGGCTTGGCCCTTCTGGCTTCTCTAAAGCCAGAGTTCACCAGTTACACATCCCCATGATTGACAATCCCATGTGAACTCTACAAACTTGGAGGCAGGCAGAGAAAGAAAAGTATTTAGATACTTCAACTGATTGCCATTTTGTGTTTTGTTTGTTTTGTTTTGTTTTGTTTTGTTTTGAGACAGGGTGTCGCTCTGTCGCCCAGACTGGAATGCAGTGGCACAATCTCAGCTCACTGCAACCTCCGCCTCCTAGGTTCAAGAGATTCTCCTGCCTCAGCCTCCCTAGTAGCTGAGATTACAGGCGCGCACCACCATGCCCAGCTAATTTTTGTAATTTTAGTAGAGACGGGGTTTCACCATGTTGGTCAGGCTGGTCTTGAACTCCTGACCTCATGATCCGCCCTCCTTGGCCTCCCAAAGTGCTGGGATTACAGGCATGAGCCACTGCGCCCAGCCCTGACTGCCTTTTAACGCAAGGTAGACTTTTTGCCAGCAATTGAAGACAGTAAGTGTGGGTGCCCTCTCCCTTTCACACCACTTGCTGGCAGGAGCCCCAGGGGCAACAGACTGAAGGAAGTGCCCACAGGACATTCCACAGTAGGCCAGGCTGAAGGGAAATCTTCATCAACTCTTGTTCCTTGGAATTTAGGATTTCTCACTTTTAAGTCGCCATGGCCTTTGAAACTAAGTTTTGCAGATGGAGAAACTAAAAAACTAAGGGTTGTTAACATATAACTATTTTAAACTGAGAATTTAAAACAAACAAATCTCAAATTATTGCAATAAACTATTCCAAAATACAGTTTGGGTTCACAGATTTGTAACTACAAATAGCTTATAATACACAAAGTTCATAACCTTCAACTTGATCTGATAAAGTACCTACATGCCTCCTCCATACAAAGGACCAAGTCAGACATTTACGAAGACAGCTTGTGCCATGTGAGTGGCCAACTGGCCAATTCTGTGCTCCTCAATGGGCTCATCTGTGAAGTGGGCTTGAACACTGATACCTGCCTGGCAGGGTAGCTGTGAAATCTAAACTAGATAATATAGGCAAAGCACTTGGCAATGATTGCTACTCTTATCACTTAGAAATTACAGCGCTAATTTAATATTCATTACATTAATGATTTAATTAAATTACTAAAGCAGTAAGAATTCATTCAAGGTTATACTGATGAATACCCAAAAGGTCACAGACTTCCAAAAGACAGGTGGTCACTCCAAGGCCACCAGGACCAGGCAGTATACAGGGACAGGCTGAGGAGGTGGGGAAGAGTGGGGACAGACGTCCAGGGTGGTACCTGCCACCTCCCTTCCCCCCAGGCTGCTCTGCAAGGAAGGGCCTGGGTGGCCCTCGCTGGGATGCCAAATCTCTAATACAATAGCTTGTCTAATCTAATAAAAGAGCCTTTGTGAAGAATTGTTCTGGAGTCAAACAAAAACTCTTCTTGGAAAAGGAGCCCTAAAGTTACTACACAATGCTCAGCATCCGTGCAAAACAGTGACCTATTTCTCAAAGCACAAGAAGTCCCCAAAGATTACAAGCAAAACCCCTCAGCATCCACACAATCATCCAGCAGACAGCAGCTTCTCAGCTTCGAGCAAACAATCTACTCCTCCACACTTTCTTTGAAAGCCCCAGAAACAATGAAAAAGGAAAGGGAGAGAGAAAACTAGAAAGAGAAATATATTCCACCCCCAACAAATCAAGGAGACAGACACAACCACAAGCCACAAACTACTGAGTGTACCAGAACCAATGCAATCAGGAACAGACACAGAGAGCCAGCACCCACCTCCTGAACCTGGGGAGGCACATGGGCCCCGCCAGGAGAAATGGCCTAGCCCCAATGTGGTTGGTCATGAAAGGGCTGTGTGGATACAGAAGCATGGCCACTGAGCAGGCCTCAGCCTGTGGACTCGGCCTTGTACAGAGAGAAAGGCAGCAAATGTATGACAGAAACACAAGAGGTCTGCTATGAACAACACCCAACTTAAACCCTGAAATCTAGGGAACACAGCCTGCCTTAGACAAAGGGAATTCATGTGGAATAAATGTATTTCAGACCACAAACTTGAATCCAGTGTGCATCCCGCCCTGGCTTCACCCTCATCCTTCTTCTTCAACAAAGACCTGACCCCATTCAAAAGTGACTAAAATCACAAAGCAACCAGCATGGGAATCAGGCACAGAAGAGAGGGTAGGGAAGGAGAAGAGCAAATGCAGATGCCTGAGAAAATACCCATAAAGAAACAGATAAAGTGACTTTATAAAAATATTTCCCATTTTTTCTATTAGTTTTTTATTACTACTGTAACAAATTACCACAAACTGAGTGGTTTCAAGCAATATAAATTTATTTTCTTATAGTTTTGAAAGTCGGAAATCTAAAATCGGGTTAAAATCTAGCTGTTGGCAGGGCTGCATTCCTTCTGGATGCTCCAGGGAGGATCTGCTCCTTGTCTTTTATGCTTTTTAGAGGCTGCCCTCATTCTTTGGCTTATGGACCCCTTCCAGGAAACACATCACTCTGACCTCTGCTCTCACTGCCACAACTCCTATGCTTCCCTTGTGATGACCTGGGGCCCACCTGGGTCGTCCAGGATCATCTCCCTGTCTCAAAGACCTTCACTTAATCACACCTGAAAACTCCCTCTTGCCACATAAGATGACATATGCAGAGGTTCTGAGAATTAGGACAGGAACATCTCTGGGGGGTCATTATTCTGCCCACCATAAAGAGAAACGTTTCCCTCTTCTTTTACAGCTTCTGAAACCCCCATATGCTTCAGCTCTTGGTCCCCCACCTCCAATGATGTCAGGCAAAGTCCTGAAGCTGCCATCACTCTGGTTCTCATCTTTCTGCCTCCCTCCTTCCACTTTTAAGAAAGACCCTACTGATTATATTGTGCCTATGCAGACAATCCAGGAATAGTCTCCGTATTTTAAAGTCAGCTGACTAGCAACCTTAATTCCATGCTCAACTTCATTTCATTTTTCAGTTCCAATTTCCTGCCATGCATGGTAACATATTCACAGGTTTGGGGGATTAGGATACTGACATCTTTGAGGGGTTGTCTTCCTGCCTACCACACTTTCCTAAAAAGGAAAAAAAAAAACAACAACAACAAAGAAGAGATCATAAACCAACAGAAAGAGAATCAGAGCATGGAAAAGAAATGAAGAAATAAAAATTAAAATAAATGGAATAGGGATGAAAACCATATTAGATGCAACTAAATAATAGAATAAAGGCAATCAACCCCAGAGATAAGCAAATGAAATGGAGAAGAATATGAAATATCAACTTTATCAAAGAGATGACAAATATAAGACAAAAGAAACAATGTGCATATAATTAACATTCTTGAATTGTTAACAGAAAAAAGGTCATAGATATAATACAAGAAAACTTCTGAAATAAACTGACTTATCTCTGTCAATTACAAGGGTTTTACTTTACTTAGTTTAAAAGAAAGTGATACAGCAATACCAGCATCCAGAAACATTCAAGTAAATTAACCGAATTAAAAGAATCACATGAACATCTAGGCAAAACAGGCTGACTTCAAATTTCTCATAACTCTGTGCTAAAAGACAGGAGAAATATCTCTATATAGTTTTAAAGGAAATTATGCAACTCAAGACCTTTATAATCAGGCAAGAGTTATTTTCAAGCTTGCAAGAATTCTTCAAGTTTGAGTGTGCCATGAGCCATGTGAGAAGAGAACAAGAAAGGAGGAAAACAGAGCCAGGGATTAAACAAACTATACAATGAACTCCAGACAACCGAAAAACAAATCGAAAAAAAAATCCTCAAGAATGTATCCACTGGAACTACTGATAAAAAGACTGATACTGTGTGATCCTGGAATCTATTTAAACAGAGCACTAAGAATAAGTAACTGTGGAAACAAGTTATCTAAGAGATGACCCATGTTATGTTCCTTGACAATGTAAAAAGTTATAGGGTGAGTAACAAAATAGGGAAATGGGTGGGAGGAAAAGGAAGCACTAATATGCAAATTTAGTAACCTTTCAACCCCTGAGTGAGCAGATGCCAACCCTAAATACACAGTAGTTTGCAAACAGCAAATGCAACATTAATAAACAGCAACAAGCAAACAGGTATTTCATAGGTTTCCCCTAATTTTACAGGGATTGAATGGAGGCTATAGTTGCTCCCCAAATCCATCTCTTGTTCCTGGGCACTCAGCTAACCCACAGGACTATAAATTGAGTGGCCGGGGGACATTACTTCCTGCACATCAGTTGGCTCTGCTATAGGAGCCATGCCTGGGAGGGGCTGCCACGTCAATGGTAACTCCAGGCTGGTCTACCCAAACCAAGAAAGGGAACTTTTAGAAACTTTTATGCTCTAAGAAATAAGACATGTAACTTAAATTCAGCAAGTCTTTAATCACTAAATAAAAATATAATTTAACTGAGTACTTTTTTAGTTAAAATAGCATGTATTGTAGACTAAAAATGTAATAATCTCCAACAAGTATTCTATGTATGTTCCTATGTGTTTAATAGTCTTGGATATCCACAGACCATTTCTAGAAAGATGCACAAGGAGCAATTAGTAGTAATGCCTCCTGGGAAAGGCATGGGGATTGAGGGAAGAAAATGACTCCCATTTTACTGTTTTGCTGAACTTATTCTTTTAACCTGTGCAAATATTAGATTTTTTTTCATGAAAAATAAATAAGCAAAGGAAAGAGTAAAAACTAGTATGACTCGATTTTTACAGAACAATGTACTCCCACTGCCTTGCTGTATGCACAGAGAGGAACAAAATGCTGAGAGTGTGGGGTTTGAGAAGCTCTGTATTAGTTTTATCTTTGTAGATGTCACTGTTTTTCATGGAACATGTTTCACAAAGTTTCCCCCAAACAGATGGTTACACTCAAAACACCACAAGCAAAGTGAAGCTCACTCAGGACCGGCTTCTTCTCAACCCCTCCTCGCCACACGTTAATTAAACTCATCTACAATCTATGTAAAAATTAAAGTGATGACGCACAGCGGACAAAGGTTTGAACAATTCTTTGGTATGCTCCCTAAAAAGGAAAGAACACAAGGAAATTCTGACGTCTGCCCAACGGGTCCAGATTGTCATTTCTGGCTCTGAGCTCTTTCGCAGCCGGGAGCATCACAGAAGTTGGTGGAGAAGGGGCTTGTTGGACAGAGCGCTGTCACTGGGCCAGCCCCTGCCCACTGAGCCCCTCTCTTTTTCCAGGTGACCTTTCTCTAATAGTTGACGGCCGGCAAACGCCAACCATCCCTCTGTTGTCCTCACAAAAATAATCCTACAAGAACAATCCTGAAAGGTACCTAGTCTTACCCTCATTCCACAACATGGAAATAGAGGCTTAAAGAAGTGAGACACTTCCTTGAGACGCCTCAGCTCCCAGGCTGATTTTAGACCCAGCTCCTGGCCCAAACTTGCCCCAGCCCTGAAGAAAAAATGAATGCACCTGGACAGTCTGTGCTCTGTCCTGAAGGAAGAGGGGCTAGGAAAATAGCCAACGAGAGCCCACGGTAGCACCTAGGGCCTGCTGTCACCTGTAAGGCAGATGTCACATACAGGGACACTGGAGCTGGTAGCTGAACTGCCTTAGCCAGGAGCCGGGCCTCCCAGCAGGAGGCAGCACAAATGGAAAGCAAACCCAGTGTGGGGGCAGGGGCTGGGAGTATCTCACTCTCACCCAGGCCTGGCCTGGGCACTCGTAGTCCCCTCTGCTGGCACTTGGGTTCTCACGCCCTCCCCCTTACACACTCGGGAAAGGAAATCACATAGGGATGGCAAGCTGTCCTGGGAGAAGCCTGGGACCCAGGAGGAGTGTACAGATAGAGTAAATGCAAGCCACAGGGCAGTCAGCGCAGCCTGAGCCGGGCCCCTCGATGTTAGGAAAATTGTGACATAAACAGCACATGCTCCAGGGCGGGGATGACATGTGACTCCAGACTGCCCCCCACGTCCTTCAACACTTGGCTTTCCCTTGCTCTGCTATCCTGGGCATCTCCTGGACCATGAAGGGTATTACCACTTGATTGCTCACTTTTTCTTAGTAATGTCTACTTTGGACTTTCAATTCTGAAAAAGGGCTTTTCTGCTGAGACTGCAGCACTGAACCACAAGCCCTCTCTATTATAATGTGTGCAGTAGTTCAGTTCCTTCTTGGGCAACTTTTCCAAGAGAAAGAACATTGAAAGGGAAAAAGAAAATCAACAAGGGAAGGTTAATTACTTAAAACCAGTAGTACTTTACGAAGAACGCATGGTTTCCCACTCAACACCTTGGGGACAAAAGTATGTATATCACTGTGTCGTGGCACTGTTGTCTTCCCGGAAAGGGCAGAACTTATTCTCCTGCCAAGATAAAATAACAAGGGGGCAGGTGATAAGGAGTATTGTTCAGGGGCAGAAAGGTGAGGTCAAAAGGCCCGAGCAGCCCGCTGAGGACCTCTTGGAGCAGGGAGAGAGCCTATAAGACAGGTGTGGCAGGTAGCCAGAGGGCAAGGGTGGCAAGGAGACTGAGGCGGACCACAGCCACTGACCAGAGTAGTCATAGTCAAGATGTTCTGGGAGGCCTGAATGCCTGAGCCCTGAGGTCCAATGCCTCTTGCTGTGCAGTGTGGCTAGCATGGAAGGCTTCGTTCAAAGATCCCTCTACAAAGGGGAAATTCCAGACAGAGAAAATTGGGGCCAGAGGAAGAGGCAGCAGCTCAGCCATGTACATCTGCCAAATGCCCAAGTGCAGGGGGATGGGACCCACCTTGCAGAACAGGGCAGCAGGAATAGTTAAGGGCACAAAGACTCGTCCAAGGAAAACACTATTAAGGAGGGAAAGCAGGTGTTTGCTCTCACGGATGTACAATGCTATACAGATGCTGCTGCCACAGAAGACAGCAAGCCTAGAGACACAGGAGAATGAGGCAAACATAACAAGAACAACGGCCAGGTTCCCCGTCTTGCCTCACATCCCCATCCCACTGCACACCACCAACCCGGCCAGCCCCACCATTCACTGGGCTAGCCGCTGTGTTAGCCTCGGCAGAGTCAGCCTCACAGTCTTCATTTCAGCCTCTCACAGACGTCACTAAAATGTCAGGGAGGCAGTGGTGGAGCCCACCAGACCAACTATCACCAGGTGAGGGGCAGTCACATGGGGCCTGAAGACAGGGCATCCCAAGTGTGCCAGTCACTCTCACCACCGTGGAAAACCACAAACTGCCATCCTCAGTCTCCTCAACTGTAGAATGGGAACAACTTCCCTCCTGACAACAGAGTTATTGGGAAGATCAAATTAGATAATCTACACAAAAGTATTTTGCAAACTGCAAAGCACTATAAAACTGCAAAGACATGATGATATGCTGTATGCAAGTTAACAAACCTGGCAAACAGTTTGATTTCCTTCTGCATGGCTGTACATCTTACTATTGTTTGTTTTACTAACAAAATTGTATTTTTTTGTTGTTATTTTATTTTTTAACTTGACAAAACTGTATGTTTTTGTTGTTTATATTTTGGTGTACAACACATCATGTTGTACATGGAAGGGCTAAATAGAGCTAATCAATGTATGCCTTACCTCACATGCTTATTACTTTTTATGGTAAAAACACTTCAACTCTACTTTTAGCAATTGTCAAGTCTATAATACATTGTTATTAATTTAGCCACCACATTATACAACAGATCTCATGAACATAAACATTTGTAAGCCAGCTATATATTCAGTTAAGTGATATAAAATTATCATTTGATCAAATAGTAAAGGTTCTACCAGTTCACCTTGCAGATGTCTTTCAATTTTCTGCTTTAAGGAGACCAACTTTCTTTCCCCCTTGTGGGATAATATATAAGAAGAGAAGAGGAACTCATGGTCCTCCCTGTTTCTCCTGGACCTGTCTCCCTGCATTTATAAAGTTACAAGAACTTCCTTGAAGCTAGTGGTTCTCAAACCCAGAATCAATAGGGGCTTTTATAAAAGTCCCAATGGGTTCCAAGGTTGCGGCTTGGTTGCTGATATCAGAACCTCTAGAGGAAGTGCCCAGACATTAAGATTTTTAAAGTACCCCTATCGTTTCAATAGGAAGTGGAGGACCTCTGGCCCGGGCCCTTCAGAGAGCCAGGACAGCCGCAACTCTGAGCACGTACCCAGCAGTGACACAGGCCTGGCAGTGGTATCTTCCTTTCTGGGGAGATATTAAGAGATTTTGAGGTTTAGGATTTGCCACCATTTTTTAACATAGGAAGGTATTGTAATCAATTATCTTAATCGATCACATGTCTTTTCTTCCATTATGAATTTTCTTTTTTCCTTAAGGATTGTTTCAAATATGACATATCCATGTGACCTTCCATTTTCTCTTTTCTATCACTAACATTTTCAAGGTAGTACAACTAATTTATTTCATTCTTAAAAATCTATGGAATGGAAAATCTGAAACTATAATTCTTCTTTGAACTCACACTCTGCTGTATGACAAGCAAGTCCCATTACAACTAATCAGTAAATTATCTGGTTTTTGTTTATTTGCAACCCAAGTAAACACAATTTTGCATGCCACTGAACTGCAAGCTTAAGTATGAAATGTTTCAAATTTTATATAAGCAACTTTCTCAACTGCGATGCTTTTGAACTCATGGGAGCTAAGCAATTCGAGAAAAAATGATTAAATTTCTAATTTTAATTCCCATAGAGCTATTAAATGCATTTAACAAACATGAATGGAGAGACTGTTCTGAACAAGGTGCCTCAGAGATGTAATAAAAAATAATGCATGAGCTTCTCCTCAAGGGCTTAAGAGTCAAAGGGAGGAACGATGTCCACACAACTCATTTCTAATTATAAATACTTGTTCAAATGCTCAGTATTCTCCTCGACCCCAGAAGTGGAGATATATATATATATATATATATGTATGTATGTGTGTATATATAGATGTATGTGTGTATATATATATATATATATATATGTATGTATATATATATATTTTTTGGGACGGAGTTTCGCTCTGTTGCCCAGGCTGGAGTGCAGTGGTGCAATCTCGGCTCATTGCAAGCTACGCCTCCTGGGTTCACGCCATTCTCTTGCCTCAGCCTTCCAAGTAGCTGGGACTACAGGCGCCCGCCACCATGCCCAGCTAATTTTTTTTTTTTTTTTTTTTGTATTTTTAGTAGAGACGGGGTTTCACCATGTTAGGCAGGATGGTCTCGATCTCCTGACCTCGTGATCTGCCTGCCTCAGCCTCCCAAAGTGCTGGGATTACAGGCATGAGCCACCACACCCAGCCAGAGATAAATATTTTTAAAAGACACCTAATTTTTCCTACCTGTTCTCTCACAGCATTGAGCAGGGCTTCCCTTCCCCTTGATCACTCAGCACTTTGGGAGAACTAGGGAACTAATTTTGTACAGAATCATGGAGTTGAAAGGGGTATCAGAGTAGGCAGCTGCGGTTCTTCATTTCACATGTTCAGTTAAGACCTAGAGAATATCCCCAGAGTGGGGACCCAAGCCAGAATGAGGCCTCCTCTAGGCTGGGGGCACTTTCTTTCCCCAGCCTGGACCAGGTTCTCTAGTCACTAGTCAACGGGCATGGAAAGAGTCTAATGTGAATGCAACCACACACCGATCTTCTAATAAACCATACATGCTAAGCAGTGGGCTGGCTCACCTGTATCCACTCCTTTTCTAGGCCCCTGAAGCACCTTTTCTGATGATGCATTTCTGAACATACTGCTTGCCAGATTGTAAATGGGATAAGTCAGCTTTGGTAGAAGAAACCTTGTCTACCTCTTCCAGAACAGGCAGAGGACCCTGGAGGGATGTCCCAACTGGTTGCATGCCGTGTCTGAGAACCCAGAGTCAGTGGGCACTTAAAACCACGTGGACCCAAGAGCTGAGTTCACATTCAATACCTCAACAAGGTAGAGACAGAATAATCAAGAGATTTGGGGATGAACTGCAACCCATCCTGGCAATTCTAGGACATATTTCCAAGGGATTAAGTACAGCCTTTCAATGTGCCTACCCAATAGCTGCAGACCCACAATGCCAAGTTAAACAGACAACCAGAGAGTTTTCACTCAATCTAATAATCTAATGCTGTACTTGCAAAGGACCCACATCCTTCCTTGGGGGGACCATGTCATCCCACAGATGGCACAGACACCCCTGTGTCCTTCACCATGGCAGTCAACACCAATGGCAAGAGATGGCCAGTGGTCTCAGAGCCAAGGACATGCTCTGGGAGCAGCTCTAGGCTCTGCAAGGGAATATACTTAGGGTGGGGGTGACAGTGCAGACCCTAGCCTGGTGTCATGCCTCCCCCAGGGGAAAATGCCAAGACCACCCTCTCTGGTAGTACCTCAGGTCACAGTCACTGCCCACTCTCCTCCCTGAAATCTACTCCCAGGACTCTACCTTTGGAATGCTATTCTTTTCCTCTCTCCCACCCCCTAGTTTTTCATGTAAAGGACTAATCTTTCATCATCCCCAAGGATAAGGAAGTACGTTCTGTAATGATCCTGCCCAATGAGCCCTTGTATGCCTGTTATTCTTATGCACAGCAGCACCTGAGATACAGGAGACATAACCGGCTTCCTGGGGAGTTCACTATCTACTCTGAGTGAGAGGAACTTCACTTAGCATGGCTTAACAGAGCTTGCTTGTATTAGTTCATTTTCACACCACTGATAAAGACATACCCGAAACTGGGAACAAAAGGAGGTTTAATTGGACTTACAGTTCCACATGGCTGGTGAGGCCTCAGAATCATGGCGGGAGGTGAAAGGCACTTCTTACATGGCAGTGGCAAGAGAAAAATAAGGAAGAAGCAAAAGCGGAAACCCCTGATAAACCCATCAGATCTTGTGAGACTTACTTATTATCACGAGAATAGAACAGGAAAGACCATCCCCTGTGATTCAATAACCTCCCCCTGAGTCCCTCCCATAACATGTGGAAATTCTGGGAGACACAATTCAAGTTGAGATTTGGGTGAGGACACAGCCAAACCATATCATTACGCCCCTGGCCCCTCCAAATTTCATGTCTTCACATTTCAAAACCAATTGTGCCTTCCCAACAGTCCCTGAAAGTCTTAACTCATTTCAGAATTAACTTAAAAGTCCACAGTCCAAAGTCTCATCTGAGACAAGGCAATTCCCTTCTGCCTATGAGCCTGTAAAATCAAAAGCGAGCTACTTACTTTCTAGATACAATGGGGGTACAGGTATTTGGTAATACAGCCATTCCAAATGGGAGAAATTGGCCAAAATAAAGGGGTTACAAGGCCCAGGCAAGTCCAAAATCCAGCAGGGCAGTCAAATCTTAAAGCTCCAAAATGATCTCCTTTGACTCCATGTCTCACATCCAGGTCACGCTGATGCTAGAGATGGATGCCCGTGGTCTTGTGCAGCTTCACCCCTGTGGCTGTGCAGGGTACAGCCTCCCTCCTGGCTGCTTTCAGGGGCTGGTGTTGAGTGTCTATGGCTTTTCCAGGTGCACGGTGCAAAGTGTTGGTGGATCTCCATTCTGTGGTCTGGAAGATGGTGGCCCTCTTCTCATAGCTCCACTAGGCAGTGCCCCAGGAGGGACTTGTGTGGGGGCTCTGACCCCACATTTCTCTTCTGCACTGCCATAACAGAAGTTCTCCATGAGGGCCCCACCCCTGCAGCAAACTTTTACCTGGGCATCCAGGCATTTCCATACATCTTCTGAAATCTAGGTGGAGGTTCCCAAACCTTAATTCTTGACTTCTGTGTACCCACAGGCTCAACAGCACCTGGAAGCTGCTAAGGTTTGAGGCTTCCACCCTCTGAAGTCACAGCCTGAGCTCTATGTAGGCCCCTTTTGGCCACGGGTGGAATGGCTGAGACACAGGGCACCAAGTCCCTAGGCTGCACACAGCTCGGGGACCCTGGGCCCAGTCCATGAAACCACTTTTTCCTCCTGGGCCTCCAGACCTGTTCTCCAGAGGGGCTGCCATGAAGGTCTCTGATGTGGCCTGGAGACATTTTCCCCATGGTCTTAGTGTTTAACGTTAGGATCCTTGCTACTTATGCACATTTCTGAAGCTGGCTTGAATTTCTCCTCAAAAAATGGGGTTTTCTTTTCTACTGCATTGTCAGGCTGCAAATTTTCTGAACTTTTATGCTCTCTTTCCCTTTTAAAATGGAATGCTTTTAACAGCACCTAAGTCATCTTTTGAATGTTTTGCTGCTTAGAAGTTTCTTCTGCCAGATACCCTAAATCATCTCTCTTAAGTTCAAAGTTCCACAAATCTCTAGGGCAGAGGCAAAATGCCACCAGTCTCTTCGCTAAAACATAACAAGAGTCACCTTTGCTCCAGTTCCCAACAAGTTCCTCATCTCCATCTGAGACCACCTTGGCCTGGACCTTATTGTCCATATTGCTGTCAGCATTTTTGTCAAAGCCACTCAACAAGTCTCTAGGAGATTCCAAACTTTCCCACATTTTCCTGTCTTATTCTGAGCCCTCCAAACCGTTCCAACCTCTGCCTGTTACCCAGTTCCAAAGTCACTTCCACATTTTCGAGTATCTTTTCAGCAATGCCCCACTCTACTGGTACCAATTTACTGTATTAGTTTGTTTTCACCCTGCTGATAAAGACATATGCGAAACTGGGAACAAAAAGAGGTTTAATTGGACTTACAGTTCCACACGGCTGGGGAGACCTCAGAATTACGGCAGGGAGCGAAAGGCACTTTTTACGTGGTGGTGGCAAGAGAAAAATGAAGAGGGAGCAAAAGCAGAAACCCCTGATAAATGCATCAGATCTTGTGAGACTTATTCACTATCACGAGTATAGCATGAGAAAGACCAGCCCCATGATTCAGTTACCTCCCTCTGGGTCCCTCCCACAACACATGGAAGTTCTGGGAGATACAATTCAAGTTGAGATTTGGGTGGGGATACAGCCAAACTATATCATGGCTAATGACTTTTAACTCCAAGAATCCCCAAGCCACAGAAGCCCCTCCATTCTTTTTACCCACACCTCCTCTTCCTACACACACACACACACACACACACACACACACACAAGTCAAAGCAAGTTCATCTAAGCAATGCCTTGGTTACAAGTGCAAACTATGACTACATCAACTGTCAAAGGATAGAAACTGGGCTGATGGTAAGTGAGACAAATACTGTCTCCAGTTCCTTTTATTGAACAACTTATCAATCTAGAACTTAAGAACCCATGGCATACACTCACTCATCTGCTCCACCCTAAAGCCTACAGGATGGCCCAAGAGATATTCTGCCCTTGTGGCCCCCCCCTGGGGTTGTGCCCAAGGTCACACAACTGGTCATCAAGTCCAAGTGAGCTGGAAGCATGTCTCATTTATTTTTACTGTTCAGTGATGATTCTTTCAAGAGATGGTATATTATTTAACAGACAGTCAAAACAAATACTCCAATTCATACATTTTAAAAAGAAAAAGTTAACTATGTACCTCTTGGATGTCAAACAATTTTTGTAAAAGGCATGAAAAATTATACATGCAAATGTGTTGCCCACACTACAATAACACACGTTGTCTTGAAACCTCAAATCATCATTAGAGGAATTGTGAGGAAATGGGCTGCAACCATGGTATGGTTTTTAGACCCCCAAGATAAAAGGGTATTGCATGGACTTCAGGGATGATGTAAGGTGATCTGGGGAAGGAGGACGTGCTGAGTCCCAGGACACTGTGCATTGTGTGGTCTCTTCTGCAACGAAGACATGACAGGCTAACAGGCTAACCCTAAGCTTACTGTAAAAACTCGGAGAACTTAATTCATAGAAAGTTCCTAAAATGTGAGCGCAGAAATTATTTGGGTAAATTATTTGAAGATGGGTGTGTTAGCCCTGGGGGCATGAAAACTGGGGTCTTCTCAGAGGTAGCAAGGTTCAACCTGTCTGCACCACAGACAGACGTCTGCTCTCACTCCAGGCAGCCACCTCCTCTTGAGTGAGCTCCTAAACCTTTGTCTCAGTAACTGAGAAACTTAATCTAATCTCACAGAGGGATGGGTGTATGGTCTGTTCACACCAATCCCCAGCACCATGTGAAACTTAACAGTAATCTAATAAAACAAATGAAACGCTGAACAGACAAGGAAATGAATTTCCAAGGTCTAATTTTATATTTCATAAAAGTCAATACTGCATCTTACTCATGTGTATTCATTCAGACATCAAATTTCCATTATATTTATAAGGAAAACGAGATTAAGAATAAAATATGCTCAAATAGAAAATATTTCCTTGGAAGGAGAAACGCAAAATACTTCAATCCTACAAAATGAGTTTACTTTAGACTTATCTACTTAACTAAGAGAGATGTATTTAAAACTTGTATTAGCATTAATGTGTATTTGACTTCTCAGAATGTGAGATGCTGTAGAGCAGTAATTGCTAATAGCAAGGACTGGGGTTTTGTGGAATCATGCAATTTTACCAAACAAGGCTTTAGATGCATGGGAGACTAACTCTTTCCCTTTGCCAAGAGGAACCTAGAGCACGACAGGCCAGACCTTGGCCAGCTGTAGCTGCTGCATGGCCCACTCCCTCCCAGTCCTAGTCTATACTCCCCCACTTCCTGGTCCAGAAATGCTGTGTGCAAACCAGCCAGCTAAACACGCCTCCACAACACAGGCAAGTAATAAGGCAGCGTCCGGCCCTTCTCTCCATTTCAGCTTTTTAAAGACTTATTTTTAACCCACTTCTCCCGTCTGTTACTATGAATGATGAAGAACACCATTCCAAAAGTGTGATGAAGGCGGTTCCCCCCTTGTGGCATCTGTGTTAAGGCCATCTTATTCTTGGTCTCACACACAAACTTTTTGGGAGACATGGCAGTCTACCAATAGGCAAATAAAATTCTTTTTCCAAGGTTCAAGGGTAAAATATTTTCACATTAAATACGTTACAAAAAAGAACCAGCATATCTTATTCCCATTTTGTCCTCAAGGATGAACAGCTTCTAAAGGGATTTGGCATCACCTATTTTACATGTAGTGGCGCTTCCCCTTTAACCATTTACAGTGTTCAATCAAGGTGAAGAGCCTGATTCACTAAAGCTGAAAAACATGTTATTCCCATTTGCCCCCTTGAAATCAGTAGTTCAGTTTTCCACACAATTTAAATGGAATGAGAAGCATAAAGAAATGCCCAGTCATAGCACTGGGCTAGTTCTCTAGTAGGGCATCTGTGAAACTTCTTTCCTTTTAAAGTGTGATGTTCCCTTTCGCATGGGGCCTCCATGAGGAACCTCAGTAGGAGAGAGGAGTCTTTGGTCTTCAGTAACACACCCAGATGCTGCAATGACCATCTAAGCATGGGAAACACCCATCCCAACTCACCAAAATAGCCCTGGAGCACAAGCTGGCCTCTCTGAGTTCAGTCCCTGCGAGGAAAAGTCTCCCAGGGAACATGTGGTTGAATAACCTGGCACACACTTAAAATCAGATAAAGCACATTTTAAGTGAAAAAGCACAGTTGCTTTTTCTTGTTTTCATTTTATAGGGAAAAATAAAAGCACAGTAACGAAACGTTTTTCATCAGAGAAATTTTGAGGCCAAGAGCCCTTCCCATCTCATTTAGGCACGTCATGGAAATAAATGTGGCACCATCAGAAGGTCAGAGGCCATGACTTGCACACAGCTTGCTCAGAGCAAAGTGCCCCTTCCCTCCTCCACCAGGCTTGGGGGCCACAGGAATTACTTCCTAAGTGGACATCCGCCACCTATAATTCAGTGCAAGGGGTCAAATAGGCCCCTCTGGGAAGTACTACCACACAGGGTCCCAGGGCCTAAGTCAATCGGGAGTCAAAGCCAGGAGCAAACATCAAGGGTGTGCAGGAGAGGATTTCCACGGGGTTGCCCTGGCTGGCACATTCACGCCATGACCAGGACACCAGCCTGTAGTTCACTGAAGTCAACTTTCTCCTCTCCAAACTAACACTCACTTCCGCAGTCTGAGAAGGCACTCAATCCTGAGACTCAAAGTGTGCTAAGAGCCACCTTCCAAAGACATGGAGCCACTGAAGCAATCTCTGCTAGGGAGGCCTACATTCCAGACTCCACAACCTCTGGTCATTCAAGTATGTGCCCCCAACCCTTCCTTAAGTTTCCATCTCTTGGAAGACAGGCATGCGGGAGCGGAGGGGGAGGGGCGGGGGGCGGGGGCGGAGCACACCGGCGCACACACATGCACCCACCTCAACTTGGAGATCCACTCCCAAGGTGGCTCTGACACAGGCCCGCCAAGCCGCGTTTAGCACGCCCCCTGCTGGCCCACAAGAGCTAATTCAACCTTTCTTCCGTGGGCCTAAGGCATGAATAAATGACCTTAATATCCCAAAGGGAACAGAAAGAAAATCAGGGCAATTTTTACTTCTTAGAAACGGAAGATGTGACAGTGATCTCTTTTGGGAAATCACTGACAACTCCCAAATTTAAGCACTCTAAACATACAAGCGGGATGAAGAGGCTTTAAAGCGGTTGTTTTAAAATGTTTTGGGGAAATAAGTGACCCATACCTAAAGATTTAGTGGAAACACTTCCGTTTGAAGTTTTACTAGTACTACAGCGAGTTAAACCATAAACGTGGTGAATATTTTCACGAGTCTACAGGTGAAAACAAAAAGATGGATACGGGGCCAGATTGATTTCACAGACTCCATTTTCAAAGAGTTTGCAATGCAGACCCTGAAAAACCAATCTTCATACTATTGAGGACATGTTGTAAAGAAGAATCTCTGCCACAACTCAAGAGTTAAGTTCTACAGCAACTACACACAGCGGGAGCAGTGTCATCCAAAAGCAGCTCACTTGGAGCCAGTTTCTCATCTCACTTAGGCACACCATTGGGAATAAATGCGGCACCATCAGGAGGTCAGAGGCCAAGAATTACACACACTTGCTCAGAGAAAGGTGTCCCCTCTCCTTCTCCACCAAGCTTGGGGGCCTCAGGAGTTACTTTCTAAGGGAAAACCTGCCATCTATGATCCAGGCCCAAGTGAGACCCGCACGTGGCAATACTTCGTAAAGCGGCGATTTCCACCCATTATCAGCCTGAACACTAAAGGCCTAAGTAACCACTGTTTTCCCATTCTTTTCACACCAATACAGGGTTCAAGAGATTGAAGTTCCTAACCAGGTCCCAACTTTTGAGTGGCATATGGTATTAAATTCCTTACAGATCCAATAAAATCACACTAACAATTTAAGGCATGCTTATTTTAACCAATTAGGAGGTGTCATTAATTATTAAATACAAAAATGTCAATACTTTTGTCCCTTATTGGATATCCTTTCGATATGATAGGCTTGAGTAGATACTCAGATTGCCTTGGGAACTTGCTTAGTTTTGTTCCCATAAGAATTGGTACTAATGGCACACTCACAATAAAATAATGGAGTGTTGATCCCATTTAGTGGGGAATGTTTATCCAGAACTGAGTGTGCCGTGCAGATCTACCTCTGTTCTCGTGAACCCTCTTTGGGTCTTGAAGAGGCCTTTGAAGCTGGTGGGACACACGGCTGCTGGGAGGACCCTAGTGAACCTGCCTCCCCGCCTTCGCCCAGGGCAGGCTTCTCCGGGCACACCCTGGAGGAGGAGGAGGAGGATGGTGAAGGACACCTGCAGATTTTCCTGAAGCAATTAAGACCTGTAAAGATTTAGGCCCCGCTGTCAACCTTTTCCTGGACACATTATCTGCCTCATCATATTTTTAAAAATTGTTCCTCTTACAGCCCACTTCCATTTACAAAGGTATCACCTGGCGGTAACCATGTGCATGTCATACATGACTTTCCCCTGGATCCTTGTGCTGTGGATGAAGCGTTTCCCTGATCGGGGTCTCACAAGTTTCCCTTCAGCTACTCTTAAATCTATACATTCTCAAGCCAATAGACAGAAATAAAAGTCATTTGCACTTGTGTGAGGTAGCTGAGTTTACAGAGCAGAGGCAAATCCATTTTATTACAGAGATTCTCAAAGGGCTGCAATAGCTTCACCGGGAGGGAGGAGGGTACACTTGAGCGGTTGTGTCCAATGAAGGAAAGTTTTAGTTAATGATGACATCACTGACATCTCCCAAATTTAAAGGAGCACTTAAAGCACCGCAGATGCAATTTTTTCCCCTCCAGTGAGGAGATACTAGGGAAGGCCTCTGGGTTCACAGCCAAATTGCCTTAATGGTTTGCCTGCTGTCCAGCGAGACCCAGCAGAGCGAGCGGGACGGCGGTGCGCCGGGCCGCGGGGACCCACGCAGTCACAGCTCCGGTGCCCGGCGAGCGGCCTCGCGCGCGGCTCGGGGCCGGGCCCTGCCCGGCCGTCTGCAAGAGCCGCGGGACCCCCGACGCGCGCGCACGGACCGAGGGGTCGGTCGCCCCACGCCTGGCATCACGTTCCAGTGCGGACAGCCAAAGGGCTGAGCGGAGGCAGCAGCCCCGACCCAGCGGTAGCGCCGCGCCCTGCCCGAGAGAGGCGCGCCACGCCGGGCCGGAGCCGGTGGCCCGGGAGCCCGCGGGGTCCGGAGCGGAGCCCGCAATGCAGACGCGCCGGCGAGCCCAGCCGGGGCCCGCGCCCCCCGCGTCCCCGCGCCCCGGCCCCGCGGTCGCCCGGCCTCAACGCCCACCTGCCTCGCCACGGAGCTCGGGAAGGAGACGGCGCCGGCCCCGCGCCCGGAGAGCGCACCTGCCTGGTCCGCGGGCCCGGCCCCGCCGCCCGCCGGCAGCACCGCGGCCAGCGCCGTCTTACCTGCCGCGCCGCGCCGCTCCGCTCCGCCAGCCCGCAGCGCCGCAGTCGCCGCTACCCGACTTCCATTTTCTCTCGCTTTAAAGGAAAACCAGATCAGCTGTTTTGCTCCCGCTCGGGCTCCGCGGCCCCCTCCCCAGCTGCCGCTCGCGGTCCCGGTGGCCTCTCCTCCCCCGCCTCCTCCCGCGCTCCGCTCCGCCCCTCGCGCCCCTCCGCTCCGCCCGCGGCCGCGCACAACGCCCGCCTCCCGGCTCCGCCTGCTGCCTCCGGGCGCGCGCCCTCCTCTGACGTCACCGGTCGCGTTCGCGCCCCGCCCCCGCCCCGCGCGGACGTGCGCGCGCCGCGCCTGTGCCCCGCCCCCGCCCCTCCGGGGCCGGGCACGGAGAGCGCGTGCTCGCGGCCGCGAGCCGAGGAGGGGACGTACAGCGCCCGCGCGCCCGCGAGCCCGCTCCGGCTCTCCCATGCTTGCCCCTCGGGGTGCTCCTTCTGCGCTCTCCGCCTGGACTGCAGGAAAAGGCTGCTTAAACAGCCTGCCTTTTCCTGCTGCCTGACTCGCGCCATCTGCGGCCACCTGTCTCGTTTCTTCCCCCTGGCTGGCGCACCCTTCCTTCCTAAACATCCCAAACTTTCTCCCACCCAGGCTGTCCAGGCTGCAGTTTCTACGCCCTGCGCTGGGGCCTGTGCATCACGCCTAATCCAAAGCTGGTCCTTTTACCTCCCAAAAAGGTTCTCTGACCTTTTCCCATTTTTTGCCTTCCTCTAAAGACTTTTTCACGCCACCCCTTCAGATGGTTCCCCTCCCTGATGGCAAGACCTGCTCGCTGCTCTGGGCCCTTCTCACGTCACCCTGTAGATGTAGTCACGCTTCCTTATCCCAAACAGGACGTTATATTGCAGATGACCCATACCATCCTGGTGTACTTCTAAACAATCATTATTTTACTTTTAGTTTAGGACTTTTTGCTTGACTTTAAACATTGTATATGTTTAATAGTGTTTAATAATTTATTTGACTTTTAAAATTGATATTCAGTAAAATTGGTTATTTGATATATAATCCTGTGATCTTGAACCCTTGTTTGGATTCATGTAACCACTAGCGCAATAAAGAGCTCCCTAGTTCTGCCCTTTTATAACAGCGCCCCCGCCAACCCTAACTTTTGGTAACCACTGATAGGTTCTCCATTGCTACGGTTTTGTCTTTGTGAGTGTGTCGTATACATGGAATTACGCAATATGTAACATTTTGAAACTGACTTTATTCCCTCATCATTATACCTTGGAGATTCATCCATGTTATTGTGTATAGTAATAGTCCTTTTTATTGTTGAGGGGAGTCTCATTATTTGTACCACATTTTGTTTAGTCACCCACTGGAGAATATTTGCGTGGTTTCCAGTTTTTGGCGACTGTGAATAAACATTCTATAAACATTTGCATGCAGCGTTTTGTACGGACAAATTTTTTAAATTAGTTGACTAAATATCTAGGAGTGCAATTGCTAGATCTTATGGTAAATTTGTTTAACTTTATAAGAACCAAACAGTTTTCTAGAGTGGCTATAGCATTTTTATAACTGTCAGCAAATATGAATCCCTTTCCTTCATCCTCACCAGCACTTGATATTGGCTATCTTTATCTATCTATCTGTCCATCCATCCATCCATCCGTCTATCATCTATAATTTTAGACATTCTAGTAGGCATATAGTGCTATATCGTTGTTAATTTTCAATTTTCTACTGAAAAATTATGTGGAGCAACTTTTCATATGCACCTGTATATCTTCTTTGGTGAGATGTTTGTTCACATCTTTTGCCCATTAAAAAAAAAAGGTTGTTTTCTTATGGTTGAGTTTTAAGAGTTCTTTGTGTATTTTGGATAGAAGTACTTTATCTGATACGTGTTTTGCAGGTATTTTCTTCCAGTGGAAGCTTGTCTTTTCATTCTCTTAACAGTCCTGTCCTGAATTTAGGGGAAGTATCCAGTTTCTTACCACTAAATATGATGTTAGCAGTAGGATTTTTTTAGTTCTTCTTTATCAAGATTAGGAAGTTCTCTCTATTCCTAGTTTGCAGAGTTTTTATCATGAATGAATGTTGGATTTTGCCAAATTCGTTTTCTGCATCTATTGATACGGTCATGTGATTTTATTTTCTTTAGCTTGTTGATATGATGGGTTACATTGATTTTCAATTGATTTTCAAGGAACCGGTCTTGCATACTTGGGTCAAATTCTACTTGGGCATGGTATATAATTGTTTTTATACACCATTGTATTCAATATGCTAATATTTTGTTGAAGACTTTTGCATCTATGTTCATGAGAAATATTTGGCTATAGTTTTCTTTTTTGTAATGTCTTTAATTTATTTTGGTATGCCGGTAATGCTGGCCTCATAAAATGAGTTAAGAAGTAATATTTACTTGTATTTTCTGTAAGAAATTGTAAAGAACCTATATCAATTCTTCCATAAATGTTTGGTAAAATTCCCTGGTGAAACCATCTGAATCTGGTGATTTTTTTGAGACTTCATTAATTATTGATTCTTTGTGGATACAGAGCTATTAGGTGATCTGTTTGCTTTTCTGTAAAATGTAGTTGTATCATTCAAGGAATCGGTCCTTTTTATCTAATATTCAAACTTGTGGGTGTAAAGTTGTTCATCATAAACCTTTATTATTCTTTTAACATCTATGAAATTAGTAGAGATGACGCCTCTTTCATTTTTTGATATTGGCAAACTATGCCCAATGTCTTTTTTTCTTGGTTAACCTGGACAGGTTTATTAATTTTAATCATCTTTTCAGCTTTTTCTTTGTTTTGTTGATTTTTTTCTATTGTTTTCTATTTTCAATTTCATTCTCTAATTTTTATTATTCCTCTTTGTTCTGCTTGTTTTAGGCTTAAATTGCTCTTCTTTCTCTATTATCCAAGGTGACAATTTAGGTTGTTGATTTTAGATTTTTCTTCTTTTCAAATGTATACATTTACTGCTATAAATATCCCCGCTTTTACTGCATCCCACAAATTTAGAAAAGTTGTACTTTAATTTTTATTTAGATCAATGTTTTTAGTTATTCTTGAGATTCCTCTTTGACCCAAATGTTTTTTAAAAATGTGTTGTTTAGTTTCCAATAATTTGGGACTTTCCAGCTATCATTCTGTTCTTGATTTCTAGGTTACTTCCATTGTGGTATGAAGACATACTTTGTTTAATTTCTATTTTTCTTTAATTTGATAAGGTGTGTTTTATAGATCAGAATGTGGCCAATGTTGGTGATTATTCCATGCCAGCTTGAGAAGAATGTGTATTGTGCTATTGCTAGATCTACAAATATCAATTAAATAAAGTTGATAATGCTGTTTAGGTCAATTATATCCTCACCGATTTTTTGCCTATCTGATCTTATCAATCATGGATAGAGAAATGTTGAAGTATCCTATGATAGTGGATTGGACCATTTTTTCTTTCAGGTTTATCATTTTTTCCTCACTTATTTTGACATTTTATTCTTAGGCACATGCATATTTAGGGTTATTATGTATTCTTGGAGAATTAGCCCCTTTATGATTATGAGTTTCTTACCTATCCCTCCCCTCACATCCCTGATAATTTTCCTTTTTCTCAAGTCCCTTTTATCTGAAATTAATGCAGCTACTCCAGTTTTCTTTTGATCAGGGTTAACATGGTATATCTTTCTTCATCCCTTTACTTTTAACCAAACAGATACTTTATATTTAATGTCAACAAGATATAGTGGGGTCTTGTTTTGTTATCTACTCTAGCAATCTGTGTCTTTTAATTGGTGTATTTAGACCATTCACATTTAACACAATTGTTGATCTATTTGGATGAATATCAATCATATTTGTAACTGTTTCCTACTGGTTGCCAGTGGCGGCTTTTTCTGCCTTCTCCGATTTTAATTGAGCATTTTGTGTGGTTCTATTTTATCTTCTCTTAAAGAGTATCAATTATACTTTTTAAAGAATTTTTTAGTGGCCATTCTAGAGTTTCTTTTTTCTTTGCTTTGCTTTTTTTTTAAGACAAAGTCTGGCTCTATTGCCTAGGCTGGAGTGCGGTGGTGCCATCTCGGCTCACTGCATCCTCTGCCTCCTGGGTTCAAGCCATCCTCCCAGCTTAGCCCCCTGAGTAGCTTACCATGCCCAGCTAATCTTTGCAATTTTTGTAGAGACAGGATTTCACCATGTTGTCCAGGCTGGTCTCAAGCTCGTTAGCTCAAGCAATCTGCCTGCCTTGGCCTCCCAAAGTGCTGGGATTACAGGTCTGAGCCATCATGTCCAGCCTAGAGTTTCTAATATAGATTTTCTTCTTTTACTAATGTGTGTTCACCTTCAAATCATGGTATTGTTTCACATGTAACGTAGATATCTTATAAGAGTGTGTTCCCAATCCTCCCTCCCATTCCTCGTAGCATTGCTGTTAGTCTTTTCTCTTATCCATATGCTACAATGACCTGTTACTATTTTTGCTTTAAATAAGAAGTTATCCTTTAAATTATTAATGAAAATAAAAATAAAAGATTTCATTTTACCTCCATTTATTGCTTCTCCAACACTTCCTTTCTTAATATAGATCCAAGTTTCTGACCTACATCATCTTCCTTCTGTCTGGAGAAAATCTTTTAACATTTCTTGAAGGACAGGTCTGATGGTGAATTACCTCAGCAAGTAAGTCCCTATTTTTCTTCTTCTTTTTTTTTTTTTTTTTTTTTTTTTTTGAGACAGAGTCTCGCTCTGTCGCCCAGGCTGGAGTGCAGTGGCGCGACCTCGGCTCACTGCAAGCTCCGCCTCCCGGGTTCACGTCATTCTCCTGCCTCAGCCTCCCAAGTAGCTGGGACTACAGGCGCCCGCCACCACGCCCGGCTAATTTTTTGTATTTTTAGTAGAGACGGGGTTTCACCGTGTCAGCCAGGATGGTCTCAATCTCCTGACCTCAAAATGCGCCTGCCTCGGCCTCCCAAAGTGCTGGGATTACAGGCGTGAGCCCCCGTGCCCGGCCTCTCCTTCATTTTTTAAGAATAATTTTTCTAGATATAGATTCTTAGTTGGTTATTTTTTGTCTTTCAAACCTTTAAATATCTCACTCCACTCTTTACTTGCTTGGATGGTTTCTGATGAGAAATTCCCTGTGTTTCTTGTCCTATTTTTCTATAGGCAAGCCACTGCACTCATACCCCCAATTCAGCTTTTTTCAAGATTTTCACTTTTTCTGTCCTTTTTTTTGTTGGTTTTTGCTTCGGTATTCTGCAGTTTGAAAATTATATGCCTAGTTTCATTTTTTGTTTCTTTAATCCTGTTTGTTTTTGTCTGACCTACACAGCTTTACAGCTTGGTGTCTGTCATTCATGTTGGAACGTTCTCAGCTATTATTACTTCAAACATTTATTCTACTATGTTCTCTCTTCTATTTTGGTCAAATAATTACACATATGTTAAAACTGTTGAAGTTATCCACAGATCTTGGATGTCTGTACTTCTTTTTCCATTTATTATTATTTTCCCATTTCAGTTTGGGAAGTTTCTGTGGACCTATATTCAAGCTCACTGATTCTTTTCCTCAGCCATGTCAAGTTGTGTGACAAGCCCATCAAAGGCATCCTTCATTGTCTGTCACAGTGCTTTTGATTTTTAGCATTTTTTTTCTTAGAATTTACATCTTTCTGCTTACATTACCCATGTATTCTTGCAGGTTGTCTACTTTTTAAAAAAATTTATTTATTTTTATTTATTCATTTATTTTTTATTTTTTATTTTTTTGAGATGGAGTCTTGCTCTGTCATGCAGGCAGGAGTGCGATGGCATGATCTCGGCTCACTGCAACCTCTGCCTCCTGGGTTCAAGCCATTCTCCTGTCAGCCTCCTGAGTAGCTAGGATTACAGGTGCACACCACTAAGCCCAGTTAATTTTTGTATTTTTAGTAGAGATGGGATTTTGCCATGTTGGCCAGGCTGGTTTCAAACTCCTGACCTCAGGTGATCTACCCACCTCAGCCTCCTAAAGTGCTGAGATTATAAGCATGAGCCATCGTGCTCAGCTGCAGGTTGTCTACTTTTTTCCATTACAGCCTGTATCAGCCAGTGTTCACCAAAGAGGTATATATAATACACACATACATAAATACACATACACACACACATATATATATAATACACACATATATTAATATTTAAACATAGGTATGTATGTTTAAGGTCTGGTGTGGCTGTAAGGATCAGAGGCTTCACATTGCTCTAGTGTCCTTGTTTCTGTCTCCTCTCTTGAATTTGGGCCTCCCTGTGTACTCCTCCTTAGAGACAGTCTGTGTTGTATAGTTCTTTATTTGTAAGCCATTGTGATTACAGTGGGGCCCTGTTGGTGTGGTGGTAAGGTATGGGTAAGGGGAAGTGTTGTATAATCTTCCAGTGAAATCTCAATCTGTTAGTGAGCCTGTGTCCCTGTCTCAGCCTGTTAGTGGGCCTGTGACTCTCATAAGTGTTTCTTCTGGCCCAGCATTCCTCCTTCCCGCTGCCCCCTTAGGTGAGACAGAGACATCCAGGCTGTGGGGCTGGGTTGAGAGGAATTTCCTTTTCCACAGCTCTGGGAAAAGATGCTGATAAAGGTTTTTTCCCATTAAGAGTAACCCTGTCACATGGAGAATGCTCTGGATACACTTCACAAGGATTGCTTTTTTCCTCTTTCTTCCAGAGCCAGGAGGGACTCTTCTTTGGCTTGCCACTGTGAAACCTGGTGATGTTGATGGAGGTCATGTTCCTGAAGGTATGAGGGCCCTCCCGAGACTGAGCCACCAGGCGTTTCTCACTCTCAAGCTAGTCCATGCCCAGACTCCAGTAATTTGTCAAAATTACCATTTAAGTGTTCCTATCAGTTTATAGCCCTAGCAGCTTCTTCAGGTAAGCAGATTTCAGCTGTGACTGTCTGGTTTCACCTGTCTCTTCAGATTTCTGGATGACAATTTGTCCTACAACTCAATTCTCTGATGGGTCCAAAAAAAGTCATTGTTTTCCCATTTTTCCAGTTTCTCTGATTGTAAAGACAGCTGCAACAACATCCAAGCTCTTTACAGTCAGAGCCCAAACCATAATTCTCACTTTTCTTGTGGTTTTAATACGCAATTTCCTAATAGCTTATGATATGGAGCCTCTTTTTATGGATGGATTCACCATTCTTGTATTCTTTTTCATTAACTTTCTGTTCAAGTAATTTTTTTTCCATTTTGATGGGATTTTAAAATATTCTTACTGTTGAGTTTTGGGGTTCTTTACACATATTCTTTATATAAGTCAGTTATCAGATATGTGATTTACAAACATTTTCTTCAGCTCTTTAGCTTGACTTTTCATCATATTAAGAGAAGTTTTCTTTCACAGCAAACATTTTGCATTTTTATGAAGTCCAATTTAGAATTTAAAAAAATTATGTGGCTTGTGCTTTCGGTGACACATCTAAGTACTCTTTGCTTAATTCCAGGCAACAAACATCTTCTGTGTTTTCTTTGAAAAACTGTATAGTTTTGCAATTTACATGTATATCTCTAACCCATTTTGAGTTAATTTTTATATTAGGTGTGAGGATTGGGTCCAGGAACATTTTTGGGGTCATGCAGATATCTAGATTTCTAGCACCATTTGTTGAAAAAGCTATCCTTTGTGCATTTAGTAATATTTGCACTTTGTTCAGTTGTCAAAAATCAATCATGTGGGTCTGTTGGGTTTGTTGCTGGATTTTGTTTTGTGTTGTATTGATGTATTTGTCTATCCCTTCAGCAACTGCATGCTGTCTTGACTACTGTGGTTTTTATTGATTTTTTAAATCAGATATTGTGAGTACTCCAGTTTGTTCCTTTTCAAAAAAATGTGGCTGGGCTAGTTCCTTTGCCTTTCTGAATAACTTAGAATCAAGCCTATGTGTACCTATAAAAACTCTTTCCAGGGTTTTGATGAAAATAGATTTAGATCTGTGGCTCACTTTGGGGAAAATGAAGACTTTTTTTTTTCTTTTTTTTTTTCTTTTTTTTTTTTTTGAGAGGGAGGCTCACTCTGTCTTCCAGGCTGGAGTGTAGTGGTGGGATCTTGGCTCACTGCAACCTCTGCCTCCCGGGTTCAAGCGATTCTCCTGCCTCAGCCTCCTGAGTAGCTGAGATTACAGGTGTGCACCACCACACCTGGCTAATTTTTGTATTTTTAGTAGAGATGGGGTTTTACCATGTTGGCCAGGCTGGTCTTGAATTCCTGACCTCAGGTGATCTGCCCGCCTCTGCCTCCCAAAATAGTGGGATTACAGGTGTGATCCACCATGCCCAGCCATTAATATCTTAATTATATAGGGTCTCCCAACAAGTATACATGGTATAGGTCTCTCCATTTATTTAGGTTTTCTTTGATTTTTCTCGTTAATGTTTTATAATTAAACATTCAGATTCTGTACATGGTTAGGTAGATTTATTTCTATTTCCTTTGTAGATGTAGTCAATTAAAAATTTTTTTCCATTTCTACCATTCATTACTAGTATATATAAATATGATTGATTATTGTCTGCTGACCTTATATTCTGCAACCTTATTAGTTCTAGGAGCTTTTTCATACACTCCATTGGATTTTTCTGTGTAGATAACCTTGTGTTCAGTGAATGAAAGCTGTTTTCTTCTTTTTACCCATCCATATGCCATTTATTTATTTTTCTTGCTTAATTACACTGGCTAAAACTTCTAATGAAAGAATGAAGAGAAGAGATGGGCGTAGACATTCTTGCCTTGTTTCTGGCCTTAGGGGCACAAATTCAACCTTTCATCATTAAGTATGTGGTTAGCTGAAGGCTTCTGTAGATACCATTTGAGGTTGGAGATCCCTATTAGTTCTGGGAGGCTGAAGCAGTTGGATCGCTTAACCCAGGTGTTCAAGGCTATGGTGAGCTGTGATTGCACCATTGCATTCCAGCTTGGGTGACAGAGTGAGACTCTGACTCTAAAAAATAAAAAAAAAATAACAAAATGAAAAACCACAAAACATTTGTTGAAGGCTGAATGTACTTATTTGCGAAAATATTTTTACATGTCCCTTCCCCTTTTGAAATACAATTTTCTATCTACTAGCAAGCCTTGGGATATAATGATGATGAAATCTGTGCAGTGGTAGGAAGTATAGTCAAGGAATATTATTTTGTGTACTACATAAAATGTATTTATGTATCACGTGTACTACATCATGAAATGAATAAGTGAAATGGGGACTGTGACTTTAAAAAATTATAACTTTTCCAAGTATATGCAAAATTATGATCATTTTCAATGAAATTCATTAATTATGGCGAGCATATTGCAATAGACTGTGAAAAATGTATTAGCTTTCTAAGACTGCCATAATAAAGTACCAAATATTAGGTGGCTTAAAACAACAGATATTTATTTTTTCAGTTCTGGAGGCCAGAAGTCCAGAATCAAGAAGGTTGACCTTTTCTGGAGATTCTAAGAGAGCATCCATTCCATGCCTCTCTCCTAGGTTTTTGTGGCTGCTGGCAGACTTGGGCATTCTTTGGTGTTATGGATGGAATGTTTGTTTTCCCAAAAAATTCATATGTTGAACCCTAGCCCCAAATGTGATGGTATTTGAAGATGAGACCTTTGGAATCGATTAGGTCATGAGAGTGAGGCCTTGGTCTGGTGGGATTAACGCTGCTGAAACAAGAGCCTCCAGAACACTTGATATCTTTCTCTCTGTCTCTCTCTCTCTGTCTCTCTCTCTCTGTCTCTCTCTCTCTCTCTCTCTCTCTCTCTCTCTCTCTCTGTCTCTGCACACACCAAGGAAAGGCCATGTGAGCACACAGTGAGAAGGCAGCTGTGTAGAAGCCAGAAAGAGCCCTCGGCAGAACCTATGTTGGCACCGTGATCTAGGACTTCCAGCCTCCAGAACTCTGAGAAAATAAACTTCAGTTGTTTAAGCTACCCATTCTGTGATATTTTGTTATGGCAGCCAGAGAGGACTAAATATGCTTAGCATCTAGATGCATCATTCTAATCTCTGTGCCCACCCTTTCATCCTTTCTCTCTGTGTTCTTTCCTTTTCTTTCTCTTACAAGAACACTGGCCATCAGATTAGGGACCTATCCCAGGTCATCCAGATGATTTTAATCTCAAAAACTATAACATAATTTTATGGGCAAAGACCCTACTCCCAAAAAGGTGATATTCACAGGTACTGAAGGGTAGGACTTGGACATATCTCTTAGCAGGAGAGGAGGGACAGTTTAACCTGCTACACATGGAATGGAAATAAATAGTTTCATGGGGGTGAAATCTAGGGGTGAGAGGACAAGACATTTTCTCATCATCTTCAATGTGTTGGGAGGGCTGGAGACATGACTGCATTTCAGTTGTCTTCATAGCAAAAGAGGTCATGCATAGATGACACTGACAGGTTTGTCTTTGACTCCTTGATAAAAAGAAAGTATGGTTAAGGAGCAGTATTTTAAGGAAGTCATCAGTGATGAACTACATTAAATAATACTGATACTGTGTCCCCGATGAAAATCACCAGCTGAATAGAAGAGTCTGAGAAGAAGCCAGCAGTATCGATTTGGAACCTCCCTAAATCCCCAGGTAAAGAGAGAGCAACTAATAAAATAAACCAAATATACTTATCGTATCCCAAATACCAATGTCAGAAAGAATGGAGACAAGCCATCAAGAAAGAATAGCCCAGTGCGGTTTCAGAAACTATGTGAAGAAGTGAAAGGAAGAAAAGGAAAAATAAAGATGGTTGCAGCTTGATGTAAATCCCTTCCATTTCTTTCTTACTAAGAGTATCATGCATGCACATTGACCTTTAAAAACAGTTTTACTGGCTGGGCCAGTGGCTCACACCTGTAATCCCGACACTTTGGGAGGCCGGGGTGGGTGGATCACTTGAAGTCAGGAGTTTGAGACCAGCCTGGCTAACATGGTGAATCCCTGCCTCCACTAAAAATGCAAAAATTAACCAGAGATGGTGGCAGGCACCTGTAGTCCCAGCTATTCAGGAGGCTTAGGCAGGAGAATCGCTTGAACCTGGGAGGTGGAGGTTGCGGTGAGCCGAGATCATGCCACTGCACTCCAGCCTGGGCGACAGAGCAAGACTGTCTCAAAAAACAAAACAAAACAAACAAACAAAAAAAACAAGTTTTACTGTATAATTGACATGCGATAAACCAAACATACTTAAAATGTACAGATTGATGGATTTTGACATACATGTACACTCAAGAAACCATCACCACAATCCAGGCAATGAACATTTCCATCGCCCCCTAAGTTTCCCTGTACCCCTAAGTCATTCCTTCCTCCAGCTTCTCCCTACTCTTCCCCCATCCTGTCCCCAGAACACTACTGATATGTTTTCTGGTGTTGACAATTTTAAAAATACTTTCTCTGCATTCACTGAAATAGTTTTTCTCCTTTAATATTTAATAATTTTTATAATGTTATTGCATACTATTTTCTAATGCTAATGCATACTATTTTATACCTTCTTTACTAATGTTCTCCTTAGGATAATAGCATTTATATTTGTAAATAAGATTGGCCTATGGTTCTTTCTCATGATCTTCTTCTCTGCTTTTGGTATCAAAGTCATACTAGATGCATAAAATGAGTTAGGGAAGATATCGGTCAGGATAGGTTAGGTTATAAGGCACAACAAAAGAGACTGAAAACCTCAGATAGTTAAAAACAAAACAAAACAAACGTATATTTCTGGCTCTTGTTACATATCCATCACTGATCACTAGGAGCATCTATGCTCCTCATAGGCACTCAGGGCCCACATGAGTTCCTTTCTACACATCTCCACCACTGCTGCAGAAGGCAGAAGAGAGCATCATGAACCTCGCAATGGCTCAAGGCCATTTCCACTCACATTCTATTGGCCAAACCAAGTCAGACAGCTGTGACTTCTTACCAGGCGAACTTCCCTGATGACTATCACCATCTGCCCTTCTGTCACCAAATACTCAGTTCTGTCTTCTTTCTATGCACAGAAGAGTACACCTTTTCATCAAGTCCAGATGTGGCTCTCCTTTGACTAGAGACCTGTGGCCTGAAGTGACAAATTGCCTTTTTGCACTTCACTCCTCTGTCTCTCTACCTTTCTCCACCCTGCTCTGGGCCGTGGGAGGACAATCTGCATCAAAAGCCTCCCTTCTTCTCTGGCTTCCAGTTGGGTTTGACAAGAGATGAGAAAGAGGAAACTGAGTGAGGTTGGGTTGCATATTGCTTTTGCTCCCCATCTGTGAGATGGCCACTGGCTGGCGAGCTAGCTGAATTTGGCCTAATTTCCAAGGGAATCGAACCTGCAGTCCACCTGTGCCTGAAAGGAGATATTAGCATTGCATCCATGTCTACTCCAGGAAGAATGGCCTCTGTTTCTCTGGTATTTGGAGATGAGGCCTTGCTCATATTACCTTGGGAGGTAATGTGAACAAGATGGAAATTAATACTTATTGAACATTTTATGTAATGTGCTTATTAAACTATCTGAGGACTTATTTTTTGTTATTTCTTTTTGTGATGCCATTTGTTTACAGTACAAATACAGATCATAAATTTATGATTCAATGAGTTTTGTCAAATGCACACATGCATATAACCCGTACCCCTATCAAGATGTAAAACATTTTCAACACTATGGAACATTCTTTTTTCTTATTCAAGATATATTTTTACTCATCCTTAATCTTTGTATTTCTGTACATTTTAGAATCAGCTTGTTCATTTCTACTAAAATATCTGCTGGGATTTTTATTGGCACCATCTTTGATTCTATAGATCACTTTGAACATACTAAATATATTGTAATCCTAAACATATTGAATCCTCCAACCCATTAACATGATATATACATAATACATGTATTGACGTCTTCTTTAATTTCCCTAAAAGTGTTATATAGTTTTCAGTTTACAGGTCTTACACATATTTTATTAAATTTATCCCTAAGTATTTAACTATCCTTAACTATTGTAAGTGGTATATAAATGCTAATTTTTCAAATTATTTTTGGTAGGATGAAAAAATACACTCAATTTCATATATTGACTTTGTGTATTGCCACCTTGCTAAATTTACTCATTAATTGATTTTTTTTTCTTGTTGTGGATCTCTTAGGATTTTCTATTAATACATAAGTAATCATGTCATCTGTGAGTCAAGGCATGTTTACTTTTCTTATTTCCAGTATTTATGCTGTTATTTCTTTTTCATGTCTTAATGTACTGGCTAGGACATCTAGTACAATATGAAGATGAAGTGGTAAGCATATATTTTGCCTGGTTTCAGCTTTTATGAAGGCACCATTTGTTTTCTCACCATTGCATATGTTAGCTGTAGGTTTTTTCTAGAGATCCTTTATTAAATTGGGGAATTTTTCTTCTGTTTTTACTTTGCTGATAATATTATACTATGAATAGGTGCAAATTACTGTCAAATGCTTTCTCTGTATCTATTATGATGATTTATGATGTTTTCTTCCTTTAATCTGTTAATGTAGTGAAATACATTGATTTTTTAATAGATAAACCAATAATGCATTCCTGGGTACACCTCACATGTTCATGATGTATTTTTATATTTGATAGGGTTGATTTCTTAAGGTTTTATTAAGGATTTTTTGTCATTCTTCATTGTATTTTGTATCTAATTTTCATTTCTTGCAATGTCCCTGCTTGGTTTTATGTCAGGGTTATACTAGCCTCATCTATTCTCTCAATGACTTTGTGAATACTTCATCGTCTTTATTTAAGTATCCCATTTCTTTAACAGATACATGCAGACTTTTTATATTAATATATTGCTGTGTCCATTTTGTTCAGCTGTACTTTACAAAGAATTTCATCTTTGTTTTTTAATTTATTTGCAAAAAAAAGTTTATTATGTTTTCTTATTATCTTATGTCCATAGGACCTGTAGTGATGTTGCATTTTTTCTGTTAGTGATATTAGCATTAGTAATTTTTATTTTTTTTTTTTTAGGCAAAATCTCATTCTGTCACCCAGGCTGGAGTGTGGTGGTATGATCTTGGCTCACTGCAACCTCGACCACCTGTTCTCAAGCAATTCTCCCATGTCAGCCTCCCAAGTAGCTGGGACTGCAGGGACATACCAGCATGTCTGGCTAATATTTTTAATCTTTTGTAGAGACAGGGCTTCACCATGTTGCCCAGGCTGTAAATTTTTGTTTTGTTTTGTTTTGTTTTGTTTTGTTCTTGATCTATCTTGCTAGATAGATCAAGGGTACATTCAACACAATTTATCACTGTTGATGTTGACCTTAATCACTTGGAGATAATGTTTGATAGGTTTCTCCATTGTTAATTTACTTTTTTTTTTTTTTTTTTGAGACGGAGTCTCACTCTATCACCCAGGCTGGAGGGCAGTGGCGCCATCTCAGCTCACTGCAAGCTCTGCCTCCAGGTTCACACCATTCTCCTTGCTCAGCCTCCCAAGTAGCTGGGACTACAGGCGCCCGCCACCATGCCCAGCTAATTTTTTTGTGTGTTTTTAGTAGAGACGGGGTGTCACCGTGTTAGCCAGGTTGGTCTCAATCTCCTGACCTCGTGATCCGCCCGTCTCAGCCTCCCAAAGTGCTGGGATTACAGGCGTGAGCCACCGTGCCCAGGCTGTCCATTGTAAATTTACTTTTTTTTTTTTAACTTCTCCATACTTTATTCTTTGGAAGAAATTTACTATGCACAGCCCACACTTAGGGAGTAAGGCGTTATACTCTACCTCCTAATGGGTAAAGTATCTACCTAAGCTGTTTGAAATTCTTCTGCACATAATATATTTCTCTTCTTTCCCATTAACTTATTTAATCATTTATCTATGTCTGTATGGATATATGGATATTTATTTTAAACTTAGGGTTATAATCTAAAACTACTTTGTTTATTTTGTTTCTCAAGTTGTTCTAGGCTTGACCATTGGGGGCTTTCTGTGTTATTTTTATTAGTAGAATTTTTTATTGAAGAATAATTGAAGTACACTAAAGTGAACATACCTGAAGGGATCTGTTTGATCAGTTTTGACTTGCATATATGCCTATAAAGCCATTACCACAAACAGGATAACAAACATTTCCATTTTACCCAAAATTCTCTCTCCACCGCTATCCCAAAGCAACCATGATCTCATTCAGTCACTACATGTTAGTTTGCATTTTCCAGAAGTTATATAAATGTAATCACACAATATGCACTTTTACCTTGCTTTTCCACTCAGCATAATTGTTCTGAGATTCATTCAGTTGTTGTGTGAGTTGCTGAGTAGTATTCCATTGTATAGATATACCACAATTTATAAATCCATTCACTTGTTGATAGTCATTTGACTTGATTCCAGCGGTTGGCCGTTATAAATAAAGCTGCTATGTACATGTCTACAAGTCTTCGTGTGGCCATATGTTTTCGTTTCTTTTGGATAAATAACCGGAACATTGACTTATATGGTAAGTGTATGTTTAATTTTTAGGAAACTATCAGATTGTTTTCCAAAGAGCATGCCAATTTGTTTATATTCTTGCTAACTCTTGGTACTGTCAAAGATTTTTTAATACTTTGGTGATTACAATGGGCATGGATGGTATCTTATTGTGATTTTAATTTGATTTCCCTGAAGACTAATACCGTTGAGCATATTTTCATGTACTTGTTGGCTATTTATATTTCTTTTGTGTGAATGCTTATTCAGATATTTTCCTCACTTAATATTAGCTTGTCTTTAGTTTTTGTTTTGTAAGAACTCTTTCTTCTGAATACAAATCATTTGTCTGATATGTTTGTTGTAAATATTTTCTTTCAGGTTATAGCTTGCTTTTTTTCTGTTGTTAAAGTTTCTTAATGGTTACCTTTGTATGGCAATTTTTTATTTTGATAAAATTCAATTTTTAAAAATAATTTACCATTGTTGTGTTCTATCTAAGAAATCATTTCGTACCCTGAAGGTCACATAGCTTTTCTACTGTTGTTTTTTTTTTTAACAAATTTTATAGTTTTAGGTTTCAGCTTAGGTTTTTTATTCATTTGGAATTGTGTTTATGTTTTGAAGTAATGGTTGATGTTTGTTTTATTGCAAATGGCTCTCCTATTGTTTCAACACTCTTTAATGAAACTGACTTGAAACTGTTGTCAAAATGAAATCTAGCCTCTCTGTTCTGTACATTTATCTATTAGTCTGTCTCCATGCCAATACTGCACTGTCTTGATTACTGTTGCATTATATGATGTCTTGACATCAGGTGGAGTAAGGCCTCCAATTTTTTTTCATTTTGGTTATTTTTCTTGTTTATTTTTATAAAAGGCCATTGCATTTTTATATAAATTTGAATATTATCTAGTCAATTTCTTTTTAAAAGATTTCTGGAATCATTAATCTATATATCAATTTAGGGATATTTGACACATTAACAATATTAAACCTTAACAATATTGTGTCTCCTGTTTCTTAAGAGGGGCTTGCCAATATCTGGATTTTCATTTATTTAAGTTTCTTCGCATTCTTAGCGCTCTATGGTTTTGTAGGTTGTTTGGTTTCTCGCCTTGTACTTTTTATATCTGTGCTGACTTTCTATATCCTAAGTAGAAGCAGAAGCCATTTTTCTATAGTTTATTTTTAGCTTCTGATTCAAATGGTTTATAGCTTCTTTTTAAAATTTGTTTTTATTATTTTCTTTATAAAATAGCTTTATCGCAATATAGTTGAAGTGCAATAGTGTACACAACATTTAATATGTACAGTTTGGTAAGTTTTAATATAGTGAAACGGTAGGAGTTTTCCCTTATCCCCCCTCGCAGGGCAGCTCAAACCCCTAGGGGGAGCATGCAGACAGGCAGGTCGCGGGGAGCTGGGGCTCTGATCCCACAGCAGCCTCTGGGGTTGAGTGTTCACAGCTCCCGAAGCCCCAGTTGATGTGTGTTACAATGTGCTCTTTCAGCTTAGTCGTCCGCAGGCAGCTTGTGTTAATCAGATCAATTAGACCCTCTGCCTTATCGCAAGATAGAGAGCTTTCTGTATCCCAGGTTCTTGCCCTAGTGTATCAGAAAAATCAGATCACATGTGGGCTTGAAGAACGAGTGCAAGGTTTTATTGAGTGGTTAAGGTAGCTCTCAGCAGACGGATGAGTAGACAGAAGGGGGATGGAGTGGGAAGGTGGTCTTTCCCTGGAGTCCAGCCGCTCCATGGCCGGGCTTTCCTCTGACCTCCCTGGGCTGAATTTCCCTCCGTGACCGTGTCGCTGTGCTGTTAATGGCCTGCCGGCATCTGTCGGTGTGTTCTTCTGCCAGTGTGTTCCTCTCAACGCCCAGCTGCTTGTGTCTGTGCCCGCTAGGGTCTCGGAGTTTTTATAGACACAGGATGGGGTGTGTGGCGGCCACAGTGGTCTTGGAAAATGCAACATTTGGGCGCAAAAACAGGAGTGCCTGTCCTCACTTAGGTCCGTGGGGACAGGCCTGAGGGTGGTGGCCTCCCCAGGGACTGTCCCCCCTTCTCTACCCAGAACTTCCCTGCCCTGCTCCTGTATCAATAGTATACACCTATTAAGCTATCATCACAATCAAGATAATGAATATATGACATTCTCCAATATTTCTTTATGTCCTCTTTGAATCACTCCAATACCACTGCCCCTATACCTAGGTAGCCACTGATCTGCTATAACTATGTATTGGTTGCATTTTGTAGAACTTAAATAAAATTCTGCTTCCTTCACCTGTCGTAATTATTTGAGATTCATCTGTGCTGCTGCATGGATCGTCTGTTCATTGCTTTTGTGGCTGAGTAGTATTGCATTGTATGAATACAGCACAGACTGTTTATCTATTCATCTGTTGAGGGGAATCTGGGATGTTTCTGAGTTTGAGGTATTAAAAATATGGCTTCTATAAACATATCTGCTCATTTCTTTATGTGGATGTATGCTTTTATTTAACTTGGGGAATAAATTCATAGGAATGAAAAGACTGAAATACATGGTATATTAATTAAGTGATTTTCAGATGTTAAATCAACCTCGCATTGCTAGGATATATCCAAATTGGCCAGGGATATAATCTCTATTATATAGTGCTAAGTTTGGCTCGCTCACATTTTCTCAAAGATTTTTCTGTGTTTATGAAATAACTTGATCTGTAGTTTTCTTGTAATGTCTTCACCCGGTTTTGGCATCAGAGTACTTCTAGTCTCATAGAATCAATTGGGAAATATTCCCTCTTCTTCAATTTTCTGTAAGAGTTTGTGTAGAATTGTTTACCATCCTCTGTGAAGGCATTTAACCTTGGAAGATGTTTTCTGTTTATTTTGTTTGTTTTAAGGACGTCAAGTACAATATTAGTTTCTTTAGTAGATAGATAATTCATATTATCAATTTCCTCTTAACACTCTAGTTTGTATATTTTAAAAATATTATCCATTTCATCTAACTTGTCAAATTTATTAATATAAAATTATTCTAATAATTCATAATTATTTTGCATATCTATAGATCTGTAGTGACATTCTATCTCTCATTCCTGACACTGTAATTTATGTCTTCTCCCTGTTTTCCTGATTTGTCTGGCTAGTGGTTTACAGCTTTATTAAGCTTCTCAAAGAACAAACTTTTTATTTATTTATTTTTATTATTTTTATTTTATTTTATTTTATTTTATTTTTTTTTGAGATGGAGTCTCACTCTGTCGCCCAGGCTGGAGTGCAGTGGCACGATCTCGGTTCACTGCAAGCTCCGCCTCCTGGGTTTACTTACGCCATTCTCCTGCCTCAGCCTCCCAAGTAGCTGGGACTACAGGTGCCTGCCACCACGCCCTGCCAATTTTTTGTATTTTTAGTACAAAAAATTATATTTTAGACGGGGTTTCACTGTTAGCCAGGATGGTCTCGATCTCCTGACCTCGTGATCCGCCCGCCTTGGCCTCCCAAAGTGCTGGGATTACAGGCGTGAGCCACAGCGCCCGGCCCAAACTTTTTAATTTTATTGACTTATTTCTATTGCTTTGTTTTTCTGTTTCACTGAGTGACACCTTTATCTTTTGATAATTTCAGTTCTTCCATGTACTTTCCATTTCATTTGCTTTTTTTCCCTGGTTTCCTAAAATGCACTCTAAGGTCATTGATTTGAGACAATTTCCTTTTCTAATTTAGCTGTAGTGGAAGCCCACAAATTTGACCTGCTGTATTTTCATTTTTTCATTCAATTTATACTTTCTCATTTCCCTTTAGAGTTTTTCCTTGATTTGTGTTCTTTAGCAGTGTGCTACTTAGTTTCTAAATGTTTGGGAATTGATTTTTCCAGAGCTCTTTCTATTATTGATTTTTAGTTTAATTGCTTTGTGGTTAGAGAACATATTTTGTATGACTTAAATTCTTTTAAATTTAATAAGATTTGTTTTGGGGCCCTGAATATTATTGACCTTTGTAAATGTCCTGTCGCATGTGGAAAAAATATATATTCTGTTGTTGGAGGTTGGAGTGTTGGAGTGTTCCATAAATGTCAACTAGGTCAAGTGAGTTGACATTTTTGTCAGTCTTCTCTATCTTTGCTGACTTCCTGTCTACCTGTTTTATTAATTATTGAGAAAGGGTTATTGAAATATTTGCCTATAATTAGTAATTTGTTTATTTCTCCTTACAGTTTTATCAGTATTTGCTTCAAATATTTTGAAACACTGTTAGTGGATGTATACATTTTTAGAATTTTTATGTTCTCTTGATAAATTGAACCCTTTATCATTGTGAATTAATGTTACTTTTGGTCAGAATATTCTGCAGTCCAAAATTGACTTATTCTGTTATTAATCTAGCAACTGTAGCTTTCTTTAGATTAATTTTAATACATTATATAATTTTCTGTTTTTTTCTTTTATGTATTTTGTTGATTTATATTTAAAATTATCCTTTTTGAAGACAACGTACAGTTGAGGCTTGGATTATCTGATAATACTGACTTTTAATTAAAGTTTTTAAACTCTTTAAAATTGCTGTAATTATTGACTTGCTAGCTTTAAATATTGCTATTCATTTCTATTTGTCTTTTCTGTATGTTGTTTCCCTTTTCACCTATTTTCTGCCTGCTTTGGGGTAAGATGAGTATCACTTATAATTTGATTTTAATACCTGTTGGCTTATTTGCTATAACTCCTCATTTTGTTGCTTAGTGGTCTTTTTAAGGTTTATAGTATACACGTCTAATTTATCGCAGTCCTCAAATGATGTTATTTCACTTCAAATATAGCATAAGTACCTTACGACAGTATATTTTTAGGTGTCTCAGCTTTTGTGCTATCCTTATCATACATGTGATTTTACATATTTTATAAACTCCACATTACATTGTTATTATTGTTTAAAAAGTCAATATATATTGTTTAAAAATCAATCATCTTTTCAAGAGATTTAAATACAAGGAAATAACCTTGTGCATTTATCCAAGGTGGTTACCATTTTTGGTTCCCTTCACTCCTGTGTGTAGATACATACTAACTTCCTTCTGCCTGATGGACTTTCTAGAGCATTTCTTGTTATGTGGGCCTCATGGTGATGAATTATTTTGGCTTTGCATGTCTAAAAATGTCTTTATTTTTTCTCATTTTGAAACGTATTTTTTTTTCTGGGTATAAGATTCTAAGGTTTTCTTTCACTGCTTTAAATATATTGTTCCACTGTCTTCCTGCTGGTCTTGGTTTTTGTTTTATGAGAAACTTGCTGTCATCCCTATTTGTGTTCCTGTGTGCATAATAAATCTTTTTCTTCCCCCCTGGATGTTTCTCTTTCTCAGGAATTTTGAGCAATTTGGTTATGGTGATTATGGTGCCTTCATGTGATTTTTTTCATGCTTCTTGTGCACAAAGTTTGTTAAGTATCTTCAATAATTGGGTTTATAATTTTCATCAAATTTGGAAAGTTTTTGGCTATTATTTCTTCAGATATTTATCTGCCCTGCCCCTTTTATTAACACTGATTACACACGTTAGGGCTCTGAATGTTTTGTTATACAGATTACCTATGCTCTTTTCATGTATGTATTGAGTCTGTTTTAATTCTCTCTGTGTTCCTTCTTGGGTAGTTTCTACAGCTATGTCTTCAAATTCGCAAGTCTGTTTCTCTGCAATGTCTACTTAATGCTATTCAGTGCATTATATTTTTTATCTCATTCTTGTAGTTTTCATTTTTCAAGTCTGATTTGGATCACATTTCTATTTAACCTTTTGAACATGGGGAATAGAGTTGCAATAACAATTTTAATATTCTTGTATGCTAATTCTAATATTTGTATCAGTTCTGTGTTGGTGTGATTGGTTACTTTTTCTTCTCGTGTTACCTCATATTTTCTGCTTCTTTGTATGCTTGATAATTTTTCATTGGTTGCCCAACAATGTTAATTTATCTTGTTGAGTGATGGATTTTTTTGTTTTGCTGTAAATATTCTTGAGCTTTGTTTGCCACTAAGTTACATCGAAGCAATTTGATCCTTTTGCATGTGCTTTTAAGATTTTTATACAGGACCTCATGTTCAGTCTATGGCTACTTATTCTCTGCTACTGAGGCAAGACCCTTCTGAGTATTCTAGTGGCTCAGTCCATTTGTGCAGCCGTAACACAATACATGAGAGTGGGTAATTTATAGAGAATAGAAATTCATTTTTCACACGAACATTCACACAAAATTTATTTTCTGAAGTCTGGGAAGTTCAAAATCAAGGCACTGGCTGACTTAGTGTTTGGTGAGGGTATCTTCTCACAGTGTCTTCACATGGTGCAGAAGGCAGAAGGGATGGAAGGGCCAAAGGCACTAGGGTGCTCCCTTCAACCTCGTTTATAAGAGCACTAATCCATTCATGCAGGTGACACCATCATGACTTAACACCTTAAGGCCCAGTCTCTTAATATCATCACCTTGGGGTTTCAGTTCCAACACATGAATTTTGGAGGGACACATACTTTCAAGTCATAGCATTTACACAAGGTCTCATAAATTATCTACCAGTTTGGCCACAAATTTTGGCCTGGTATGAGTGCTAGGCACTGTTTAATTTTGGGGAGTTCTTTTCTTAGAGTATTAGTCAGGTTCGCCAGAGAAACAGAACCAAAATAGATATATATAGGATATATTCTCTCTATATATTATAATAAATATTATATTAATATATTGATATATTAACATTAATATATGATTATAATATAATATATAATTATATTAATATAATTATATAATATATTAACATGAATATATTATATAAAATGTTAACATTAACATATGTGTTATATATATATCATCATGATAGATAAATATATATATTTATTTGCTAATTATGAGGAATTGGCTCATGTGACTATGCAGGTGGAAGAGTTTCAGGATCTGCAGTCTGCAAGCTGGAGCCCTATGGGAAAGTAGATGGTGCAATTCAGTCTAAGTCCAAAGGCCTGAGAACCGGGGGGAGTCAGTGGTGTAAACCCGTGGGAGGGCAGGAGAAGTCAGAATGATATGTCTCAGCTCAAGCAGTAAGGCAAGAAAAATGGGACAAATTCTTTCCTCTGCCTTTTATTCTTTTGGACCCTCAGTGGATTAGATAATGCACCCCCACCTTGAGGAGGGCAATCTACTTCACTGACTCTACCAATCCAAATGCTAATCTCACCCAGAAACACCCTCACAGACACGCCCACGACAATGTTCCATCTGGGTACCCATGGCCCATTTAAGTTGACACATATAATGAAACATCACACCCAACCTCCGGTAGTTTATGCACATGCATGCCTTGATCAGTACTGCTGAACACTCAACAAGGACTCTATGCTGATCTCTGGAGTTTTCTCCCTGTGCAGCTCTGTTCTGTGCACGCTATCTGCCTTGTTGTCCTGGAATCTCAGCTGTCTCTTCAACTCAGGGACTCTTTAGGGTTCTGCCTGAGTTCCACTTTTCTATGCCATAGCGTGGAGACAATGTCAAGGCAACTGTGGAGTTCACCGTTTTCTCTCTCTCAGGAATCACTGTCTTTTGTTGCCTAATGTCTGGGGACTTAAAAACTGTTATTTTGTATATTTTTTCTGTTTTTTTTTCTTGGCTGTCTCAGGCATGAGAGTAAATGTATTTCCTGTTATTCCATTTTATCTGGAAGGTGAAGTTAGCGTTTCTTTTTTGCAGAGATTACTACCTCCCTGGCCCATTGCGAGGCCTCCTTTGCAATTATGATCCATCACACTTGTGACCACAGTATCTCCTTTTTTGTTTGTTGGTTCAGTGGGATGAACAGCCTCAAATTTAGGTCCCAAATTCAAAATATTGATCAATTTCAAATCCGTATAAATCAAATTATTTTAAAGTGCTAACTGTGCTGCATATCTTTTCAAGCCCGAAGACAAAGAAAATGACTCACTGAGGAGCAGTAGAAGCAATGACGAGGATGATGTCACACATTTGCTTGGTGTCTACTCAGCACTTGTGCTTGACATCTATGATCTCATTTGGTTCTGAATCCCCCAGAGTGGTGGGCACTATTACCATCTCCATCTGATGTATGAGGAAACTGGGGACACCGTGTATGGAAGGATGACCGAAGATTGGTTAAGACTAAACTCTCAGCTTTGCCGAAAGTAAGACAGCCCATCAGGAAGGTGAAGAGCCTTGGACAACTGTGCCTCCATCAGGGCCTTGGTGGTAAGGTTGGCTTTTCTGGTGGGAGACAACCCACTGCTTTCTCAACCCTTTCTGTTCTTACCTTAAAGTCCTACCCAAGTAGACCTCATTTCCAGGAAGTCTCTTTAATAAAGGGTGGCTCCCTCCCATCCCAGTTCCTTAGTGACCTCCTGTAAGTGGTATCATTTTAGTTCCACCTCTGGGGAATATGTGCATAAAAACCTTGGGTTTTCAAAACAAGGCTCAGGAGAGAATATCTGAGAGTAAAGGACATGAACACTTCTCTTCATATTCCCAGGACCCTCCAGTGAACATGCCTTGTTTCCATCTGCCCATCACCTTTTCCTGCCTTCTTCTGATGTTAGGATCATTCTTTTCTGGGAGTAGACCACTTATAAGGATTTAGGTGGGTTTCCCAAGCAGATATCTCATGTTCTGGGTCTGCTTGGCAAGCCAGAGTGCCCCAACCCAGATGATGAGCATGGTTCAGGAATATGCATGTAATCCATATCAGGATGATCAGAATCCACTCAAAACTTATCTTTTTACCAAAACTATTCAAAAGCCCTCCTCTCCTAGGGTTGGGAAGGTGTATATGGAGCTAGAGCTTCTACAGCATGGAAAGAACCTGTGAGCAGTGCAGGAGTCAGAGCCCAGGGATGTTACTGGGTGTCTTGACCCAGCTGTGCTCCTGGACATCCAAGTTTTGGAAACCAATACTTCTAGCTTTTGTTCATGTTCATTTGAGCTTAATCTCTCTAGCTTACTCGTTTTTAGCTTTCTACTGAGAAGCCATATCCTCTCCACTAACTGTTCCAGGAGTGATTAATCACCTTACGAAGGAAGACCTTGCCTAACACCAATTTTCAGATGATATCCCAACATTCATGAGAGGTGGAGGGGAGTGTTCCTCCAACTTGACCCAGCAATCATCCCAGAGCCCCTGATGTCATCACAGCAGCCTGGGCTTGCTCACCCGTGTTGTTGTGAGCCTCAGCGATGATGGTGCTGGGTCTGCAGAGTTCTGGCTGCAGGATGGAGTTGGAATATTGTACTCAGTGGAACTGAGCTGGGGCTGAACAAAGGCAAATCTTCTGCCCTGGGGATTAGGCATTCATCTGTGCCAACTCTCTTAAATATTTACAGATGTGGATTCGTGACAATAAAATTTGTGTAGGTTATATTTAGAGAGAAAACGAAGAAACATCTGAGGAACCCCTGCTGTGTGCCATGTCCTGTGCTGGATGCTTTCTCAAGGTACTTCATCTCATCTTCACAAGCTTCCTGGGGGCTATTTTGGATGCTCCATTTTATAGATGAGGAAACTGAGGCCGAAAGAGATTATATGACTTACCCAAGGCCATGCAGGTCAAAGTTCTAAATGATACAGCCAGGACTCAGCCCTAGGTCTTCTACTCTAAGTCAGGTTTGCTGTGAGTCGTGAAGTGGGTTAAAATGCATGTGACAGAATACCAACAAAATAGGGTTGGTCAGGAGATAGGCAGCCTACACTCTAGAAAGTCAGCAGGAACCAAGGTACCTTCTGACTGTCTCCTCTCCCATCCTAATCCTCATCCTCATCCTCACACACACAAGCTAGAGGCCACATCTTGTCCATATTCCAAACAGAAAGAAAGGGAAGGGGAAAGTCCAAAAATGGATGTTCCAGCAAAGTCTGCCCCAGTATGAGATTTCTGCTATTGCCATAATAGCTTACCAAAAATGTAGTCACTTTGAACAATGCAAAGTTATTATTTGAGAGTTCTTAATGTCAGAAGTCTGACACCGATCTCATTGAGCTAAATCAATAGAACAAAGGGGCTGCCTTTCTTTCTAGAGGTCCTGGGGGAACATCTGTTTCTTTGCCATTTCTAGCTTCTAGAGCCACCTGCATTCCTTGGCTCATGGCTCCCATCTCTCATCATCATAGCCAGCAGTAGGGTGAGTCCTCACACTACATTTTTCTGAGTGCTTCCATCATCACATCTCTCTCTTTGAACAGAGCCAGAAAAGGTTCTCCACTTTTAAGAACACATGTAACTAGTTGGGGCCACCTGCATAATTCAAGAAAACCTCCCTATATCAAGGTCTTTACCCTTAATCACATTTGCAAAGTCATTTTTACCATATGAAGTAATACATTCTCAGGTTCTAGGCATTAGGATGTGGGTTGGGTGGCTGTTATTCCAATGGCCACAGCCCTCTTCTAATAAAGTTTCCCTACAAGCTTCATGTAAAATGTCTTGGCCATAATAGAGTCGCCAAGTTATTCCTGCAAGGGAAGCTGGGAAAAGTAAATTGTTTACTTAACTGGGCACATTGGCTTCACCAGCAGGGAAGACTGAATATTAGGTAATCTACTTGCTATTTCTCCTACACAGGCCTAGAGTTACACAAAACGTACTTGGGAGTTAACTTTCTTTTCTAACTCTCTGAAAAGGTTTGTCCTTGGCAACACATCTCCTTCCCTTTCTTTGGCCCCCAAGTGATACCTCATGATAGATGTATCCATATACTCACCTATAAGTGTATCTATCTATCTATCCCTCTATCTCTATATTTGCATTAAGTAGACACAGAGAAAATATTTGTTGAATAAATGGAGATTTGATCTCCTATATCTCATGTATTTAGCCTGAAAAAAATGCTAAGATTCTCTTAATTTCATAGAACTGTGATATAGATCTGTGATACAGCAGAAGTAACCCTGCAGTCTAAAGAGAAGATCTGAATTCAGTTCTACCTTTGCTGTATGCTAGCTTGGATGACAAAAGGCAAAATGTTTCACTGTCCTTAACTATGACATATAAACAATGTCTATCCCAGAAGACAGTTTTAAAATTAAATATACTAAATGGTACAGAAAATATTTCTGATTCCAGTAATATTTTGCTCTGTACAACTTAAAAATTCTTACAAAGCTCTGTAAATACTGTATAAAATAGAACAGACATGTTTTAAATGCATAGGTGAGCTTTCAACAAGGAAGAAGAAATCCTTGTGTGATAGAATCAATAAGGCAGCTTAAAAACCAAAAAGGAAGCATAGAATGCTGTAGATAGGTTTCACATTTTTTCTTCTAATGTTGAGACCACATTTTTCTGGGAGTAGACCACTTATAAGGATTTAGGTGGGTTTCCCGCAGCAGAGAGCTCATGTTCTGGGTCTGCTTGGCCAGCCAGAATGCCCCACCCCAGCTGTCAAGCATGGGGGATTACAGAAAATTCTAGGCCCCACAGGAGGCAGGTTTGAGTACTAGAACTGAGAATTCTGTATGAATGGTAGACCAAAAAAGAACTGTACCTCTAGAAAAGAGTGGCTTAGTAAAGAAATATAGTCATTAACTTAGAAAATCAACCAGAAAACTTACCTATCTCTGCTTGGACTCTGGGTAAGAGAAAAAGTTCAACACACATATTCAAAGCCAGAACTTGCATTGCATGGATTTGTGGAGATCAAATTTGCAATAACTGTGTCTTTCCAAAGCTCATAATCTAAAAAAACTAATATAAAAATAGATTCCATGCCAGTTATAGCCAAAATCTCTAAGCAGGAGAAAATCATAGAACAGTTATGTAGTAGATCTTACAGGAGAAAAATTTACATGTCAAAGTTATACCACATTTAAGGAAATAATCCACAGTGAATGAAAGACAGCAGAAACAATATATAGCATTAGAGTTCCCTAGGAATATTAGAACTGACAAAGACTGTAAAACTCAATTAGTATTTAAAAAGCAGATTTGACACAATTGAAGAGAGAAATAATAAACTGGAGGATAGGGAACAGGAAATTACTCAAATGCAGTATAAGAAGATAAAGAAGTGAACAAAAGATTAAGAAGCACCAAGGACAGAATGAATAAATCTAACATGTCTACTTGAAGAAAAGGGGAATAGCAAAAATGAAAGAGAAACAATATTCAAAGGGATAATTGTAAAAATAATGGAAAATATGAATTTTTAGATTCAATATTCATAACAGATCTTGGGACAAATAATTTAAAATATATTCATATCTGGACATGTAATTGGGTCAAAATTTGTATATTATTTACTGTATTTACTTTTATTTAATGTAATTCTCAAGCATTTTCTCATATGATAAAAACAGTTGTCCCACAATTTTAGTGTCTGTTCAATATTCTAATGTCTCATGATTTATTTACTCACTCACTGATATATAAATATTTATGGATTTATCCCTCAAACTAATATTTGTAGAGGTAACATGATGTTGCTCATCACTGCATAGAAATCTTCATACATTCAAAATTTACTTAGAATTCTAAAAGCAGAACTATTAAATGATATAACCTTTTTACGGCTCTTAAATTTTTTTTCAAACTTCTGGATTAATCTGACAAACACTACCTCAGGTGATATACATCGATATCAACAGTGATAAGTCATTTTGACAGTATGTGATGAATTGATATGATATGGTGTGATGAGAATGACCTGTTACCTACGTGGTTTTCCTCCCAAATTCATGTAACTACAATATAATCATTTCAGTTGAAGCACATTATTTATACTAAATACCTGACTTGTACTCCTCAAAATGATCAAAGTCATCAAAACTAAGAGAGACGCAGTCTCATTCTGTCACCCAGGCTGGAGTGCAGTGTGTCATCTCTGCTTACTGCAACCTCTACCTCCTGGTTTCAAGCAATTCTCCTGCCTCAGCCTCCCAAGAAGCTGGGATTACAGGCACCTGCCACCACACCCTGCTAATTTTAAAACTAAGAAAATTCTGATTAACAATCACAGCCAAGAGAAGCCTAAGAAAACATGACAGCTGCACATAATGTGCTATCCTGAATGGGATCTTGGAATATAAAAAGAACATTATGTGAAAATTAAGGATATCTGAACAAAGTATGGGATAGCTACTATAAAGACACATGCACACGTATGTTTATTGCAGCACCATTTACAATAGCAAAGACTTGGAACCAACCCAAATGCCCATCAGTGATAGACTGGATAAAGAAAATGTGGTACATATACACCATGGAATACTATGCAGCCATAAAAAAGAATGAGTTCATGTCCTTTGCAGGGACATGGATGAAGCTGGAAACCATCATTCTCAACAAACTAACACAGGAACAGAAAACCAAACACTGCATGTTCTCACTTATAAGTGGGAATTGAACAATGAGAACACATTAACACAGGTAGGGGAACATCACACACCGGGGCCTGTTGATGGGTGGGGAGCAAGGGGAGGGATAGCGTTAGGACAAATACCTAATGTAGATAACGGGTTGATAGGTGCAACAAACCACCATGGCACATGTATACCTATGTAACAAACCTGCACGTTCTGCACATGTATCCAAGAACTTAAAGTATAATTTAAAAGAATAATAATGTATAGCTCAGTGTAAAGCCATCTGGGCCTGGGCTTTCTTTGTGGGAAGATTTTTAATTACTAATTTAATATTTTCCCTTGTTATAGGTCTATTAAGATTGTCAACTTCTTCTTGAGTCAGTTTTTGCAGTTTGTGTCTTTCAGGAAATTTGTTTATTTCACTAATGTTATCTAATTTGTTGGCATACAATTTTTTCATGATATTCTTTTGTAATTCATTTTTATTTCTATAAGGTCAGTAGTAATGTCCTCTTTTTTGTTTCTGATTCTATCAATTTAAGTCTTCTCTTTTTAAAAATTCTGATCAATCTAGCTAAAGTTTTGTCAATTTTGTTGATACTTTGAAAGAATTAGGGTTTGGTTTCATTTATTTTCTCTATTGTTTTTCTTTTCTGTATTTTATTAATTTCCACTCTAATTCTTATTATTTCCTCCTGATATGGTTTGGATAGTTGTCCCCTGCAAATCACGTGTTGAAATGTGATTGACATTTCACATGTGAAATGACCCCCAGTGTTGGAGGTGGGACCTAGTGGGAGGTGTTTGGGCCATGGGGTCAGATCCCTCATAAATGGCTTGATGCCCTCCCTGTGGTAATGAGTTACCAGGAGATCTGATTGTTAAAAAGAGTCTGGGACCTCCCTCCTCTCTCTTGCTCTCTCTCATCATGGGATGTGCCTACTTCCTCTTTGCTTCCTCCATGATTATAAGCTTCCTGAGGCGCTCACCAGAAGCCATGCTGGTGTCCTACTTCACAGCCTGCAGAACTGTGAGTCAAGTAATTTTCTTAAAAAATTACCCATCCTCAGGTATTCTGTAGAGCAATGCAAAATGGATTAACACAACTGCCTTATGCTTGCTTTAGGTTTAGCTTGCTCCTCTTTTTTCAGTGTCTTAAAATGTAAGTTTAGGTTACTGATTTGATAACTTTTTTCTTAATATAGACATTTGCAGCTCTAAGTTTCCCTGTGTTATATGATACTGCTTTTACTGTGTCATATAACTTTTGATATGCTTTGCCTTCTTTTTCATTCATATCAAAGTGTTTCCTAATTTTTCTTTTTATTTACTTTTTGACCCATTGACTATTATAATAGCGGTACTCCCCAAACTGATCTACAGATTCAATTCATTCCCAATCAAAATCCCAACAGCCTATTTTGCAGAAATAATAAGCTAATTCTTAAATTCATATGGAACTGCAAGGAACCAGAACAGTCAAAACAATCTTGAAAAAGGAGAATAAAGTAGGAGAAGTCACACTTCCTGATTTCCAAACTTACTACAAATCAAGAGTAACTAAGACAATGTGATACTGGCACAACGATATACATATTTATCAATGCAATGGAATTGAGAGTAGAAATAAACTCAGATATCTATGGTCAACTAACTTTCAACAAAGGTCTTAAGACTATCCCACGGGGGAGGAATAGTCTTTTCAACAAATGTTGTTGGGACAACTGAATATTCACATGCAAAATACAATTTTTAAGAATCTATGATTAAAGGTGGAAAAAAATATTGGGCTAGAGGTCATAAGATTTAAAGTTTAGCCTTGGCACTGCCAGTAAATAAGAGTGTAACTTTGGAACAATTATTGTACCTCTTTAGGCCTCTATGAGGGTTTTGGAGCAAGTAACATGGCTGCTCAGGTCCTATCCACATCCAACCTCTTCTTAGCCTGTGATGACTGTATCTCATGAGCTGTGATGATGTAGTGACAGAACAGGTGGCGCACCTTGGTCCAAAGCCAAGAATACCATTTTCACATATTCAGCACTTTGCCCCACCATCTGATGCTACTTGGCCTCCTTTGCCTGACCCTAGATCCTAGAGCATTCCTCCAGGGATAGGCATTTGATATGGTTAGACTTCGCGTCCCCCCCCAAACCTCATCTTGAATTGTAATCCCCAGGTATTTAGGGAGAGACCTGGTGGGAAGTGATTGGATTATGGGGGCGGTTCCCCCATGCTGTTCTTATGATAGTGAGTGAATTCTCAGGAGATATGATGGTTTTAGAAATGCTAGTCTTTCCTGTGCTGACTCATTCTCTCTCTTGCCACCCTGTGAAGAGGCGCCTTCCGCCATGATTATAAGTTTCCTGAGGCATCCCCAGCCATGTGGAACTGTGAGTCAATTAAACCACTTTCTTTATAAATTACCCAGTCTTGGGTATTTCTTCATAGTAGCATGAGAATGGACTAATACAGCATTTCAAAGTGTCTCCACAGTAACTACATTGTAGTTTATAACTTTGAGCAATTCCCTCATGTAGCCCTGTTATGTGATAGAAGGCTTTTATTTACTTATTTATTTATTTTTCCAGGCTGTAAGGCACAGAATGAGCCTTGTTCAAGTGACTATAAGGTGAAAAGTTTTATGTGAAAATATTGGTACATATGGAGAAACACAGGGTGTGTGATCAGCAGGGGATCTGGTCTTCAGGGGAAGTCACATACCTATTCAGGAGCCCATGGAAAGTCCTCACAGAGGGTGGTAGGCCTTGAATCAGGCCCCTGTGTCTGGCTGGTGGCTCAGGTGTCAAGCCTAGTGTTGTATCCAGGGTTGCACAGTTCCATAGCACAATGTGCAGCAACTCACCAGAAAAATGCATCTCAGAAGGGGGCCAAGGGCTTCACTAGACCTTGGAATCCCATGGAATATCAGAATGATGGTGACTCATAAGAATAGCCATTCTGTTTTGAGTAGTCACTTTCCAAACACTAGTTCCAACACTCCCATCCATGCAGGATATATGTTACTCTCCCTGTTTTCCAAATGAAGAAAGAGAGGCTCAGAGAAGTCAAGTGACTTGCTTGGTCACAGCCAGTGGGTTTCACAGTCAGGCCTCTGCCCTGATGTGTCTGACTTCAATCCTGGATATTTTGCCCTGCACAGTCTAATCTATTCTACTCAGACCTTGATTATTTTGGACCCAGCAGATGGTGTAATAATGTCTTGTTCTAAGTCATGATGCAGTGGAGTGAGTTGTTATGGCCTGAGTTGTGCCCCCTTCCCCACATTCTTATGTTGAAGTACTAACCTGCAGTGTGACAGTATTTGGAGATAGGGCCTTTAAAGAGGTTAATTAAGGTTATATGAGGTCATAAGGTGGGGCTCTAACACAATAGGACTGATGTCCTTATAAGAAAAGGAAAAGACAACAGGGCTGCAAATGCACAGGGAGAAGGCCGCGAGAGGACACAGCAAGGATGCGATCATCACAAGCCAAGGAGAGGCCTCAGGAGAAAACAGCCCTACTGAACCCTTGATCTTGGACTTTCAGCCTCCAGGTTGAGCACCTGGATTTCTGTGTTGTTTGTTTGTTTTGTTGTTGTTGTTGTTGTTGTTGTTGTTGTTGAGATAGAGTTTCGCTCTTGTCACCCAGGCTGGAGTGCAATGGCACGATCTTGGCTCACTGCAGCCTCCGCCTCCTGGGTTCAAGTGATTCTCCTGCCTTAGCCTCCTGAGTACTTGGATTACAGGCGCCCACCACCATGCCCAGGTAATTTTTGTATTTTCAGTAGAGATGGGGTTTCACCATAATGGCCAGGCTGGTCTCAAACTCCTGACCTCAGGTGATCCACCCGCTTTGGCCTCCCAAAGTGCTGGGATTACAGGTGTAAGCCACTGTGCCTGGCCTGGATTTCTGTTTTTTAAGACCCCTACTCTATGATATTTTGTTATGGCAGCCAGTTCTCAACACTGAGAGAGAGAGTCAGGGTCAAAGATCTCTGCAGTCCCTTCCAAAATCTAACGTTGTGTCAGTCGAGAATGTTTGAACTTTTCATCTGCTTAGATCTCTGGACTACATAAAACTCCTAATTCCAACGTCTTGTTTAGAACCTAGCGGTTCACCTAGCCCTTGAGACTGCAGGAAAAGTGTCCAGCACTCATTCTGGGCACTGTATTTGGGGATTTGCATTTGTCTGTCCTTCCGCAGAGGGTCCTTGCTGTGCAGAATGGCCTGGGGTTCTCTGGGTAGGTGGCGCACAGCAGGTCTTCTGAAAGTGGCATTTCCTGCCATAGGAACGAGCATGGAGACTGTCCATAAGGATATCCTGGGTCGATGTCAAAAGCCCTGGGGCCCAAGTAACCAAGGGAAATCCCTCAAGACTGAATTGGGGGTGGAGTGCTGTATAACAACCAGATTGGTGAGTGAGGCTGCCTCATTAAAAAGATAGGTAGGTACAGTGCACCACAGAGGTAGTGATGTTCTGCCCCCGAAAATTCACATGATGGACCCAGGTGTGTGTTTGTTATGTTTTTAATATTATAAATGCTTGAGATACACTTTAAATTTCACAACTTCACCAACATGTTTCTTCTTCCTATATGTTCCCTCCAAATACTGGTGAGCCCGGGCGCCTTCCAGCCCAGCTCATCAGCATACACTTTGAGTACTTCTTTCCTTGCCGTAGGGAGAAGCTCGGTGATTTTCACCATTGAGAGCCAGCCTGAGAGCCCAGAACAGCTCTGGTGTGTGGCTTGAGGGCAGAGCCCACAATATCCCCCACCCTCGCCTGCCACAGAAATTCATCCCATAGGTGAAGCAAGGAGGCTCCACTCACTCCGCGATTAAGATGCAACCCCAGCCCAGAGCAGTGTGAGACAATGTGGAAATGCTTCGGGTTGAACTGTTGTATCAGCTTAGCTCTTAAGGAATAGAAGAAAGAGATAAATCTTGATGTCTAAATTTGAAGGGAGTTGGAGGGCTGAAGGGCTGTATGTGGGCAGTGTGAGGAAGTTAGGAAGAACTGGGTCCAGGTGAACCCACTGTCTTCCCCCAGTGTCCACAGTAGTCTCTGGGAGCCCTGCGTGGAGGGTACCCAGAGAAAGGGGGACCCAGGCAAAGCCCTTTGCCCTCCACTGTGCCTCTCTGCAGCAGGAAGAGAACAGAGACCATACAAAGAGAACACTCATACTAAACTTCTTCAGGTCCTTCCATTTCCCTCCAACCAGCCTACCCAGCCTCATGCTTCTAAAAAAGTCCCCCTAAAGCCACCGACATGACTGTACAGTCAGGACCGGCCACGCTGGAGAGCTGCTCCAAAACTTCAGGATGAAACCTGGTCTCTCAAAGTAATTCAGCCTGTGATTTTCAGCAATTCAAAACTCTATTTGTTATTAGTGCTACCAATAAATCTGAGAGAGACAAAAAGCCCCTTCCAAATGGCATTTCAATATTTACCTCTGCAGTTGGTAGTATGTTGATTGTTGATACCCAGAAACAACAGATTTCTTTTTCACAATGTGTCCAAACTGTCCCGCCTTGCCCCACTGAGGCATCAGCCAGCACCTCCTGCAAATAACATGCACGGTAGAGCGTAGAGAGAGACTTGGCATTTCAGAGTCTACTTTAAATTTTATCAGCATTACACTTTCGAGATTCAAGTTTGAAGCAATAGTCTGAAAGGAAAGCATTTTGAATTTCAAAAGCTGGGCCCTGAGAAACAATATGCCTTCATACTGAGTTTGTTTTCTTCACCCTGAAAAACAGATGATGTTTTCCTGGGCTGGGGAAGGGATGAAAGAATGTCAGAGGAAAAAGCAAGAAGTGGAGTCAGGAGATCCAGGAAAACGTGCAGGGCTCTCCCCAGTGCCTGAACCCTAGCAGCGAGGACAGGGTGGAGACAGTGGAGAGGCGGGGCGGAAAGGTGGAGCTAACCCCACTTCCTCTGAGTGCCCTCCCTTCTCCCAGTGTGGAGAAGGCTCTGGCTATCCTGCCACTTGGACTGACGGACACACACAGTATCACAGAGTTCCTTCCCACTCCAGCGTCGCCTGGGAGGCAGTAAACTACTTCCCCCTTGTCAGGAGTCAGGCACCTGAGTCCTCCCATGTTCCCTCTGGCCGCAGAGTGCCACAGGCTGCAGAGGGCTCCTTCCAGACCCCTAGGAGTGGCCTGAAATAGCTGGGAGGATGCTGTACTGGAGGGGCCCTGCACCCAGGAACAAGGGGTGACTGAGCCTCGCCCTGCACACACTGACGTTCACCCTGACAATGCAGCCTCAGGGATGACAGACAGGAGATGATGGGACAGACACCCAACCCCAGCCACCCCTAGGTCATGGCACAAAGGAGCCATCCAAAATAGCCACACTCGGTGGCAGCTGGGACAAGACACACACATACGTGCATGTGTGCATGTGTGTGCGAGGGAGACCTACGTTCCTTGGAATTTCCTTTCCGCCATTGGTGGAAGGGAGCTTACAAAGTAACTTCTGTTGTATACACATAGAGCTACATTTTTTGGAAACTTTGGGATTCATGTCCTACTAGTTTCTTTCATTTATGCTTTACAGCTAATGTTAGGCACATAAAAAAAGATATTATTGAGAGTAAACTTTATTGCCAGCACTTTAGAGTACAAATAGATGTAATCTATTTCCACCTGCAGTTGAAAACTTATAAAAAAAATTCACTATGGAGTGAATATTTTACTGCTATGGGAACTGTAAAACAAAACAAAACAAAAAAAACCTGTAAAAAATCTGTAAAAACAAAACAACTGTTAAAAAAAAACAAAGACACATAAAATTACCATGTTTTTAAATCCCTGAGGCAAAACCATCAACAAAATAAATAAATCCATTAGACTTTCAAATCACAATAATAATGCCCACAATGATTTTCTTCTGCTGTACCTATAAAACCCCAAATAAGAAACGATCTCATCTATAGATGTAAGGCGATAACAATTCACTCCACCTAGCGTGAAGCCCACAGTGAATGTGGAAGCTCAAAGAGACATTTCTGTGCCCACTGGCAGAAGGGCTATCAGGGGATGTGACATTTGCTCGTGGATGTCAACATGGAGAGAAAGCAAATCTTCAGTTTAGAAGAACTGGGTTAGATCAAAGCCACTCACCCTTATGCAAGAGAAGGGATCTCTTTTGAGAAGCCCGCAAGTCACTAGCAGACAATGAAACCATGAGAATGGCCTGGCGTGGTGGCTCACGCCTGTAATCCCAGCACTTTGGGAGGCCGAGGCAGGCGGATCATGAGGTCAGGATATCGAAACAATCTTGGCTAACATGGTGAAACCCTGTCTCTACTAAAAATGCAAAAAATTAGCTGGGTGTGGTAGTGGGCGCCTGTAGTCCCAGCTACTCCGGAGGCTGAGGCAGGAGAATGGCGTGAACCTGGAAGGAGGAGCTTGCAGTGAGTAGAGATTGCGCCACCGCACTCCAGCCTGGGCAACAGAGCAAGACTCCATCTCAAAAAAAAAAAAAAAAAAAGAAAGAAACCATGAGAATGGACATGCGTTGAATGAGGACTGCTACCAGGAATACTTTACATGTCCTATCAGTGTAATTCCTGCAAAGGCCCCTGTGAGTGGGCTTGGTCTGCATTTATTATGCAATTCCCCAGGCGTCCTCACTCTAGCAGGGGAGCCAGGATGATGCTTCAGGTCCCCAGGCATCAGTGTCACCTCAAAACTGCCCCTGCACATTAATGTTCTCTGCAGACTCACATCTCATGGACCTAGCCCAGTTCACGGCCTGTGACCTGGCTTCTGGGGCTAAATGCAGGAATGTCTGAACCCTCTTGGTTTCTGCCATAGAAAGCAAACCCCTGCCTCTCCGAGACTAGAATTTCCGCAGAGTCTCTGTCTTAGTCTGCTCAAACTACCATAACAGAACACCATGGACTAGAGGGCTTAAAGAATAGACATGTATTTCTCACAGTTCTAGAGGCTAGGGGTTGGGAATGGGGCGGACCAGGGTCCACTTCTGGTGTGGGCCTTCTTGGATGCAGACCTCTGCCTTCTCACTGAATCTTACATGGCAGAGAGAGAGAGAGCAAGAGCAGTCTCTCCCTACAAAGGCACTAATCCTATCCTGACAGCCCCACTCTCAGGACTTTAGTGATTCACCTAATCACTTCCCAAAGGTCCTCCCTCCTGATAACATTGGGGATTAGAGCTCCAACAAGTCAACTTTGAGGGGACACAAACATTTAGTCCATAACAGCTCCAAATATAGAAAACGGTGTCAGTTGTGCAACAGCCACAAACAAACAGTGAAGACCCCGATTCTCCCTCTCTCCAGCAGGGGCGGGCCCGTGGGTGAATTTACTTGAGTGGCCAGGATCTCATGTGGTACAAGATGCGGCTTCCTGGCACGGTTGGGAGTGTTAGGGATAATTCAAATGCTGGGAGGTTGGGAGCCTCAAAAGCGCAGACTCTAATCCTCACAGAGGGTCCAGCTTGCCTGCTAGTGGCTGTGGTTCTGCTACCAGGAAATACCTACAAAGCGAATGAGGTATTGGCTGCAAGCTTTTCATGTGTTCCTGGCTCCTGTGTGACTGAGGCCCCAGGTACAGGCGGACATTTCCCGTTTCCTGATACACTGCAAGTGCTCACACTTGGATGCCTTGGTATGTGCAGCTCTTTCATCCTCGCACATCTTCCCCATTTGCCTTCCCAGCAAATTTTCTTTTCTTTCTTTTTTTTTTTTTTTTTTGGAGACAGAGTTTAGTTCTTGTCGCCCAGGCTGGAGTGCAATGGTGTGATCTCGGCTCACTGCAACCTCCACCTCCCGGGTTCAAGCGATTCTCCTGCCTCAGCCTTCCAAGTAGCTGGGATTTCAGGTGCCCGCCACCACGCCCAGCTGTTTTTTTGTATTTTTAGTAGGGACAGAGTTTCACCATGTTGGCCAGGCTGGTCTCGGACTCCTGCCCTCAGGTGATCCACCCGCCTCGGCCTCCCAAAGTGCTGGGATTACAGGCGTGAGCCACTGTGCCCGGCCACCAGCAAATTTTTGCTCACTCCGCAGCACCATTTCAAATATAACTTCCTGTGACACCTTCCACAGTCCACTAGGCAGTGACCACATCCACAGGTATAGAAACATACTTTGGCTCTTTCTCTTTTACATTTCATTATAATTATAATTCTTTTGTATCGTGAGCCCTGGTTTTACATTTCATGCCACAGCAGATGCTGCTGGTGCCCTGCCTGTCCAAAGGCTGCTTCCCACACACACCTGAGGTTGTTTGCCTGAATGCTGTGTGCTGGTGTTGGGTGTATACTTGAACCACACACAAGGCAAGCCAGAATGTGAGGTTCCAGAAGCAGCCCTCAGCCAGAGAAGCTGGTGGGGAGTGGGTAGGTGAGCACTCAGCCTCCCCAGCCTTGGGTAGGATGACTATGAGCATGCTCAGAGCCTCGTCCCAGAATGGGCTCCCAGCGGTCCCCAACTCAGACAGGTCCCCAGCACCTAGGTCAATGCCTGACTTCAATTAGGTTCTGAATAAGTGTTTGATGAATAAAATCAGCCCTGAAGTTGATCACAAATTCATTCAGTTATTCATGGATGCAATTAACATTTCTGGAAGATCTATCAGATTTCAGCCACTGTACTAGAGGCAACATCATATATTTGAGTCATCATTTTAAAGAGACTAAACCATAATATAGGAGATAATACATGCAAATACATAGTATAGTTATCTATCTTGGTGTAACAAATTACCCCAAAATTCAGCAGCTTAAAACAACCATTTATTATCTTACATACTTCCTCTGGGTCAGGATCCACATGTGGCTTGGCTGGAACCCTCTAGCTCAGGGTCTCCCATGGGGTTGTAGTTGGGCTGTCAGCTGGCACTGCATCATCTGAAGGCTGGGCTGGGGCAGGGGGTCCACTTCCAAGGCAGCCGCTCACATCGCCGGCAAGCTGGTGTTGGCTGCTAGGAGGAGGCTCAGCTCTTCTGTGGACCCCTCCATAGTCTGCACGCATTTGCTGACATGGATTCTAAGTAACTTGGGAAAAATGTCTACTCTCGGCTCTCAGCTTTGTTCTGTCACCCTCTTGGTACCTTGACTTCAGGAAGAAGTCAATAAGCAGTATCCCACAACTTTCCCTTGTTGATCACTCACTGGGAAGCTAAAAATCCCTTATGCACAAAGACAAGAATGTTAGAGATATGGAACCACTCAGCTCCACACTCCTGGGGAAGTTGGGATTTCCAGCAGAGCCAGGGAGAAGCCCTCCTATTTCCTCATTCTTGCCATACCAGCAGCCAATCACCTGGGTGCTAGCTTGGCCACCTGCCAGCTATTTGACTTTGGGGAGGTTATTTAGCGCTCTCTGCCTCAGTTTCCCCATGTGCAAACTGGGGATGATAATAGCACCCTGGGAAGCATCCCTGCTGCTCAGCGGTGTTCTGGTGTTCAGGTCTTTTTTGAAGCTATGGAGATACTAAAATCAAAAGGGTTCTTAGAATGAGATGCTCAGTTCCACTTGAATGAGGACTGGGGAAAGATGAACAGCGAGACTGATATGAGCTGAGTGGGGGCAGAGCTCAGGAAGTCTGGGTACCCAGAAGGCAGGGGGAGGGAAGGCAATGGAAAGAAGAGTGGCAAGCTAGCAGGCCGAGAGTGGCAGCTACTGAGGTACACTCCGGAGAGCAGACCACTTGCCTGGGCTGCTCAGTGGGTGGAGTGGTAGGCATGCTGGCCCATGGGGATCCTGGCAGGGGGTGGGTTCTGGGTGCAGCCACATAGATTTTTTGGGACAAGTGTGAAGTGGCTTGAGAATGCAGAAGGCATTCAAGTTTTAGGGTGGCTTTGGCGAAGCCTGAGGGAGTGTTGGTGTTCTTGCTCCAACATCCATCCAGGCACATCCATCATTGTACCTGGAAGATGCCGGAGGCTAGCATGGGCCTGTGGGCAGAGGACGATGGAGGGGGAGAGTCAGGAGCAGCATCCAGAGGAGGGATCACAGAGCACGCTCTTCTAAGCTGTCCCTTCTTCCCAGCAGTGTGAAGTCCCAGATCTGCCAATTTTTCAAGAGGTGCCCATATGTTAATTAATTATATTAATATTGATAACTACTTCATAGTTGAGATCTGCACTTGGCAAGCAGTGATGAGGCCTGTTTCATGCACTGCTTCTAGTCCTGACATTGCAATGCCCAGATAGGAGCAAGACACTTGAGCCTGTAGAGTTACAGAGCTTATGGGATGCCTCTGGCTCGCCTGCAGCCACCTCAGGTGACTAGCTTTAGGAAAAGACCAGACAATGCCTTGGGTCTAAATGAGAAGAAACCAGAAAGTCAGCAGCAAAGGCCCCACTTGGCAGAGGTGATAAATTCAGGTCCCAAAGCAGGAGCTCCTTGCTTTGTCCTACAAGTAAGTCACCCTGGGCCCATGGATTGATTGACACAAATATCCACAGGGCACTTTTTGTGTACCAGGCTCTGAACCAGACTTCTGGTGGTAGAGACAGATGAGTGACTACACATTCAAAATGCGTTGTGCTCAGTGGAGTAGACGTTTGCAGGACATGTGGTAGAACAGGGAGCAGCCCTGAAGGAGACTTGTTGGAGCATCAAGTTGCGAGAAACTGACCCCCAAACAGGTCTTTGAAAGGAGAATGGCAATTTGATATTAGGCAAGGAGGAAAAGGTCTTATCAGTGAGAGGATCAGTAAGCATGAAAGTTCCTGGATAAGCTTGGGAATTACCAAGTGTTGAGAATTCATGTGATGTTGAGGTAGAGGTGAAGCGATGATTCAATGTAGAAGGCTGAGGATGCTGCTGGCCAGATCACAGGGACTTCTTCTTGCCAAGAACAGAGAACTGTTGTGCAAATCAGTTGTGTAAACAAAACAAAAATGTCTGCAGGAGGAACAGAAAGCCAAATACCACATGTTCTCACTTATAAGTGGGAGCCCAACATTGGGTACTTATGGACATAAAGACTGGAAGGATAGACACTGTGGACTCCTAGAGGCAGGAGGGAAGGGAGGGAGCAAGGATTGAAAAACTATGCACTGGGGACTATACTCAGTACCTGGGGGAGGGGATCATTCATATCCCAAACCTCAGCATCACAAAATATACCCAGTAACAAACTTGTGCATGTACCACCTGAATGTAAAGTAAACGTTGAGATTATAAAAAAAAAAAAAATTCTGCAGGTACTGCCCTTAATCACTTTCACTTGTGTTAGAATTATTTAACTGAATGTTAAACTATTTTGTGTTTAAATAAAAATGTAATAACTACAGTTGACCGTTGAACAACATGACCCATGAACAAAAATTCTTTTTTTTTTATATTATTATACTTTAAGTTTTAGGGTACATGTGCACATTGTGCAGGTTAGTTACATACATATACATGTGCCATGCTGGTGTGCTGCACCCACTAACTCGTCATCTAGCATTAGGTATATCTCCCAGTGCTATCCCTCCCCCCTCCCCCTACCCCACAACAGTCCCCAGAGTGTGATGTTCCCCTTCCTGTGTCCATGTGATCTCATTGTTCAATTCCCACCTATGAGTGAGAATATGCGGTGTTTGGTTTTTTGTTCTTGCGATAGTTTACTGAGAATGATGACTTCCAGTTTCATCCATGTCCCTACAAAGGACATGAACTCATCATTTTTTATGGCTGCATAGTATTCCATGGTGTATATGTGCCACATTTTCTTAATCCAGTCTATCATTGTTGGACATTTGGCTTGGTTCCAAGTCTTTGCTATTGTGAATAATGCCACAATAAACATACGTGTGCATGTGTCTTTATAGCAGCATGATATATAGTCCTTTGGGTATATACCCAGTAATGGGATTGCTGGGTCAAATGGTATTTCTAGTTCTAGATCTCTGAGGAATCACCACACTGACTTCCACAATGGCTGAACTGGTTTACAGTCCCACCAACAGTGTAAAAGTGTTCCTATTTCTCCACATCCTCTCCAGCACCTGTTGTTTCCTGACTTTTTAATGATTGCCATTCTAACTGGTGTGAGATGGTATCTCATTGTGGTTTTGATTTGCATTTCTCTGATGGCCAGTGATGGTGAGCATTTTTTCATGTGTTTTTTGGCTGCATAAATGTCTTCTTTTGAGAAGTCTCTGTTCATGTCCTTCGCCCACTTTTGGATGGGGTTGTTTGTTTTTTTCTTGTAAATTTGTTTGAGTTCATTGTAGATTCTGGATATTAGCCCTTTGTCAGATGAGTAGGTTGCGAAAATTTTCTCCCATTTTGTAGGTTGCCTGTTCACTCTGATGGTAGTTTCTTTTGCTGTGCAGAAGCTCTTTAGTTTAATTAGATCCCATTTGTCAATTTTGGCTTTTGTTGCCATTGCTTTTGGTGTTTTAGACATGAAGTCCTTGCCCATGCCCATGTCCTGAATGGTAATGCCTAGCTTTTCTTCTAGGGTTTTTATGGGTTTAGGTCTAACGTTTAAGTCTTTAATGCATCTTGAATTGATTTTTGTATAAGGTGTAAGGAAGGGATCCAGTTTCAGCTTTCTACATATGGCTAGCCAGTTTTCCCAGCACCATTTATTAAATAGGGAATCCTTTCCCCATTGCTTGTTTTTCTCAGGTTTGTCAAAGATCAGATAGTTGTAGATATGCGGCGTTATTTCTGAGGGCTCTGTTCTGTTCCATTGATCTATATCTCTGTTTTGGTACCAGTACCATGCTGTTTTGGTTACTGTAGCCTGGTAGTATAGTTTGAAGTCAGGTAGTGTGATGCCTCCAGCTTTGTTCTTTTGGCTTAGGATTGACTTGGCGATGCGGGCTCTTTTTTGGTTCCATATGAACTTTAAAGTAGTTTTTTCCAATTCTGTGAAGAAAGGCATTGGTAGCTTGATGGGGATGGCATTGAATCTGTAAATTACCTTGGGCAGTATGGCCGTTTTCACGATATTGATTCTTCCTTTTCTCTCATGGGTAGAAAAATTCTTTTACACGGATTTTCAGTAGAGTTCCACTTTTACATGGATTTTCTTCTGCCTCTGCCACTCCTGAGACAGCAAGACCAATCCCTCCTCTTCCTCCTCCTCCTTAGCCTACTCAACGTGAATACAATGAAGATGAAGACCTTTATGATGATCCACTTTCTTGTAATGAACAGTAAATATATTTTTTCTTCCTTAAGATTATCTTATAACATTTTTTTCTAACTTACTTTATTGTAAAAATATTGCATATAATACATATGACATACAAAATATGGGGTAATTGATTATTTACATTATCAGTAAGGCTATGGTCAACAGTAGGCTATTAGCAAAGTTTTTGGAGAGTTAGAAGGTATATGTGGATTTTCAACTAAGCAGAGGGTCAGTGCTCCAACCCCCATGTTGCTCAAGGATCAATTACAATTTAAATAATACTATTAAATATATATTTAATAGCATACATTGTGTATACATATATATTTATATATCTGAAATATATACACACATTTGTAAGCATTCAAAAATAGATATCTTATATTTTGTTAATATTTTGTAACATAGTCATAAAATAAAAGGTGAAAAATATAGTATTCACGAGTTACACCTACACCTTGACCCTATTCCCCTGCTGTGTTCTCTCCTCGTTGGTGCATTTGATTGCAAAGCCAATTATTTGCCATGTTTTGCGGAGAGGAGAGAATGAAGATAAGACCCTCCCACAGCACTTCCTTTGGCCAAAACATGGTCACCAACATTTGGGAAATATTTTTGCTAGATCAAATCACAGTTTAAGTAAGTGCTAAATTTATTACTTTTCCATCACGTTCCTCTCTCAGAGTTTCCTCATGCATTCTGGAACCTGGGTGCAAACAGGCCAGAGTCAGAGTCTATGGGCTGGATGTGAGGAATGTTTCCAGAGTGGTGCACAGGTGGGGAGCAGCCCTGCTGAAGCCTCATCAACCCCCAAAGGCAGTGCTTGTCATGTCCCTACTGGGAAAGACTTAAATCCTGTCTCCTCAAAACACTAACAACCAAGGCTAAGCATAAGTGTGGTTTCCATTTCCATTAAAATGTACGTTTTTGCACCTGGCTATGTTAAGGCTCTGCCGTGTGGAATGTGATAGGCCCAGCTGAGCATGCTGTTCACCCGTGTCTGATAGCCTGGACAAGGAGACCAGTCACCTGGGGGTGACACATGGTGCATGGGTCTCCAAGCTGCTCATTCCCAGGACATCCATCTGGAGCAAATAAGCAATAATGATGTTAGGAAAGGAAGTCTTTCAGTAAGTGCCTCAGGAATTCTCAACAGGCCTCCACGAAGATAAGATTACAAACATGTATATCCATAAACACACATCACTGCTTAAAATTTTTCTCCCAGTAGAGAGCCTCAATAGTAGATGCATTTAGACAAATCTTTTCTGTGGGAATACACTACTTCTGCTCTGGAGAAATAAATATCAAATACAGTCTAATGAAACTGCATTAGGGAAACAAAGCATTAAGGAAAAGGAAAACCCAGGACAGAGAATAGATTTGGGGTTTGGGCTTTTCAGATGCAAAAGAGAGAGCCAGTCTCCTTTGAGGGGTATCTGTCTGGCATCTGCTTTATTTCATCCTGTTAGTGAGATTTGAAGGAATAGAAAAGTGATTTCATGTTAATAGGATTGGACAAGAGAGCATTATCTAGGATGGCATTTTCCTTAGATGAGGTTTTGGGTACTTCTTATTGCAGTCAGTTCATTTATATTTTAAACACCTGCAAGACTACAGTGAAATGAACTCCCTCTTAATCATCATTATGGAGAATGAATAAATACATGCATTTATCTTGCACCAGGTAATTGGCTGTGAAGCATTCTGTGATCCTTTCATTAGGGTGATGAGATCCAAAAATAGATGGCAAGTAGGTTTATTAGAAACTAACAGGCCCACCTGAGGTGTAAAAAAATCCTGTAAATGCAGTGGTTTGCAGCAATTGTGTGCATGTGTGTGTGCGTGTGTGTGCATGCATGTGGGTTTTGGAGGGAGCAGCAAGGTGGAAAAATGCAGGAACTACCTCATTCTTCTACCTGCCTTAGGTGCCCTTCTGTGAAATGAAGCGAAATGTTTAGAAAGAACGTATTTCAGTATTTTAAATATTGTTCCAGCCATACTTACATATGCTAGTCTCATATCTGTCCTATATAAGCACTCTGCAAATTTTAGAACACTATATAATTTCATAGGCTCTATAATGCTTTGATTAATTAACAATTAATACTTTAATTAGCACATTGTAGTCTGTAATATAAAATGTAATTATCCATAACAGTCAATCTTGCATCATTAAATTGACCTAACCAGAACAACGAAAAAGCAAATAAACAGTGTAATTCACCCTCTTTGGAAAATCCCTGAGAGGGTTTCTCCACTCCTTCCTCTAGTGTTCCAGTTTGAGATCCTGTTGAGTAGATCTAGTCTGTTTCCATGAGCTCCTCTTCCGCCAGCATTACCTGCCATATTGAAATGCTGCATCACTTCAGCTGAGGATTAGGCTTTGGCTAATTATAATGGTATATTCAGAGCTCTGACTTGGATCCTAGCAAGAGTGACAGTATGGAAGGCGGAATGTTGGTTCCCCATGATTCTGACCCTCCAATCTAGTGATACATCTGTGAATATGTCGAGATGGCAACAGAAAAAAATGAATACAGCCTGGGCGCGGTGACTCACACCTGTATTCCCAGAACTTTTGGAGGCTGAGACAGGAAGATCACTTGAGCCCAGGAGTTCGAGACTATCCTGAGCAACATGGCGCGACCTCGTTGCTACAAAAAATACAAAAATTAGCAGGGCATGTTGTCATGTGCCTGTAGGCCCGGTTGCTCAGGAGGCTTGAGGTGGGAGATCGCCTGAGCCCGGGAGATAGAGGCTGCTGTGAAACAAGACTGCACCACTGCACTCCAGCCTGGGTGACAGAGTGAGACTTTGTCTCCAAAAAGAAAAAAAAAAAAAGGAGAAGAATATAGAATTCAGTACTTGGAAGTGGTGTCCCGTTATAATAAATTCCTAAAAATGTGAACATAGATTTGGAATTGGGCAGTGAGCAGAGGCTGAAACCTTTTTGAGAAGCATGATAGAAAAGGCCTATATTGCCTTCCACAGACAGTAAAGATGCATATTTTAAGGGTTCTGGTAGTGAGAACTCAGAAGGAAGTAAAAGACTTGGTAGAGAAACCATAAATTCTCTTAGAGAGTAGCCATGTCACCACAAACATACTTGCAGTGAGCCAAGATCGCGCCCCTGCACTCCAGCCTGGGCGACAGAGCGAGACTCCATCTCAAAATAAAAAGAAATGCTATTGAAAACTAAAGAGAGGGGATCCATGTCATGTATTGGCAGAGAGCTTAGTAAAATTGTGCCCTGCAGTTATATGAAATGTATAACATACACAACAATCTTTGTCATTTAGCTGAAGACATTTCCAAACTAAGTGTTGAAGGCACAACCCAGACTCATCTTGTTGCCTATAATAAAACATGAGAAGAGAGAGATACATTCAGAAAATAACTGTTAAGCAAAAAGGAACCATGAGTGAATGATTTGGGAAGTGGCAGCCTATCCAAATAGCAAACACTGCTAAAATGGAGAAAATCACTGTCAGGAATGCATACTCTTGAGAAAAACTGAGAGTATGGTTTAACAAACTTTTGCTAGTGTCTCAAAAACATTAAAAAATTGACTTTATTTTTGATCATTCAGTGACACAAAAAGCTTTTGGAAGAGATTGAGAGTGTGTGAAATCAGTAATTTGAACAAATCAAGGAGGAAAAAGTTCAAAAAGTTAACATAATTGTGTCTATAAAAGTGTGGTGAATGAAGGTCGCAGAGCACAATGTTTGCCAAATAGAAAATTGTCTATTTAAGTCCAAGATCCAGACCTTTCAGCTGCCCTGGAATTGGTACCTTCCTTGTGTGCATAACACTATAATATTTTTTTAAACTATGTGAAAATGACGGAAACTAAAATTGAAGTAGAGCCTTCATGATTTCCGTTTGTCTTTGGTTTTCAGTTCTTTGAATACGGTGTGACTCTTTTTTTGGGTATTTATTCTGCTTGATATTTTCTGAGCTTCACGGGTCAGTGGTTTGGGGTCTGCCACTAATTTTGAAAAATCACAATTGCCCAATTTTTACTTCTTCAAATGTGTCTTCTTTCCTGCTCCATTTTTCAGCTCTTCTGGGATTCCAATCATCTGTATGTGAGAGTGATACTGTTGCACAGCTCTTGAAACACTTGTTTTGTTGGATTGTCTTTAGTATTTTTTACTCTTTGCGTTTCAGTTAGGGCAGTGTCTACCTCCCTAGCTTCAGTTTCAGGCACATGAATCTGGATCTTGGGAGTATGCCTTGCACAATTGTTACAGCCTCATCTCCACTTGGAATGTGATGTCTAGCAGTATTTCTGCTCCTCTATTTAGGGTAGAGCTTTATTTATTTTCTTGTTCCCCTCTCCCATCTGAGGTGGATTTTTATGAGAGCCTCAAGCTACAATTTTTCTTGCTGTTTCCCTTGCAGACTGGCTTTTGTATCATAGGGGAGATAGACGAGATATTTGTAGGTAGAATTTTATCAGTTGCAGCCCTCTCATTCCTTCGTCAGTATTATGAGGATGAGGAAAGCTTTCCCAGGAACCTCCCCAGTCATCCCCATGAGTACTTGGTGGGCTTCCTTGTTGGGTGTTGAGGGGGGACCTAACAGAGGGTAGCAACTACCGTGTGTCCGCAGCCCCCAGGCATCTCACATGCCTACAGTAGTACCCTAATGACTCTTATGGTATCTGTTATTGTCTGCCCCTGGTAAATAAATGTGAGGGTCCTGTTTCTCCCCCTGGTAGCCTGTGTCTCTGTACATTTTAGTTTAGTGGCTTGGCCTGAGTTCTCAGTTCTCTGATGGGTTAAGGAAATCATTCCTTGGTTGTTTGTTCAGCATTTTTGTTGTTGTTGTAAAGATGAGTGTGAGATTCCAGCTGCTATATCTTGAGGGTGAAACTGGAAGCAAGCATATTGCCTTTCCAGTCCTTACCATGATGCAGAAACTTTGCATCCATCCAAAGAGTCAAGATAGGGTATTAAGAGAAACCACCATCTCTGTTTATGTTATATTTGTTATGTAGAATAAGCATATCCAGTTTAATATGGAGAAAAATTAATAAATATAGTTTATCAAAAAATTAAAGGCACTCCAGTTTTGTTTTGTTTTTACTGTGCATTTCTTTCAGAAACTGCATTGTTAAAATTGGATGGTAAATCATATTTTATTCCTAGAAAGAATGCTACAATTGAGGCTGAGTACCCAAGTAATCATTTAGGATCAAATAAATCACAATCATAATGATACACTAACCACTCAACCTTAAATTTTTCTGACCATTTGAAATGGCTAAAGTAGGCTCCAATCCCCCATCCCAAGTAGTCATAAATATATTACCCACTCAATTTATTCTAGATTATTAAGGATATAAAATGATCTATGATGTACCACAGAGTTAACAGTAGAAATCTGAACTGTAACACAATTAAACCTGAATTTAATAAGATATATTAACTAATATATTAATGAACTATGATTTCTCTCAAAATTTAGAAAGACTTCTAATAAATAATTTGTAAAACTTAAACCTCTTTAGTGGTCTCATGAAGTTCAAACTGAGGTTTTCTTTTTCTTTTTTATAATGAGACAGAGTCTCACTCTGTCACCCAGGCTGGAGTGCCATGGTGTGTCTCGGCTCTCCACCCACTGGGTTCAAGTGATTCTCATGCCTCAGTCTCCCAAGTAGCCAAGTAGCTGGGATTGCAGTCACATGCCACCATGCACCACCATGCACCACCATGTCTGGCTAATTTTTGTATTTTTAGTAGAGATGGGGTTTCACCATGTTAGCTAGACAGGACTCAAACTCCTGGCCTCAAGTGATCCACTCGCCTTGGCCTCCCAAAATGCTGGGATTACAGGTGTGAGCCACCCCGCCTGGCTGAGCATTTCTTTATGTTGCTAAAAATGCCCTTAAAATAACATGACATACTTGATAACTATTTATTTATTTATTTTTTAGAGACAGAGTCTCCTTCTGTCACCCAGGCTGGAGTGTAGTGGCACAATCATAGGTCACAGGAGCCTCCAATCCCTGGGCTCAAATGAGCCTCCTGCCTCAGTGACCTGAGTATCTAGGACTACAGGCACTTACCACCATGCCCAGCTAATGTAACTTTTTGTAGAGACGAGATTTTGCTATGTTGCCCAGGCTGTTCTTGAACTCCTGGCCTCAAGTGATGCTCCTGCTTTGGCCTCCTGAACTGCTAGGATTATAGGTATGAGCCACCACACCTGGCCGTCAATACCATTGTTCAAAAAGTAGACTGCATTTTCCTGCAGCACCTCCTTGCATCATCAAAGTAAAGAAAGGTTGTGGATATTTATATACTAGGTTTCACAAAAATGGTAAATGAAGCACAGATTTCAAATCCAGGGAAGGTTGTATAGCTCATCTACAGAAGTTCCTGCAATCCTCATTAGGGTCAAACCATTTATTATTACTGCCTTGAGAGTTGGACTTTTATAGGCTGCTTGGGTCCTCTTGGTTCCCAAACTGCTCTGGTGAATGTGCCTGTTGGAATGCAGGTCAGGGGCTGCTGAGTTCTCCCATTCGTTTGCATCAGCTGCCCTGGAGCAAGTCACAGTGTTGGCTGTGCACCCAAACCTGGACCAGAGTCTTACAGAATGGTGGAGTGAGGGGGAAGGCAAATTCTCTCCCAAAAAGCAATGATAAAACTGAACAAAACTTTTGTCAAAAACATCCATTTCAGGACTCTGAAACTGGCCAGAGATGTACAACAAATTTATAAGAGTTTATTCAAGAAAGACTGCTTTCAAGTAATAGCAGTGGAAATTTGGGGTGTGTTAGCCTGGGATTTCTCCCTCTTTATGTTAAACTTGACAAAGACCCCAAAGAAACTGTCATATGTATGTTCAAAGAACTCAAGGAAAACTTTTAAGAAGGAAAGGAAATAGGAATGTATGAAGATCATGTTTTCTTACCAACTTTGTTCAGCAATATTTTGTGGCTTTCTATTAAGCCATATGACACAACTTTCCTATCTGATATTAACATAGAAACACTGGGTTTCTTGTGGTTAGTGTTTGCAAAGTGTATTTTTTCATTTTTTTTTTCTTTCAACATTTCTGTGTCCTTGAATTTAAATCAGGTCTCTTGAAAACACCATATCGTTGGGTCAGCTTACCCTGTTTTATGATGTATTTTTCAAGAAGTGCTTAATCTATTTCCTTTTAATGAAATTTTTGATGCAAATGAGTGTACATCAACCATCTTGCTATTTGGTCACGATTTGTGTCATCTGACATTTTATCCTTCATTAGTTAGTTTTCTGACTTTTCTGGATGATGTATTTTTATTACTGTCTTTTTCATTGAGTTTTTAGCTATATCTATATTTTTAAATATTTCTCTTGAAATTACAACATGACTTAAGAAATAGAACTTATTTTTTAGACCAGTTTTAGGTTCACAACAAAACTGAGCAGGAAATACAGAGTACCTATCTACCCCTCCTCCCCTATCTTCACCACAGGCACAATTCCCCCCTTTATCATTCTCCTGCACCTTAGTGGTATAGTTGTTATAATTGATGGCCCTACCTTGATGCGTCATCACCACTCCAAGTCATAGTTTACACTAGGGTTCGCTCTTGGCGCTGTATATTCTATAGGTTGCGAAAAATGCATAATGACATGTGCCCACTGTTGTAGTATCCTACGGAATGATTTCACTCCACTAAAAATGCTCTGTATTCTGCCAATTACAACATATATTCTTATTAAACATTTTGTCTTGAGATAATTCCCATGCAGCTCAATACTGAGATAGATTTATGTATATTTGTCAAAGATAATACAGAAAGATCCTGTGTACTCTTTACCTAGGTTCTCTCAAATACAATAATCTTGCAAAACTATACCATGGCAGCCAGGAAATTGACATTGATACAATCCACTGATCTTATTCCAGTTTCTTCAGTTTTATAGTACTCACTTAGGTGAGTTCAGGTGTGTGTATTCAGCTCTATGCAATTCTATTACATGTGTGGTTTTATGTATCCACCACTTCAGCCAAGATACAGAAGAGTGCCACCACAGGGATCCCTCACTTTGCCCTTTTATTACAATACTCACTTCCCTTCCACACTGATCCCATTTCTAATCCTGGCAATCACTAATCTGTTCTCTGCCTCAGTTATTTTTTTAAAATCTCAATAATGCTATATAAATGGAATCATACAGTATGTAACATTTTTGAATTGGCTTTTTTCTTCACTCACTGTAACTCTCTGGAGATTTATCTAAATTGTCACATATATCAATAGTTTCTTCTTTTTTATTGCTGAATATTATTCCATGGTATTCACATATCACATTTTTTTAAAGCCACAGACCTACTGAAGGACATTGCTTCCTAGATTTTGTTTTTCTTGTTATTATGAATAAAGTTGCTAAAAACACTTGTGTACTGATTTTTATGTGAACCTCAGTTATCGTTTCCCTGGAATAAATGCCCAAGAGTGCAATTGCTGGATCGTATACTAATTGTATAGTTATTGTATAAGAAGCTGCCAAACTGTTTCCTAGAGTGACTGTACTAATTTACAGTCCTTCCAACAATGAGTAACTGATTCAGTTTTTCTGCATGCTTGCCAGCATTTTATGCTGTCACATTTTTGTTTTAGCCATTCTGATAGCTATACAGTGATATCTCATTGTGGTTTTAATTTGCATTCCTCTGGTAAACAATGAAACTAAACATTTTTATGTGCTTATTTGCCATCTGTATATTCTTTTCAGTGAAATGTCTATTGATATATTTGGCTTATTTCTAACTGGATTTTTGCTTTTTTACTGTTGTGTTTCGAGAATTCTTTACATGGTCTACAGGGTAATACTTTTTTGAGTATGTGTTTTGTAAATACTTTCTCACAGTATGTAGTCTGCATTTTCATTGTTTTTACAGGGTCTTGTGCAGAGTAAAAGTTTTTAATTTTGATGAGGTCCAGTTTTTATCTTTTTTTCCTTTAAAGGATCGTGCTTTTTGTGCCTAAAAAGTCTTTCCTAGCCCTAGATCTCAAACACCCCTCCTGCTTTTTTTTCTAAAAGTTATACAGTTATAAATTTAAGTCTGTGATCCATTTTGAGGTTTTTCTTTTTATATATAAGGTGTGAGGTTTTGGTTGAGATTCCAATTGCTCCAAAAGATCTACTTCTTCCATTGAGTTGCTTTTGCCTTTATGTCAAAAATCATTTCAGGATATTTATATGGGTCTATTTATGAGTTCACTATTTTGTACCACTGATTTACATGTTTGCTTCTTTACCAATACTACACTTTCTCCATTACTGTAGCTATGTAGTAAGTCTTAGTATTGGGTACAGTGTTTTCTGTCACTTTATTCTTATCTTCCAAGATTATTTTTTGTCTACTCTAGGGTCCCTGCTTGTCCATATAATCTTTAGAATAAACTTGTCAACATCTACAAAAACTTGCTTAGATTTTGGAGGGAATTATATTAAACCTATAGGTCAATTTGGAGAGAAAGTGTACTCACCATGTTGAGTCTTTAAATGAACATAGTACCTCTCTCCACTTATTTAGGTCTCTGATTTCTTTCATTAGTATTTTGTCATGTTCAGCATTCAGATACTGTACACTTTTTGTTGGGTTTATATCTAAGTACTTCATTTTCTTTGGAGTAGTTGTAAATGGTATTGTGTTTTTAATTTTGGTTTCTGCATACTCATTTTTAGTATATAGAAATATTGAGAGGTGAAGTCAGCTGGACTTCCTGGGTCGAGTGGCGACTTGGAGATTTTTTGTGTCTAGCTGAAGGATTTTAAATGCACCAATCAGCACTCTGTAAAAACGCACCAATCAGTGCTCTGTGTCTAGCTAAAGGATTGCAAACACACCAATTAGCACTCTGTAAAATGGACCAATCAGCACTCTGTAAAATGGACCAATTAGCGCTCTGTAAAATGGACCAATCAGCAGGACGTGGGCGGGGTCAAATAAGGGAATAAAAGCTGGCCACCCCCAGCCAGCAGCAGCAACGCGCTGGGGTCCTCTTCTGTCCCGTGCGTAGTTTGTTATTTCGCTCTTCACGATAAATCTTGCTACTGCTCACGCTTTGGGTCCGCACCACCTTTAAGAGCTGTAACACTCCGTGAGGAGGTCCACGGCTTCGTTTTTGAAGTTAGTGAGACCACGAACCCACTGTCAGGCAGAAACATCTGAAGGAACAAACTTCGGACATAACATCTTTAAGAGCTGTAACACTCACTGTGAAGGTAGGCGTGGCTTCATTCCTGAAGTCAGCGAGACAAAGAACCATCCGGAAGGAACCAACTCTGGGCACAATGTGATTAATATTTTTTGTGTTGATGTTGTATTCTGTTACTTTGCTGAAGTGACTTTTAGTTCTAGACCTTTATTTTTGTATATTCCTTGGAATATTCTATGAAGATGATCATGTCATCTGCAATTGGAGGTAGCCTTATCTTTTCCTTTCTCTTCTGCATGTTTTTGCTTTTCTCTCCTTGCATTATTGCAGCAGATAAAACTTCCAATATTATGTTAAATACAAGTGTTGAGAGGCGGAATCCTTGTTTTGCTCCTGATCTTAGAAAGAAAACATTCGGTTTATCACCATTAAGTACAATGTCAGCTGTAGGATTTTGTAGGTGTTTTTTATCGAGGTCACTTAGTTCTTCTGTATTCCTAATTTAGGGAGTTTCTAGCATGTGTCAGTACTAAATTTTGTCAAATTCATTTTTGTGTCATTTCCTTCTTTAGCCTGTTAGCATGGTGGATTACATTAATTGATTGCAAATGTCAAACCCACCTTACATTCCTGGAATGAATCACACTTGATCACTATTTAAAAATGTTTTTGTACATTTTTGTATTTAATTTGCTAATATTTTGTTGATGGCTTTTGTGTCAAAGTTTATGAAAAACGTTTGTCTATATTTTTCTTCTTTGGTACTGTTTCTGTCTTGTTTTGGTATCCGCCTTATAAAATGAAGTATGAAGTGTTCCTTTCTCTTCTATTTTCTAGAAGAAATTGTGTAAAATTTCGTCAGTTCTTTAAATATTTGGTAGAATTCTCCAGGGAAATGAAGTGGAGCTGCAAGTTGTTTTTTAGGAGCTTTTAAATTATGAATTCCATTTTTAAATAGTTTTCTTTACTAGAACCACTTAGATTATCTGTTTCGTGTTGGTTGCATTTTGGTAATTTTTGGTTTTTGAGCAACTGATTCATTTTTTCTACATTGTCAAATTTATGAGCATAAAGTTGATTATAATATTCCCTTTCTGCCATTTTAATGGCTGTGGGCTTTGTGGTTAGTTTCATTACTGATACTGTTGATTTGTGTCTCTTCTGTTTTAATTTTGCCAGTCTTGCTAGAGTGACATTGATATTTTTGAAGAAGCAGCTTTTTGTTTTATTTTTTCTACTTTCCTGTTTTCCGTTTAGTTGATTTCTGCTCTCACCTTTATGATTTCCTTCTGCTTGCTTTGGGTTTCTTTGGCTAATCTTTTTCTAGTTTTTTGAGGGGAAAAACTTACTGTTTTGAGTCCTTTCTTCTTTTCTAACATAAACGTTTAGGGTTATAAGATCCCCCTCAGCTCTGCATTAGCTACATCCCACATATTTTGATCTATTGTCTTTTTATTCTTATTCAATTCTATGTGTACTTTTTGAAATTTCCTTGGATCTCCTTCTTGACCATAGACTATTTAAAGGTGTATTATTTAATTTCAGAGTATCTAGAGATTTTTTTCTGTTGTCTCTCTAGGTCATGTACTTTTAACTTATCACAATCTATTTGTGAATAGTATTGTGAAACTTCATTAAAAAAGTGTAAGAAACTTACAACAGTGTAATTCTATTTTCCCCTCAATCTGGAGTTGAGCTGGTTTTGGTCTGGGTTGTAGATTTAATTAATTTCAGTTTACCACAGGTTTCATATATTTCAAAGGTAGCAGCCAGGGCCCTCCTTTCATTAGGAATAGAGAGCTAAGACTCTGAGGTCTCCCTAAGCTTTCTCGCTCATTTCCAGCTTCCCGTACCTTGGAAGAAATCCATGTTGCAGCCTGCCCTGGCTTCCGACTCCACAGGACCTCTCCTTCTGTCTGCCATCCTACCCTGTCCCAGGTGCCCAGCCATCACTCTGTATTTGAGATGAAATGTCTGAACGAAAAGATTTATGGGGCACGTAGATGAGTGTACTTTGGGGGCGCTTCTGGGTTTGAATCCATCACGCCTGGCCTACAGGGTCCTTCTAGATTTCTTTGGTTTCTTTTTGTCTCAGCCAAGAGCCGAGTCCTCCCTGCTTATGGCTGGCTTGTTCTTCCCACCACACCCCAGAGATAAAAGCAGTTGCAGGTTTTTATTGCTTTGGACAGGCTCGTCCCTCCCTTGAATGTTGTGCGTTTAGACTTCTATGCATTTTCAGGTCTCTACTGATTGTCACGTGTGATGATTGGAATAAATCAAGATTTCCTCATTGTTATATTGCGAGCAACAGCTTTTTACAACCTTTTACACTCTAACAAGAAGCAGAGCTCCCACTATTCTGTTTAACCAGCAAAACCTCTCAGCAACCTCATCTGTCACCCATGGCCTTGGAGTTTGGGAGCTAATGGTTTGGTTTCCAACATGTTTGAAAAAAATGTCATAATGCCTCCCCCATAATTTTGTCACAAATCGTATCTGTCTTTTCCAAAGTGCTACTCTCAGAAAAAGATACCTCTATCTCACAGATACAAAAATTCGGGGAAATCTTAGTTATTCCAACAGGTTGAGTAATTCTACTTTTCTCATTCAAGGCTGGAATTGGACACCTATTAATATTAGACCCTCATGTAAGTGGTACCTAAATTCTCACCTCTCCATACATGAATAAGGTCACAACTTTAACTGCTATGTCTTGCTTCAGAAGTTGGGCTAAGTAGGACTTCCTTTAAGTTAAGCACTATTCTGAGCACTTCAACAGACCGAGTCTTTTATAAGACTTACCTATCAACAACCTTATAAGGCAAGTATCATTATAATCCCCCTTTCAATGCATAGATACCTTGAGTGATGTGGCTAACGACCCATGGTTAGAAACCGAAGACAGGAAGTGTAGAGTCAAAGACAATGATCTGGCCGAGCACAGTGGCTCATGCCTGTAATCCCAGCACTTTGGGAGGCCAAGGTAGGTGGATCACCTGAGGTCAGGAGTTCGAGACCAGCCTGGCCAACATGGTGAAACCCCGTCTCTACTAAAAATACAAAAATTAGCCGAGTGTGGTGGTGCATGCTTGTAGTCCCAGCTACTTGGGGTGCCGAGGTAGGAGAATTGCTCGAACCCGGGAGGCAGAAGTTGCACTGCAGTCCAGCCTGGGCGACAGAGTATATGCCATCTGAAAAATAAAATAATCAAAAAGACAATGATCTTTTCTTTTCCTCTAAGCTATATTGCCATGCACAGTCTGTGCCTCATTACCATTGGGTCATAATGTCTATGGCTGAGCCAATGATGCCTAATTTAATCATTTTGAGGAGTATGGTCAAGTCAGTTGCAGTCACAAAGAGAACACCTCTGGTTTGTACCATTTTTTTATTTGTTTGCTTTGGTTCAGAATTCTGTTTTTTAAAATGATTTCTTTTACTCTTACTATTATTTTATTACTGTTACTTTAAAAATTGTCATTACCCCATCCTATCTCCTTATCTACCCAAAGCTAACCTTGACATTGGTGTGGGGAAGACTTAACTTTTTGTGAAAAGTGTTTGCTGCCCTTCTTGAGGCTCATGCCTGTAATCCCAGCACTTTGGGAGGCCGAGGTGGGCGGATCACGAGGTCAGGAAATCGAGACCATCCTGGCTGACATGGTGAAACCTCGTCTCTACTGAAAATACAAAAAATTAGCCGGGCGTGGTGGCGGGTGCCTGTAGTCCCAGCTACTTGGGAGGCTGAGGCAGGAGAATGGCGTGAACCTGGGAGGTGGAGCTTGCAGTGAGCCGAGATCGCACCACTGCACTCTAGCCTGGGCGACAGCGAAACTCTGTCTCAAAAAAAAAAAAAGAAGAAAAGTATTTGCTTCCCTTTCCTGGGGGAGGAGTAGTTTCTCCACCTTGCTGCCATTAGGATTGGCTGTGTGAATTGCTTTGGCCAGGGAAATGTGGGCATAAATGATCCTTGTCCCTTTCAGCAGAAGTAGTTTCACTTTTTCTTTTCCGTGTGCCATGAGCCTGGCAAACTCTGAGAGTGTCTGCTTTATCTACCAGATTCCAGAGTGAAGAGGATTTGGTGCCATGGTGTGGCTGATGGATATGTAACATAATAGGATGGGAAAAAAAGCGAGGGGGCAGGGGTGTGGAGCATTATTTGTTATTGCAGCATAACTTAGCCTTTACTTATAAAGGGTGCCCTGCCAAGACATGTTTTTATGATTTTACTAAACGTGTTATATAAAATATATCTCTAAACCATATGTGAATTGGTTCTCAAAGTGTGATCCCTGGATCACAAAAGGGTGAAAGCAAGATAAAATGGTTTCAGTCTTTTGGGGGGAAATAAGATAAAATATATTTACATAATAATACTAAGACATTATATGAAATTTTTTTACTCTCATTCTTTCATGAGGATACAGTGGAGCTACCTAAAGGTGTAAATGCTCTGATGCCTAAGGAAATGAATACTTGCATTCTTGTGTTTCAAAACTTTTTTAGCTTTAATTTCTTATATAGAAAAAATTAATAAATGCAACCCAAATGAAATAAATCTCTTTGGAACTTCAATAATTTTAGGAGAGTAAGAGATTCCTAAAACCGAAAAAGAGAAACATTGATGTAGTTTGCTGTTTAGTATATTTATAAATTTTACTTAAGTGATATTTGGTGACTTGCTTTTTAAATTCAACATTCCGTTGAGGTCTATCCCGATAGGTCTTTTCCTGTAGCCTGCACGTTGTTGGAAATGCCTCATAGAGTAACTCTGTGATTTTACTTTACTTACAGGACTATTGTTACATCTGTGGGAAGGAACCACAAGACAGTTGCTGAAGTATGAAAAAGACAGTTACTAAACTGTCTTTAGTTCAGTAACTGTCTTAGTAAAGACCTGATAATTTACTTTTTTACCTTAGGTATTGGCATATTCCACACATCTGTACTATTCTTGAATTTGATCACTTAGGAACGAATATGATTGGAACTCATTCATGTTTAGAGAGGGTGTCAAATTGAGAACCAGGCAGATCCACCTACACTAAAAATGACCCTAAAGTAAATTGGTGGAAGAAATCAGATCCCAAAGACTACTGGTGAATTTTGAAGTCTTCGTCAGTATATCCATATTAAAAGGAGATGACAGAAGCCAAAATAAAAGAATTATGGGTTGACAGGACAACTGGATTAAAATAAATGTCAGTTTCATTTGAAAGGGCTAACTTGAAGGTAATTTTTGAAAATAAATTTTGACTCCAGCTCTTCAGAGGATCTAAAGTGACCTTGATGGGCAGTGGAAGAAATCAAAACATGAAATTCCTTGAATAAAAATTTATTGACTTTACAAAATAAGTAAATAAATGAATTCAACCTTCTCTCGCTAAGTTAGTGTATGAAAGTGGGTACACATTAGACTGAGCTCATTCCTTTCAGCTGTTTATACTGTTATAAAATAGTTTCAAAAAGCGGAAAATACCTGCTCTTCAAAGTTTTTGGAGCATGTGACTTTATAAAGCATATGCATTTGATCACCTTCCCAAATGCCTTTCTTGTGCCAATGAATAATACATTTGCTTCACAATTGAAGTAATATACCCTCCTGCTCTGCTTCCTATCCTATTGCCAAATTCAGTGACTGAATGGGCATTTTCATATTCAGTCCCCTAACTATGACCTCTCGATTTTACAGAGAAGCTTAATCCCGGTTAGTCTCATTCTCTCACTGGGGATTCTCTGTTTCCTTGAGGGGCCTCTGAGATGAGAACAGCTTTGCAAGGACTGGGAACCTGTGATGAGCATAGTGTTGGAAACACTTGAGGCCTTTGTTCTTCCAGAGTAGACATCTCCAACTCCCAGGGACCCCTGCTTTCCCTCTGTCCCTGAATGCTGATTATGGGTCATGAGATTATGTAACAGACAGTTCATACCCTCTGCATGCAATTTTTTCCTACATATTTTGTTAGGGAAAAAATAAAATATACACAGTAGAGAGACTAGTATACTAGTAATCTAGTGTACTAATAACCTAGCTTCAAAATTGCCAACACATGGTCCATCTTGTTTCATTCATTTCTTCACCCACTCCACACTCTCCCCACTGCGTTATTTTTAGTCAATTAGTAGACATCATACATAAATCCTACAGTACTTGTCTCCGAAACACATTGATTCTTTTTTAGAAAACGTAACTGCCGGGGGCCGGGCGCGGTGGCTCGAACCTGTAATCCCAGCACTTTGGGAGGCCGAGGTGGGCAGATCACGAGGTCAGGAGATCGAGACCATCCTGGCTAACACAGTGAAACCCCATCTCTACTAAAAATACAAAAAAGAATTAGCTGGGCGTGGTGGCAGGCGCCTGTAGTCCCAGCTACTCGGGAGGCTGAGGCAGAAGAATGGTGTGAACCCGGGAGGCGGAGCTTGCAGTGAGCCGAGATTGTGCCACTGCACTCCAGCCTGGGCGACAGAGGGAGACTCTGTCTCAAAAAAAAAAAAAAAGAAAAGAAAAGAAAAAAGAAAACATAACCGCTGGGCATGGTAGCTCTTGCCTATAATCCCAGCACTTTGGGAGGCCGAGGCAGGTGGATCACCTGAGGTCAGGAGTTCAAGAGCAGCCTGACCAACATGGTGAAACCCCACCTCTACTAAAAATACAGAAATTAGCTGGGCGTGGTGACTAACGCCTTAATCCCAGCTACTGGTGAGGCTGAGGCAGGAGAATCGGTTGAACCTGGGAGACAGAGGTTGCAGTGAGCTGAGATCGTGCCATTGCACTCCAGCCTGGGCAACAAGAGCAAAACTCCATCTCAAAAAATAAAATTAAATTAAAAAAATAAAAATTTAAAAAACATAACCATAATACTGTTACTTATACCTGAAAGTCTACAATTCTTCAATACCACCGAGTTATCCAGTCAGCATTCAAACTGCTCATTTCGCATCAAAAACGTTTTTATAGCCGGTTTTTTGGAATTAGGTTTCACAAAAGGTCCAGACATAGATTGGTTATGTCTCAAATCTATCTGTAGGTTTCCCCTTCCCTATTTTTATATCTTGCAAGGTGTCTGTTAATAAAACTGGATCCTTTGCCCTGTGGAACATCCCACAGTCTAGATATTGCTGATTGCAGCCCTGGAGTGTTGAACACGTTCCTCTGTCCCTTGTATTTCCTATAAACTGGTAGTAAAACATGGTCTTAATTAGATTCAGGCTCAATATTTGTGGCAGGAACGCTGTATGTTTAGTGCATTTGCTTGCTATTATGTTGCATCAGGAGATACCTATTGTCTATCTCCTTTTTTGATGTTAATATTGATCTGTGGGTTCAGATGTTATCAGGAAGATCTATCCATTATAAAATTTCCTATCAAATAATAGTTCCAGCTGCCAATGATGACCATTGCCTGCATACATTACTTCATTAGGGGTTTGAGAAAGCAAATATTCTAATTCGATCATTTCTTCTGAATTCATTAGCTGTAAAGGAATGCATGCTCATCAGCTATTGGGTTACCGTGAGTTATGAGTCAAAAGGCAAATGAGGTGAATTGTGCATGTGGCATTCCCCCACCCACTCTCCATGTGCTCAGCCTTGTCTGTGCCCTCATGGGCTGCATCAAAGGCTCTGTTGCCCACTGGATTCTGCTTGGGTATAGCTCATGGGAGTCCTGGAATGAGATCAAAGGGAGGAAGGAGAATGAGGATGGAGTTTATTCCCCTGTTTCCTTCCCTGTGCTGTGCCCCGGCGGGCTGCATCCATTACAGCTGTCTCTGCACAGACCTCTCTTACCTGGGTTTTGATAACCACTCCTTCTTTTGCTCCTCCGATCTGCATGAGATCATGGCCCCCTAAATGCCGTGGTGATCATGGCATCGCCACCCTGTGGTGCTGCCCTATTCCTTGTGGTTTCCCTACAAATACTGCCCGTAGCTTTTATACAACCCTTTTACTAAGTCTCATATTACAAAATTTGACTGTAGTGCCTGTTTCACATTGGGAGGTATATTATCCTTCCCCTCTTCCTTGTTTTTTGTTTTTAAATTTTATGGACATAACAGCTGTACATATTTATGAAGTTGATGTGATATTTTGGTACAAGCATACAATGTAGAATGATTGAATCTGGATAACGGGGATATCCATCACCTCAAACATCTATCATTTCTTTGTGTTGGGAACATTTCAAATCTTTTCTTCTAGCTATTTTTAAATATACAATAAATTGTCATTAACACCAGCCACCTTATTGTGTTATCAAACATAGAACGTATGTCTTCTATTGAGCTGTATTTTTGTACCTGTTAAGCAACACCTCTTCACCCTCTGCCTCCTCAGCACCCTTTACAACTTCTAGTAACCACCATTCTATTCAATTCACTGTGTCCATGAGATCAGTTTTTTTAGGTCCCACCTACGAGTGGGAACCTGCAGTATTTTTGTCTTTCTGTTCTGACTTAGTTCACGTAATGCCCTCCAGTTCCATCTGCATTGCTGCACGTGATTTCATGCTGTTTTATGGCTGAATAGTATTCCGTTGTGTCTATCTACCACATTTTCATTTTCCATTCATCTGTTGATGGACACTTAGTTTGATTCCATATCTTGGCTATTATAGATAGTATTACAATAAACATGGGAGTGCAAATATTTCTTTGATACTGATTTCCCTTCTTTTTTTTTTTTTTTTTTTTTTGAGATGGAGTCTCTCTCTGTCACCAGGCTGGAGTTCAGTGGCGCGATCCCAGCACACTGCTACCTCCAACTCCCCGGTTCGAGCGATTCTCCTGCCTCAGCTTCCTGAGTAGCCAGGAATACAAGCATGCGCCACCATGTCCAACTAATTTTTGTATTTTTGGTAGAGCCAGGGTTTCACCATGTTGGCCAGGATGGCCTCGATCTCCTGACCTCGTGATCTGCCTGCCTCAGCCTCCCAAAGTGCTGGGATTACAGGCATGAGCCACAGTGCCCGGCCTAATCTGTTGTCTAAATCTAATTTCTATGATGAGAGTTCCCATTTTTAGGAATGCTCCTTGGTTACTTTCAAATGTGCTCTGTTTTTACAGTCTTGTCTTTCTTCAGCATACTTTTCACCCCCTCTTTATGACCTCAAACATTAAATGTGTGTATTTCATGCTCTGCGGCATAATTCCAATATCTTCAGGCTTTATGTATCAGCTTCTGAAGTTTGTGGTTTCTGCTGACGTGTGTTCGTGATGGCTTTTTTTCCTTCACAAATTCAGTCATTTGGATGAGCTCGTGTTCTTTGGAATTTTGTGGGAACTTTTAGGCCTGAGTTTAAAGCATGTTTTTGTGGAGAGGATTTTCGAAGAACTTTTTTTCAGTACTCTATCCTGCAGCACCCCTGAGAGAGCTATATAGACCTGCAACCCGCTCTGCAGAGGAGTTGTCACCTGGTGCACCCACTGAGGAGCTGGGTTCCATTCAGCCCCTCTCTCCTCTTGCTGTGCAGGCTCTCTATGCCTCTCCACCTGAGTTGTATGCTATAACTCTTGCTTTAGATTTAGACTAAGGATTTTTTGTTTATTGCACAGCTTGTCTCCAACTCATGGACTCAAGCGATGTTCCCAACTCAGCCTCCCAAGCAGCTAGGATTACAGGCTTGAGCCACCACGCCTGGCTAGACTAATGATTTTCAGACAGAATGTTGCAAACCCTTAGTAGTTCATGCTTATTTTAATAGATTACAAACAGGATTTTAAAAACAGACAAGAATAATATAACAGAAAAATAAAATGTTTGGCTGCCTCACAGACAGGGTTGTTTTGTGAAATTCAGTTTTAGATATAAACGTGTGGGTGCATGTTCATGCATGTGTGTGTGTGTGTGTGTGTGTGTGTGTGTATTTGAAGGTATGTGCACTGGGTAAAGACATATAAAGTTAGAAAAACACTGCTGTAGATCAGCAGGGACCAGAATATATCCTCAGGACAAACTCTAGCTCTTCGTGTTTTCTCATTTCTGACTACATTGTGTCATTGAAGAAATCTTTACTACTTTATGGTTATAAAGTAAATCTCCTATACTCTCTTTTTAAACTTTATTGCTTTGCTTTTTGCCTTAAATTTATAATCCACTTGGAGTTGATTTTTACGTATATGGTGAATTCAGTACAGTTGTTCCCCCTTATCCACTCCCGTGTTCTTTTGACACAAACCTATTAGTGTTTGATAGCTAACTTGCTTTCTGGCACACAAAAATCCCAGATTCATGTAAAGTTTTTATCCCAAACCTGTAATCGTTTATTTCGCCAAGGGTCCCTGGTTCTTTTCTTAAGGCAAATGATACATACCACAATTTGTGTCCCAGAGGTGTTCGCTTTTATGTCATAGGCATTACTTTTAAGTTTTGAGTGGGCAGAGCTGGGAAATGCATTTACTTTTTCAAAAGGAGAGACAAGAAAAGAGATTGTACTAATGTTTCCAATTCAAATGTAAGTCTATAGGAGTTTTACTTAACTTCTTCATACTTATGTTAGAAATCTTGGTTTCTGATGACAGTAACCACTATTTGCTTCATTATACTATATATGCACACACGTAACTGTTTTAAAACAATACTAATATTAATAATAAAAAGTACACTACTGAGTAACAATAGTTCTTTTAGTTCAGTGCATCTATCTCACTGAGGGTGTATAGTTAAAGTGTTGTGGTTGGGGTCACTTGAAATAAATCTTCCTGGAAAGTTTTTGCCACCAACTTCTAAACCATTGGGATTAGTCACATCAGTCCTTACTGATGGACTTTCAAGGTTGTCTTTTGCTGTCATAAATAGTGCTGTGATACATAACCCTGCACATATGTCACTTCATATATTTGCAGTGTGTTTTATGGATAGATTCCTAGAAATGGGATTCCTAGGGAAAAGATAAAACATTTTTCTTGATTTTGTGAAATTCCCCTCTGTTGGCATGGGGGCATTTCATACCCCCACATTATATGACTGGGAGTGCCAGTGCCAGTTTTTCCACAGCTTTAATGTATATTTTTAAGCTTTTGGGACTTGCCAATCTGATAGGTGAGAAACGGTATCCCAGTGTAGTTTTAATTTGCATTTTTCTTATTATGGTAATATTGAACTCAGCCTCATAAGGTGTCTACTGTTAAAGTGAGGACATTGATGGGGAAGGAAAGGGGTCCTGTGTGGGAAGCCCTAGAAGACACACTTTTCAGCAATGCTTTGAGGAATAGGTTTGTGAGGGGACTCCTGCATCCTTAAAGAGCTCCCTGACCGCTCTTCTCTGCAGGCCGGACCTTACAGTGGGAACCATAGTTACTCAACTGGAAAGCTTAAATGCAGTGGGAATAAACGGATTACAGGATGTCAGGGGCCAAGTTGTGGAACTCAACTGCAGAAAACAAGGTGGGCATAGTTACTGTAACGAATAGCAGAGACAAAGCAACAGTGAGAATAGTCTGACTCATGTAGACTCATGGCATTGGGTAATTAGTCATGCGTTCCTAGAAGTAAAGTAGATAGGAAGCCCACTACATTCTTCCTTCATATATATAAACAAAAAACTTCCAGGTTAAATGAATGGAAGTCTAACTCAAATCCTAAAAACAGAGATTCACAGCCCCTCAATAAATTCCCAGACTTGAGCAGTTTTCAGACTCAGAATCCCTTGAATGAAGGAGAAGCTAGATCCTCTTGAGGAAGAAGCCTGGCACATTACTGACAACTTATACTTTTAATCTTTCTGTTATCCTTCCCAAAGGGTCCTGGGACCTTCTGGCAGGGTAACTGTGCATTTCCAATAAAGAAATAATCAGAACTTTCAGGGACTGCTGCATACTGTCCTTTAACTGACATTTATTCCAGGAGACCTGAAATATCACTGGCCCTCCAGGTAGAGTTGAGGCTTATGGAGGTCAGGTAATCAGTAGATTTTTAGCTCATGTCCAACTCACAGTGGGTCCAATGAGTTGTTGAACCCATCTTGCGGTTATTTCCCAATTGGAATAGACATACTTAGCAGCTGGCAAAATCTCCACATTGTTTCCCTGACCCGTGGAGTAAGGACCATTATAGTGGGAAAGGCCAAGTGGAATCCATTAGAGGAAAGTAGTAGATTTAAAGCAATCCTGCTACCCTGGAAGGATTACAGAGATTAGTGCTGCCATCAAGGACTTGAAAGGTGCAGGGCTGGTGATTCCCACCACATTTCCATTCAACTGTCCTATTTGCCCTGTGCAGAAGACAGGTGGAGTCCAGAGAATGACTGTGGATTATCATAAGCTTAACCAAGTGGTACTCTAGTTGCAGCTACTGTGCAAGATGTGGTTTCATTGTTTGAGCAAATTAACACATATCTTGGTACCTAGTTATGCAGCTGATCATCTGGCAGGTGCCTTTTCTCCATACCTGTCCACAAGGACTATCAGAAGCAGTTTGCTTTCCAGCAATACACCTTCATTGTCCTACCTCAGGAGTGTATCAATATGCCATCCCTATGTTATAATTTAGTTTGCAAGGAACTTGGCTATGTTACTTTTCCAGAAGACATCACACCGGTCCATTATATCGATGATAAACTGACTGCATAAAAACACTCAGCAAGAAGTGCAACTAGTGAATAAGAAGTACAAGTACCCTAGATTTATTAAGACATTTGCATATCAGAGGGTAATAAATAAATCTGACTACAATTCAGGGGCATTCTACTAAACTTCTAGGGATCCAGTGGTGTGGGACGTGTTTAGATGTCCCTTCTAGAATAAAGCATAAATTGTTGCATCTGGCCCTTCTAAAACCGAGAAAAAGGCATAGTGCCCTTTTCTTATAGTGGGTCTATTTAAATAGTGGGTCTATTTAGATTTGGAGGCAAAATAATGGATCTGTTTAGATTTAGGTGCAGTCAGTTTATTCCAGATTATGCATCTGGAACAGGGAAATATCCACAAGATGGATTCAAGGACCCACTGGACCAACTGCCCATCTACCTAGTGACTAAAAACGCTGCTAGTTTTGAGTGGGGCCCAGAGCAGGAGAAGGCTATGCAACAGGCGCAGGCTGCTGCGCAAGCTGCTCTGCCACTTGGACCACATGGTCTAGTGAATCCGATGGTACTTGAGGTGTCAGTGGCAGATGTTGAGGCTGTCTGGAGCCTTTGGAAGGCCAGTGTAGGTAAGTTGCAGTATAGGCCGTTAGGATTTTGGACAAAGACTCTGCCATCATTTTCATATAATGATTCTCCTTTTGAGAGACAGCTCTCGACCTGCTATTGGGCCTTGGTAGAAACTGAATGCTTGACCATGGGCCATAAAGTTACTCTGCCACCTGAGCTTATCATGAACTGGGTGTTTTTGGACACAAAAAGCCATATAGCTGGGTATGCACAGCAGCACTCCATCATCAAATGGAAGTAAAATATACATGACTGGGCCCGAGCATGTCCTGAAGGTACAAGCAAGTTACATGCTGAAGTGGCCAAATGCCCATGGTCTCCACTCCTGCTACACTGCTTTCTCTCTCCCTGTATCTATGACCTCGTGGGAAGTTCTCTATGATCAGTAGAGATCACACTAGAAAAGACTAGAACCTTGTTTACAGATGTTTCTGCAGGATATGTAGGCATCACCAGAAAGCGAGCAGCTGTGGCACCATGCCCCTTTCTGGGACAGCCATTAAGGACAGTAGTGAAGGGAAATCTTCTCAATGGGAAGAAATGGCCAGATGTGCAATTGTATACCAGATCCTGGGCTGTAGCCTGTGGGTTGGCTGGATGGTCAGGGACTTAGAATAAGATTGAACTATTGGTGACGAAGGTATCTGGGAAAGGAGTATGAGCATAGACCTCTCTGCATGGGGAAAGAATATGAATATATTTATGTCCCATATGAATGCTCAGCAAAGGCTTAAGTGAGCAGAGGAGGACTTTAATAATCAAGAAAATAGGATGACCCATTTTGTGGATACCACTCAGCTTCTTTCCCCAGCCACCCCTGTCATCCTTCAGTAGGCTCATGAATAATTTGGCTATGGTGTCAGTGATGAAGGTTTTCCAAGGGCTCAGCCACATGAACTACTCTCACCAAGGCTGACTTGGTTACAGCACCATAATAAAGGGATAGCATTTTGTCCTCACCGAAATGCATATTTTCTCTGGATATAAATTTGCCTTCCCTGTATGCAATGCTTCTGCCAACACTACCACTCATGGACTTACGGAATGTCTTATCCACCATCATGGTAACACTCTGGGTGAAACCATTCAGATCCGCACTGTTTTCACTGGAAGGTTAATAAATCTGCATGTAAGTTTTTGTTGTGTTTCACATGTTTATCTTGTTTCAAGTATGGTAGGTTGTATTTTTCTAGAAAGTTGTCCATTTTATTTAATTTGCCTTTTTAGGGTACAGCAAATTCTTACTTTCTTTTTTTTAGTTCTGTTTTTTTTCCTACTATTTCTTTTTTTGCAATCAGTTTTATCAAGGACTTATTAATTTTATTCATTTTCTCAAAGTACAAGCCAATTGTGTTTACATGTTTAGTTTCTATTTGGTTAATTTGTTCTTTTACTTACAATTTCCCTTTTTTCCATCGTATGTGAAAAAAATGGAAAGATATACCATGCTCATAGATTGGAGACAATATTGCAATACCATCCCAATCAAAACTCCAGCAGACTTCTTTATTTTGTGAAAGTTGATGACCTGATTATATACTTTATGTGTTGTGTATGAACAAAGCAAGAGAAATGACACACTGGGGAAAAGTATTTGCCTTTATATAGCAGACAAGTAATTTGTTTTCTTAATCATTTCAAATCAATAAGAAAAAGACCAACAAACCAATATTAAAACATGCAAAGGACTTGAATAGTCAGATCACAGATGAGAAGAGTTAAATGAGTCTTAAACATAGGAATGATGTTCAAAATCATTTAAAATATTTAAACTGAAACTTAATGAAGTAAACATGTACAAAATTACAATAAAAATGGACATACCCATAACCATGAAGAAAATTTTAGTATTAAAGAAGCCAATCAGACCAAAAGTTAGTAAAGATAAAGAACATTTGAATAGCATAATTAACAAGCTTGAATTAATGAATATATGTTGTAGGAGTTTGTACCCAATTAGGGATTATATAAACTTTTTACTGACATTGGAAAGTACTAGGCCACAAAGCCAACCCCAATGAATACCAAATAATCAATTTCGTACACATAAGATGATAGTCTCTAATAACTATTCAAAGATGAAAATCAATGCCAAAATATAGCCAAAAAGCCTTATTCCTTTGGAAATTAAACATACTCTGCTAAATAATTCAAGGGGTATATAAATCAATTGAAATCATGAAATATTTATAAGTGAATGATAAAGAGTGACTGTGTATCAATACCTGAGTGATGCTGCTAAAATGGTAATTAGAGGAAAATTTTGAACTTCAGGGGCATCCATTAGAAAAGAAAAAAGACTGGCCATTATTGAACTAAGTTTGCAAATCAAAATGCTGTAAAAAGAAGTAATCCCAATGAAAGCAGAGCAAAGTAAATAAAGCAGAAACAAACATGTATCAATGAAAGATGAAGCAAAGAAACCATGATGATAGTCAATCCATGAGCTATTTCCTCAAAAAGGGCCAGATGTAACTATACGTCTGGCAAGACCAAACAAGTGAAAGAAAGAAAGTACCAGTAAATAATATTAGAAGGACTATATCATCAGATACAGTCATAATTTTAAAATTATAAAAGAAAACCTTGACAAAACAGTTTGTCATTACATTAGAAAAATTAAATGAAATATATAATTTTCTAGAGTATATGTAAAGTACCAAACTTGCCACTGAAATGAAAAAAAGAAGGCATATGAGTAATCCCATTAGCATTACAGAAATTACAATTGAAAACCTCTCATGTTCTCCTTCAAATTGTACTAGGCTTATGGTGTTTCAAGTGGGCTTTAGAAAACTTTCAAATAACAAATACTAATGGCTTCAATTTCATTGCTACATAGAATACATAGAGAAGGAAAAGTAATCAGCTTAAATCATGAGGCTAACATAAGCTTCATGCCCAAACCTGAGACAGACAGAATACTAATTTTAATTACAGTAATGTGGGGGAAAAAATCACAAATATGTTAATACAGGATACACTTCAGAAATGGTTGAATTGAGAAAATTTTCCAGTGGAACTTACAGCACTAAAATATGACAAGTAAATATGTGATTATTTCAAGTTCTTGAAAATGTGCAATAAAAAGCCATTTATGATCAAATATTTATCATAATAGTAGATTTTCATCATGATTATATTATGTATTGAGATTAATATTATATAATAAAAATTAAAACAAATATTATACTTAATGGTTAAATTTCAGAAGCGTTTTCTTTATATTCAGGACAAAACAAGAATATCTGCTATGTTGATTTTCCTTCAACAATATCCTAGAGATCTTACCAAATGCAATAAGAAAAGAAAAAGGTAGATTAAAAAATAAAGTGTCTGTTCATATCCTTGGCCCACTTTTTGATGGGGTTGTTTTTTTCTTGTAAATTTGTTTGAGTTCATTGTAGATTCTGGATATTAACCCTTTGTCAGATGAGTAGATTGCAAAAATTTTCTCCCATTCTGTAGGTTGCCTGTTCACTCTGATGGTAGTTTCTTCTGCTGTGCAGAAGCTCTTTAATTTAATTAGATCCCATTTGTCAATTTTGGCTTTTGTTGCCATTGCTTTTGGTGTTTTAGACATGAAGTCCTTGCCCATGCCTATGTCCTGAATGGTATTGCCTAGGTTTCCTTCTAGGGTTTTTATGGTTTTAGGTCTAACATTTAAGTCTTTAGTCCATCTTGAACTAATTTTTGTATAAGGTGTAAGGAAGGGATCCACTTTCAGCTTTCTACATATGGCTAGCCAGTTTTCCCAGCACCATTTATTAAATAGGGAATCCTTTCCCCATTTCTTGTTTTTCTCAGGTTTGTCAAAGATCAGATAATTGTAGATATGCGGCATTATTTCTGAGGGCTCTGTTCTGTTCCATTGGTCTGTATCTCTGTTTTGGTACCAGTACCATGCTGTTTTGGTTACTGTAGCCTTGTAGTATAGTTTGAAGTCAGGTAACGTGATGGCTCCAGCTTTGTTCTTTTGGCTTAGGATTGACTTGGCGATGCAGGCTCTTTTTTGGTTCCATATGAACTTTAAAGTAGTTTTTTCCAATTCTGTGAAGAAAGTCATTGGTAGCTTGATGGGGATGGCATTGAATCTATAAATTACCTTCAGCAGTATGGCCATTTGGATGATGTTGATTCTTCCTACCCATGAGCATGGAATGTTCTTCCATTTGTTTGTATCCTCTTTTATTTCATTGAGCAGTGGTTTGTAGTTCTCCTTGAAGAGGTCCTTCACATCCCTTGTAAGTTGGATTCCTAGGTATTTTATTTTCTTTGAAGCAATTGTGAATGGGAGTTCACTCATGATTTGGCTCTCTGTTTGTCTGTTATTGGTGTATAAGAATGCTTGTGACTTTTGCACATCGATTTTGTATCCTGAGACTTTGCTGAATACTGGGGCTTGTTGTGGGGTGGGGGGAGGGGAGAGGGATAGCATTAGGAGATATACCTAATGTTAAATGACGAGTTAATGGGTGCAGCACACCAACATGGCACATGTATACATATGTAACAAACCTGCACGTTGTGCACATGTACCCTAAAACTTAAAGTATAATAAAAAATAAAAAAATAAAACATTTGCTATTTATAGACAAGTTTATTATTATTATTATTTTACATAAAAACCCAAAATAATCTGAAGACAACACATTTAGAACTATTAACTGAGTTTGGGTTATCAGTTTCTGGATTCAAGCTCAACATATAAAAATCAATGGTGTTTCAACACATCACCAGCAATTAGTAATTTAATCTTTATCCATTTTCTAATGACCTTGCATTCTTTATGTGATCAGAGTTCTGATCTATGTTATTTTTCTTCTTGCTGAAAAATATATTTTAACATTTCTTGCAAGGCAGGTCTACTGGTGACAAATTCCCTCAATTTTTGTTTGTCTGAGAAAGTCTTTATTTCGCCTTCATTTATAAATAATAAGTAAACTAGGTACAGAATTCTATGTTGGTGGGGTTTTTTTCCTTTAAACATTTTAAGTATTTTACTTCAGACTCTTCTCACTTGCATGTTTTCTGAGGAGACGTCTGATGTAATTCTTATCCTTGTTGATCCATAGGTGCTTGTTGCTGTGTTTTGTCCTTTGACTTCTTTTCAAGATTTCCTCTTTGTCTTTAGTTTTCTGCCATTTGAAAATGATACGCCTACATATCAGTTTTTTGGTATTTCTCCTGCTTGGTGTTCTCTGAACTTTTTGGATCTATGGTTTAGTGTCCATTTTTAGTTTTGGAAAATTCTCAGTCATTACTACTTCAAATATTCTCTTTCTTCTCTCTCTGGTGATGTTTCTCCTTTTGTAATCGTTTAATGGTTTTTGGATATTTTGTTCTATCTTTTTCAGTGGTTCTCTTTGCATTTTAGTTCTGGAAGCTTCTTTTGGAATTTCCTCCAATTCACTGGTTCTGTTCTTGGCCATTTCCACTCTGTTGATAAGCCTGTCAAAGACATACTTCATCTCTGTTGTAGAGTTTCTAACTCCTAGATTTATTTTTGATTCATGGAGTTTCCATATTTCTGATTACATCAGTTATCTGTTCTTGCATGGTGGCTGCTTTTTCCATTAGAGCCATCACATTTTAATCATAGTTGTTTAAATTTCTAGTCTGATAATTCCAAATTCCCTGCCATATCTGAGTCTGGTTCTGATACTTTCCTCTGTCTTTTCAAACTATATTTTCTTTCTCTTTTCATGTGCCACATAATTTTTTTCGTTGAAAGCCAGACATCATGTGGTAGGTAAAAAGAACTGAAGTAAATAGGCCTTTGTGTGAGGCTTTATGTTTATCTGGTTAGGGGTTAGGCTATGTTTATAGTATGCTATAGCCGCAGAACCTAGCAGAACCCCTGGAGGTAAAACTCATGAAAATATGAGTTCTCTTCCCCCAAGAATGGGCATCCCTTGAGTTTTTATCTCTCAAGTTTGTCCATAGCAACTTTAACTCTGAGATTGTCGTCTAGCAACTCATCAATGACAGTTTAGTTTTCCTACCCTGGTACTCACTGTAGTGTTGGTTTCTGCTCCAGGGTTTTTGCTTTTAGGATATACGTGGGCTGAAAGTGAAGGGTTGGAAAAGTATATTATATGCAAGGAGTAATCAAAAGAGAGCAGGAGTGGCTATATTTATAGCAGAAAAAGTAAGCTAAGTTAAAAACTTTTATATAAGGCCAAAAAGGTCATTACATAATGATAAGGTGGTCAATTCCTAAAGAGGATATAGTAATTGTAAACGTCTCTACACCTAACATTGGAGCACCTAAATATGTAAAACAAATATTAACAGAATTAAAGGGAAATATAGATAGCAACACAGCAATAGGGAGAACAATACCCCTGCTTACAACAATGATCATCAAGACAGGAAACAGTAGACTTAAAACAACATTATGGACGACATTTACCTGACAGACATATACAGAATATTTTGTATATTTAAAAGCAGCAGAATACACATTGTTTTCAAACACACTTAGAAAATTTTCCAGGATAGTTGACATGTTATGCCACAAAACAAGTCTTAACAAATATAAGAAGGCTGTAATTATAGCAAGTATCTTTTCTGACCACAATGGCATAAAACTAGAAATCAAAAACAGGAGGAAAATTGGAAAATTAACATTTGTATCAAAGTGAAATAACATTTCTGAACAAAATTAAACAAAACTTCTGGTAAAAATCTAAAAAGAAATAAAAAAAGATCTTGAGACAAACTAAAATGGAAACACAACAAATCAAAACGTGTAAGATGTGCCAAAGGCAGTCTGAAAGGGAAGTATGTAATGATAAACAACTACATTATGAAAAAGAAAGATATGTAACAAACAATCTACACTTCAAGGAAATAGAAAAAGGAGAACAAACTAAACCCAAAAAGTTAGCAGAAGGAAGACAATAATAAAATTCAGAGCAGAAATAAATGAAATTGAGTAAAATCTAATGGAAAGGATTAATGAAACTAAGACTTGTTTTTAAAAAACAAACAGAACCAACAAACCTTTAGTTATATTAACTAAGAACAAAATGAGGAAGGAACAAATAAATAAAATTATAAAATAAAGAGGAATCATTAGAACTGATACCACAGAAATATAAAGGATCATAAGAGACTGCTATGAACAATTATATGCCAACAAATTAAATAGGCTGGAAGAAATGGATAATTTCTAGAAACAAACAACCTTACCAAGACTGAATTATGAGGAAATATAAAATCTGAGCAGACAAATAATGAGTAAGGAGATTCAATTTGCAATGAAAATCCTCCCCAGAAAGAATAGGACTGGATGGCTCCACTGGTGAATTCTCCAAACATTTAAAAAATTAATGCCAATCCTCAAACTCTTCCAAAAGCTGAAGAGGAGAGAATACTGTCAAACTTATTTTAAGTCCAGCATTTCCCCAATACTAAAGCCAGACAAGTCCACCAACAAAAAAAAAAAAAAAAGAAGAAAAAAGAAAATTAGACCAATATCCCCGATGGACATAGTTGCAGATATTTTCAACAAAACAATAGCAAACCAAATTCCAAAAAGTCCAATGCCACGGCCAAGTGGGATTTATCCCAGGAAAGCAAGGATGTTTCAACATATGAAAATCAATAAAGGTAATACATTACGTTAACAGAATAAAGAACAAAATGCATATGATCATCTCAATAGATACAGAAAAAAGCATTTGACAAAACTTAACATCCCTTCATGTATACCTCAACATAATGAAGTCCTTATATGACGGGCCCACAGCTAGTATCATACTCAGTGGTGATCAGGAACAAGACAATGATGTTTTTTGCTACTTCTATTCAATATAGTATTGGAAGTCTTACCTAGAGCAATTGGGTAAGACAAAGAAAAAAATGCATCCAAATTAGGAAGGAAGAAGTTAAATTGTCTGTGTTTGAAGATGACATAGTCTTGCTTATAGAAAACCTTAAAGGCTCCACTAGAAAAACTCTTAAAACTAATAAAAATTTAGTAAATTTGCAAGATACAAAATCACCATACAAAAAGCAGTAGTATTACTCAAACAACAGACAATACGAAAAAGAAAATAAAGAAAATAATCCCATTTACAATAGCATCAAAAAATACTTCGTGATGAATTTATTCAAGGAGGTGAGAGATCTCTATATGGAAAACTATAAAACATTGATGAGACAAATTGAAGAGGACACAAATAAATGAAAATAAATCCTATGTTCATGGATTAGAAAGCTTAATATTGTTAAAATATCCATAACACCCAAAACTATGTACATATTCAGTGCAATCCGTATCGAAATTTCAATGACATTTTTCACAGAAAAAGACAATTCTAAAATTCATATGGAATCACAAAAGACCTGATATAGCCAAGATGAGAAAAATAAGCTGGAGGCATCACACTACTCAATTTCAAAATACTTTCAAAACTATAGTAATTAAAGCAGTATGGTACTGGCATAAAAACAGACATATAGAACAATGAAGCACAACAGATATCCCAGAAATTAATTCATACATTTATGATCAATTGATCTTCAACAAAAGTGCCAAGGATGTACAATTGGAAAGAATGGCGTTTTCAATGAAAGATGTTGAGAAAACTGAATAATCACATACAGAAGAATATCATTGGATTCTTATCTCATACCATATACACAAATCAACTAAAAATTGATTAAAGACTTAAAGGCAAGACCTGAAACTGTAAAACTACTAGAAGAAAACCTAGGGGAAAACTTCTTGAGATTGATCTGGGTAACGATTTTTTGGATATGACCTCAAAACTACAGGCAACCCAAGCAAAAACGAACAAGTAAGATTCCATCAAACAAGTTCTTTGCTTGCTCTAGAAGTATTCACATTTTCTACTTCTTTTTGAGTTAGTTTTGGTAATTTGTGTCTTTCTAGAAATTTGATCAGAGGATGTTTTGTCAGAAGTCAGCCTATTCTCAGGAGGGGGTTGTATATGGTTCAGGCTGAGAGTGGGCCAGAGCTCATTCAGGGGCCTGGAGGAAGAAGAGATGCTTAACAGAAGTTTGATTAGAAGCATTTCGTTCTGACTGATCTTTGTGGACAAGCAGTACAGTGAATCATTTATGAAGCAAAGAGTAGGAATTTCAAAGGCCTATTTCTGACCCTTTCATAGATAAACAAGGGGACATCTATGAGTCTTATCAAAATCATTTGGGAAAGGGTCGTTCTTTGCAGTAAGCCCTTTTACAGAACACTAAGGTTGGAGGGATTCTTTTTTTAAAAAATTAAATTTTATTTTAGATTCGGGGGTAAATGTGATTATTTTCTGTATGGGAATACTGCATACCGGTAGGGATTAGGCTTCTAGTGTACCCATTACCCAAATAGTGAACATTATGCCCAATAGGTAATTTTTCAACACTTGTTTCCCCACCCTCCCCCTTTTTGGAGTCCCCAGTGTCTATTATTTCCATCTTTAAGTCCATGTGTACCCATTTTTTAGCTTCTACTTACGAGTGAGAATATGTAGTATTTGGTTTTCTGTTTCTGAGTTAGTTCACTTAGGATAATGACTTCCAGCTGCATCCATGTTGTTGCAAAGGACACAGCTGTATTCTTTTTTATGGTTGCATAGTATTCCTTGGTGTGTATATGCCACATTTTCTTTTTCAGGCAACCACTGATAGACATTTAGGTTGGTTCCATGACTTGCTATTGTGAATAGTGCTTCTATGAACATAGAAATCCTGAACAGATTAATAACAAGTAGTGAAATTGAATCAGTAATTTAAAAACTTCCAAAAAACAAAAGCTCAGTACCAGATAAATTAACAGCCAAACTTTACCAGATGCACAAAGCAGAGCTAGTACCAACCTTACTGAAACTATTCCAAAAAATAGAGGAGGAGGAATCCTTCCTAACTCTTTCTACTAAACTTGTATCACCCTGATACCAAAATCTGGCAAGGACAAAACTAAAAAAGAAAACTACAGGCCAATATCCCTGATGAACAGAGATGCAAAAATTCTCAGCAAAATACTAGCAAACCAAATGCAATAGCACATGAAAAAGATAATTCATTATAATCGATTGGGTTTTATTCCAGGGATACAAGGATGGATCAACATTTGCAAATCGAAAAATGTGATTCTTCGCATAAACAGAACTAAAAACAAAAATCATATGATCATCTCAATAGATGCAGAAAAGGCATTCAATAAAATCCAACACCCTAATACCAGCCTGAGCAACATAGAAAGATCCCTGTTCTACCTAAAATAAAAATAACCAGGCATGGTGGCACACATTAGTGGTCCCAACTACTGAGGAGGCTGAGGCAGGAGGATTGCCTGAATCCAGGAGTTTGAGGCTGCAGTGAGCTATGATTGTGCCACTGCACTACAGCCTGGATTCCAAAGCAAGACCTTATCTCAAAAAAAAAAAAAAATCCAACATCTCTTCATGATTAAAATCCTCAGCAAACTAGGCATCAAAGGAACATGCTTCAAAATAATAAGAGTCATCTATGACAAACCTACAGCTAACATCATACTAAATGGGGAAAAGTTGGAAGCATTCACCCTAAGAACTGGAACAAGACAAGGATGTCCACCCTCATCACTCCTGTTTAACATAGCATTGGAAGTCATACCAGAACGACGAGGCAAGATAAATAAAAGGCATCCAAATTGGAAAAGAGAAAGTCATGTTGATGACATGATCTTATATCTAGAAAACCCTACAGACTTCTCCAAAAGACTCCTAGACTTGACAAATGATTTCAGTAAAGTTTCAGGATAGACAAGCAAGGTAAAAATAATTAGGAAGGATTTCTTAAACGTCATTGTTTTTCAGGATCATGGGACTCAGGAAAATTCAACATTGTTGCATTGTACAAAAAAAAGCAGAAAGGCAGATCCTTGGGAAAACATAGACTATTCCCAAAATGGTTCCAGGACAATTGGTTTTAGGTATAAAATAATAATAATAACCATGCCACACCATAAATAAAAACCAATTCCAGAAGGATTACAAATTTAAATGAAAGTTATATTTTCAGCAATAGGGCAAACTAGATTGTCTGGAAAATCTCTCATTGTAAATCTCCTAAAAATGATGGATAAATTTTTTTTAAAGGGAAGATAAAACTTCAGAATAAATAAGAGACTGCACCAATTTATAGTTGACCCTTGAACGACATGGGTTTGAACTGGCACAGGTCCACTTACACGTGGATGTTTTTCAACCAAACAGAAATACAGCATTTGTGGAACGTGAAACCCTTGTATAGGGAGAGCAGACTTTTCTTATACGTGAGTTCCGTGGCAGGGGTGACTGCAGGAGTTGAGTATGTGCAGATTTGGGCATGTGCTTGGGCCCTGGAACCAATCCCCTGCATATACTGAGAGATGACTATATATATTAAATATTAATACAAGTACCTTAAATATGTAATTATAATTCTTATGCAACATATATTTATAATATTGGTATATGCATGTATTTAAGATATTTACATGCAATTTCATAACTATATATTAAATAAGAATGCATATCTATGTCTATATATCTATTAGAACTAACTGAAAGAAGAGACAGATTACCTACAAAGGAATAAAGTATAGAAGCAGTATGAAACCAGTAGAAGTTAGAGTAAGTTCTGGGAGAAGATAACTGGCAACTTAGACTTGTATACTCCCTGAAACTTTCTTTCAAGCCATGTGGGCATGACCTTTATCCTTTGGAAAGATTTTTAAATACCAGGTTAATTTCTTTACTATTTTATTACTTTTTTTTTTTTTTTTTTGAGACGGAGTCTCGCTCCGTCGCCCAGGCCTGGAGTGCAGTGGCGCGATCTTGGCTCACTGCAAGCTCCGCCTCCTGGGTTCACGCCATTCTCCTGCCTCAGCCTCCAGAGTAGCTGAGACTACAGGCGCCCGCCACCACACCCAGGTAATTTTTGTGTGTGTGTGTATTTTTAGTAGAGACGGGGTTTCACCGTGTTAGCCAGGATGGTCTTGATCTCCTGACCTCATGATCTGCCCACCTTGGCCTCCCAAAGTGCTGGGATTACAGGCATGAGCCACCGCGCCCGGCCTACTATTTTATTTCTAAAATAATTTCAACTTTTATTTTAGGTTCAGGGGGGTACATGTGCAGGTTTTGTTACATGGGTATATTGTGTTGATGCTGAGGTTTGACGTATGAATAGTCCCATCATCCAAGTAGTGAGCATAGTGCCCAATAGGTAGTTTTTCAGCTCTTGGTCCCCTTCTTCTCACCCCCTTCTAGTATCCCTAGTGTCTTTTGTTCTCAACTTCATGTTCATGTGTACCCCATGTTTAGCTTCTATGTATAAGTGAGAACATGTGGTATTTGGTTTTCCATTCTTGCACAAATTTGCTTAGGATAATAGCCTCCAGCTGCATCTGTGTTGCTGCAAAGGACCTGACTTCATTCTTTTTATAGCTCTGTAGTATTCCATTTTATATATATATATATATACACACACACAACATTTTCTTTATCCAGTCTACCATTGATGGGCATCTAGGTTGATTCCATGTCTTTGCTATTGTGAATAGTGCTGTAATGAACATACTGGCGCATGTGTCTTTTTGGTAGAATGATTTATTTTTTCTTTGGTTATATACCCAGTAGTGGGATTGCTGAGTGGAATAGTAGTTCTAAATTCTTTGAGAAATCTCCAAACTGCTTTCCGTAGTTGCTGAACTAATTTACATTCCCACCAACAGTGTATGAGTGTTTCCTTTTCTCTGCAGCCTTGCTGACATTTCTCTGATGATTGGTGATGTTGAGCATTTTTTCATGTTTGTTGGCTGCCTGTATGTCTTCTTTTGAGAAATGTCTGTTCATATCCTTTGCCCCTCTTTTAATGAGGTTATTTGTTTTTTCCTTGTTGGTTTGTTTAAGTTCCTTATAGATTCTAGGTATTAGACCTTTGTCTGATGTATAGTTTGTGAATATTTTCTCCCATTCTGTAGGTTGTCTGCTCACTTGTTGATAGTTTCTTTTGCTGTGCAGAAGCTCTTTAGTTTAATTTAGTCTCACTTGTCAATGTTTTTGTTGCAATTGCTTTTGAAGACTTAGCCAAAATTTATTTGCCAAGGCCATTGCCAAAATGGCATTTCCTAGGTTTCCTTCTAGGATTTTTATAATTTGAGGTCTTACATTTAAATCTTTAATCCATCTTGAGTTAATTTTTGTAGTTGGTGAAAGGTAGGGGTCCAATTTCATTCTTCTGCATATGGCTAGCCAGTTATCCTAGCACCATTTATTGAATAGAGAGTCCTTTCCCCATTGCTTATTTTTATTGACTTTGTTGAAGATCAGATGGATACAGGTCTTATTTTAGAACTATTCACATTTTCCGCTTACTTTTGAGTCAGTTTTAGTAATTTGTGTTTCGCTAGCAATTGTTCATCTAGTTGTGTAATCTATTGGCATAAAGGTGATGATAGTATTCTTTGATAATTATTTTCATTTCTGCAAGATCTGAAAGAGAAGAGATGTCTTCTCTTTCACTCGTAATTTTGCTAACTTGTGTCTTCTCTGCTTCATTACCAGTCTGTGCAAAGGTTTAGCAATTTTTAAAAAATTTCATTTTATTCACATTCACTATTTTTGTTTTGTCTGTTTAATGGATTTCCTCTCTAATCTTTATTATTTCTTTTCTCCTGCTTGTTTAAGATTTAGTTTACTCTTCCTTTTCTAGTAAATTAAGATGAAACCTTACTTTTTTCTTTTCTAAAAAAGTCATTTAAAAACCACGAAAATTTCCCTAAGCACTGCTGTATCCCATAAATATTGATATACTGTAATTTCATTTTATTTGATACTAATATAGACACTCCAGTTTTCTTAGGGTTACTATTTGTATTGTTTATCTATTTCCATTCTATTACTTTAAACCTATTTGTGTTCTTAGATGTTCTTAGAAAAGGTGTCTCTTAAGTCTTATTATTTTTACCCAATTTGACATTCTCTAAAACTATTATTGAAATGTTCAATCTATTTACATTTGGTGTAATTATTTATGTGATTTAATGTATATCTTGTTTTGCTATTTAATTTTATATGTTCCATATCTTTTTAATTCATACATTGCTTTTAACTGTCTTTCGTGTTAGATACTTCTATTGTACTGTTTAATTCTTTTCTTTTTTTTTTTTACTACATTTTAAGGGATTTTTTATGGTTTATTTGTGGATTACAATACGTATCTTATCACAATTTGTGAATTACAATATGTATCTTAATTTATCACAATCTGCTTCAGATTAATACTAACATTTTTCCAGTAAAATATAGATATCCAATAGAACTCTATTTCTCCCCTTCTTTGTTCTATTTTACTGTTTATATGAAATTTACCTATTATTATAATCTATAAGTATAGGTTAAAATCCAACAATTCTAATTTTTCTCTGCAAAGTGTTTAAAATAAGAGAAGAATATAAGAAATAATATACTTAAGCAGATTTTATATTTACCTGTGTAATTATTTTTACCAGTTTTTTTTATATATACAGATTCAAGTAACTGGTGTCATTTCTCTTCCGTCTTTGTTTATCTGGTAATGTCTTTATTTTACTTTTTTTTTTGAAGGATAGTTTTGTTGAATACTTAATACTTGGTTGACTTTTCTTTTTCTTTTAGCACTTTGCTTTCTAGCTTCTGATTGTTTCTGATGGAAAATCTCATCACAATAAAATGTTAATTTTATTGTGGTTCCTTGTACTTCATGAGTCATTTTTCTTTTGCTGCTTTCAAAATTTTCTCTTTCAACAATTTGATTATAATTTGTTAAGGTGTGAATCTCTTTGAATTTATTTTAGTTGGAGTTTGTTGAACTTCTTGGAAGTGTAAATTAGTTTAAAAAATCATGTGTGGGATATTTTCAGCCACTGTTTCTTCAAATATTTTTTCTGCCTTTTTCTCTCTCCTTCTCTGGGAGCTGTGTTCAATTTTTTAAAAAAATTCTCTCTGTTCTTCAGATTGGATGGTCTATATTGATCTGTCCACAAGTTTGCTTATCTCTTCTGCCAGCTAAAGTCTGCTACTGAAACTCTTCAGTGAAATTTTCACTTCAATGACAGCACTTTTCAACACAATAATTTTTATTTTGTTACGTTTTATAATTTATATATAGTTATTGATAGTTTTAATTTGATAAGCCATGGTCATCATACTTTTGTTTTATTCTTAAACACCGTTTCTTCCGTTCTTTGAACATATTTATAATAGTTGGTTTATTATCGGTGTAGGGTACCTCAGAAACAATTTCTATTGACTGCTTTTTCTCCTGTATATGGGTAGCACTTTCCTGGGTTTTTTGCTTGTCTCCTAATTTTTTCTTGAAAACCAGTTTAGATCATATATTACAACAACTCTAGATTCCGATTCCACTCTCCCCTTCCCCTAGGGTTGTTGTTTCTTTTTGTAAATTTTTTGTTAATTTACTTACTGACCCTTCCGTACCAATTCTTTAGAATGGTTTCTTCCAAAGTATGCATCCAAAGTTGTTTTTCCTCATTAAAAAAAAATCTTGTTTTCAATTTTTAAGGCTGGATTCCTAGGGTTGCCACTTGGTCAGCATCATGTAGTGATCAGCCAATTACTGGTCAGCGTCTATGCTTAAACGTCTTGATCCACAAGGCTAATGGTTCCATGTCCGAGGTGGGAAATTCACTGAATGTTCAGGCAGTTTGTAGGTTTTCTCTGGTCTCTGCTTTCTGCCAGCTATTCCTGTTTCTCCTTTGAGCATTACATTCTGTTAGAGAGGAGAGGCATCTTATTCCATGTAGCGCTGCTATAGTAGAATGCCTGAGACTGAACAATTTGTAAGGAACAGAAATTTATTTCTTACAGTTCTGTTGACTGGGAAGTCTAAGATCAAAGTGCTGGCACCTGGTGGAAGTCTAGTCTCTGCTTCAAAGATAGTGCCTTGAATGCTGCATCCTCCTGAGGGGTGGAACCCTGTGTTATCACATGACGGAGGAGCAGAAGAGACCACATCCACACCTGCAAGCCCTTCATACAGCAGCTCTAACCTTGACCTAAACACCTCCCGTTAGGCCCCACCTCCCAACCTCACTGCTTTGGAGATTAAGTTTCTAACACATGCATTTTGGGGGATACATTTAGACCATAGCCAGGGTCCTCTCCAGTCTGGTCTGGTACATTTCTGGATGTCAATAAATATACTTTGAAAACATAATATGTAATATTTCATAATATATTATTTTAAAAATATCTCATTTGTACCAATATTTAATCTTTTAAATCATGTTCAAGTGGACTTTCTTTTTCTTAAAAGTTTATTCATATTTGCATTTTTTAAAAGGCTGGGTTCTTATAAATAGACTGATAATACAAAAATACCAATATATTGTGGTCAATCTTAGAAACCCACAACTCCAATAAAAGTCTTTTAGACTTATCTTCCTCTCCCCTGTGTCCACAAAGTAGAGAATGCAATCCTTCAATTTTCAGGAGCTCATAGCTTATATCTGTTTTTGGCACCCCTTCCCCAATTCTTCCCAGTATTATATTTCCCTGTGTCTTAATCACCTACTTGCACTATAAACCTCTTAGAGCAGAGGACTGCCGCTTTCTTCCATCTCTAAGCTTGCCCTGTCCCCTGCACCAAGTCTCACACATAGTAGGTACTCAGAAGGTGTTAAGTGGGATTTTAGCTGGCTGAAAAAGGAGCACTCGCTCTTGGCTTCCCATTCCTTATATGGGCCACGAAGCCCCTGTCTCCAAGGCCCTTTGTGTCTGTGACATTCTCGGGCTTATGCTTCTTGTGAACATTTGTGGGATATTAGTCATCTTATGTAGAACAGGATATATCTGTCACTTCTCCTCTGTGAATCCCTCCTTTCAACAAGATTTATTTTAAGAACTGTGTGAAAAGAGAAATTTTCATAGGCAACCCTGTGAAAACGCAGTCATTTGTCAACATGTGGAATTAAGTGCCCTGAGTTCCCATCCAACTGTCCTGGCCCTGCCCACCAGGGGGCCCCTCTAAGGAGGCAGCATCCAGGCAAGGGTCTGAGTTAGCCACAAAGGTGCATCTTAGGGCCCCTCCTGTTTCCTTGCTCTCCAGTGCTCCTGGCATGGTGAGTTCTCCGTTCTCTTGAACAGTGCAGCTGAGGAGTACACGTGAGACCTCATTGAATCCTCAAGGCTGCCTTAGGAGATCAAAATGACCCTGCTACAGAAAGGGAAACTGAGAGCACACAGCTAGAATGTAGTGGAGCTGGACTTTGAGCTGAGGCCCTTTGCCTCCACATCCAAGGCTGTGTCCGTTAGCCTGAGCTGCTGTGAGCAGCAGGGGCCACTGGCTTTCTCTCAAAACAACAAGTTGGTGATCTGCAAGATTTCATTGAGTTTGGAGCTGACGGAGCCAGATAGCTTTTGGGCAAGAACCAGAGGTCTTTGAGGAGATGCAGGAGGGAAGAGGTTATCACCCAAACCCCAGCTGGGGGCAAGGCTCCCTGACCCCTGTCCTGCCAAGGGAGGGAGTGTGGCATGTGGCCACTCCATGGGGCAGTGGTGCCCCATTGTCTTTGGCTATTGGCAATCCCTGCATAATGGATGGCAACCCTGGGCCTCAGTTTCACTGTCTCTGAACTGAGGTGGGTGAGTTCAATAAGCCCTGCACTTTCCCTGAGATCAGAAGAGGGAAGGCTCTCTTTTCAAGGCTGGAGTTAGCAGCAAAAGAGTAGAGCGGCTTCCTCCTCCGCGCTCTGGGATGGCACATGTTGGGTGAGAAATGTTGGGGGCTTGATTGGGAGCTGCCATGCTCATTGCACACGGCTGCATGCATCAGCTGCGAGGATTCACACCACATCCTCCAGACACCCCCACTGGGAGTTTCTATAGCAACTTTCTGAGAGGAATTTCCAGGGCTTGCAGATTCTGTCATAGTAACCCAGTGAGGGAAGAAAGCTCAGGGTGTGTGAGTAGGGGGCAAAGGATCCGTGTGTGCTGAGGTCCCTGTGAGGCCAGGAGGGCAGAGTGGGTGGGCTCTCGGAACAGCCACAGAGCTGAGCAGTCAGGGGCTATGGTCCAGTCTTCTTCCAGCTCCTTAACAACAGGCAGGTCACAAGTCATCCCTGAAGGTCTCACTTTAGATCATAAAATGTACCTCAAAGATGGTCATGAAGATTAAATGAAAGAGACCTGCAGACTTCTCATTTATCTTTCCTGAGGATTAGGGCAGGACAAGCTGGGAGTGTGATTCCAGTGGCGGGCTGCCTGTGGGTGTCTGTAGAATAGAAATGAAATTATGCAAGCAGATGGCTTGATGAAGAGACAAAAATATGAATATAAAACACTATAGCCATGGAGATGCTAATTTATTTTTACTTTTAATAATGACACAACTTGGGATATCAAAGGTGTCTTCTTGCTTTTAGATATATTCAGCCCTCAAAATAAAATCTTTCAACAGAACACAGCTCCAAATCACACAAAAACATTCTGAATTGGAGGATCAGCATGCCTGCCTGTTAATATGCAAGCACTGAGCATGAGCAGTTTATCCCAACAGTGAATCCACACTGCAGATATACTACACACACAGCATTCTAGGGAATGGAGAAATGAAATGCACAAAGAGCTCTGCCCTTGAATTGGTAGTGACTAGTGAAACAGTCCTTACAAATGTTATACAATTAATCAAGAAAAAAGGGGGGAGAAACAGCTCAGCATTAATCACTAGGTCAGCTTGTTCTCTGACCTGCTTCCTCATAGCTGTTTTCCGTCTGTTGCCCTAGAATCATGTAGATTCTAGATTATAGGTCCCTGTAACTGCTCTGTAGATAACAGCCTGGGCATTGTGAAACATTAAGTTTTCCATCTGAGATATTCTTTCAGGTCTTGCAAACCAATGAAACTACTGACTCAGCTTGTCCGAAGGGCCCCATGAGAAGATGACTCACCAAAGAATGCAGTTTCCCACATCTTAATGATTTCATCCCCTTTACCTGGCCAATCAGTGACCCAATTTTCCAGCCCCTTGCCCTCCACAATGATTCTTTTAAAAATCCCTGTCTAGACCTCCTTGGGGAGATGGATTTGAGGGTCCCTCCCATCTTCTCACTCAGCTATCCTATCAATCATCATTAAGCTCTTTCTCTGCTGCAAACCCTGCTGTCTCAGTGTATTGGTCTGCACATGCACAATGGACTAAGAAACCTGTTGGTCCTGTAACAGTAACAGGGGAGATGAGACAGATTAACCATTGCAGGGATAGCTAGATATATTTAAAGGAATATAGAAATGCCTCTGGTGGCAACATCCAGCTGGGTCTCCAGTGTAGCAGAGCTAAGGCTAAAGCCAGGCTCTGGGGGAGGGTGAATCACAGCAGAAACGTGAAAGTGCAGGAGGGTGCAGATGGGGGTGAAGCTGCAGGCTCATCCCATTCTGCTTATGCCCCTCAAAGCAATCACGAGTAAGCCCCTAACCTGCAGGCCTCGGGTGTTTTCTCTAGCAGACAGTAGAAATACCTCCTCTTTAAGCCCATATGGGGATAATTTACTTCAAGAAGTCATCTCTGTTCCTGGCATACAAAAAAGCACTTAACAGATTATAAGACAAACAATAAAAAAGTAAAAGCCATGCAAGTTGAAAATGAATTTAGAATCCTGCCTTACACTGTGTAGGGACAACAGTATCTGTGAGTGTGGGGGATGATTGGATGACTAGACCACTTTGGGACATTTTTCTAAAAATTCTCTGGTGAAACTTAATTTGTCCACTCACTCTCAGCCACACCATGCACTGCTCTGCCCTAGGACAGCCAGTGGAATGCACTTGGAGCCCTTCCTCAGGACCAATGTTGAGGCAAGCCTTCTTGCTCACAGTCAGGGGTGCTAAGTAAGTGATCCAAGCTTTGCAGAGAGATGTCTTTAGTGTTTTCAGCACAGTGTGGATCATTCATACTGCTAGGCATTAGGGAGGATACAAGAAGATGTGTTCTGCCTTCAGGGAGTTGGGATAGGATCAGAAAAGGAGTGTGTTGAACAGAGGAGCTGCAGAGCTCACATGATCCTGTGGGTGGGACAGACACCGTGGAGGAGGCCAGCCCTGTTGCTGTCCCACCCAGACTCCTTGGAATCCCATTGGTCAGCACTGGGCCTCTCCAAAGCTTACTTTTGTCCCTGATAGCAGGAACCTGTGATGCTTCTTCACATGACTTTCCCCAGGCTACTCTGCTCCTATATTCAGAGGACATCCCCCATGACAACCCTCAGCTTAGGAAGCTTGAAAGGGAGTCTACATGGGATGTTTCTGAGATATAATTTATACCCAGACTTTATCCACGGGGTGCATATCATGGCAGGCATAAGGATGACTGCAATTGGGGTTTGCAGTAGGGGAGAGAGATGGGGCTTATCTCTGAATGCAAAAGGAAACGGGGGAATTTATGGCCAGGGAGCATGGTAGGGATCAGAGGGTAGAAAATTACTAAGAGGTAATCAGGGCTAAGGAGGTTTTTTGTTGTTGTTGTTGTCATTGCTGTTTTTGTTTTGTTTTGTTTTTTTGCTAAAGTGACCTCACAGGATTCTTGCTGAAGCCAGGCCAAGGTGATCAGACATCACCTGAGGGATGGTGGAAGAGGAAGAACCTGATCAGATATCAAGGATGATCAGATATCGACGGTGGCATGTTCTGGCTAAACCAATTAAGAAGGATTCTTGCTAACACTGGACAATGCAAAGATGGACTCAGACATACACACGTCAGAGCCTAGTTGAGAAGAGAATTTAAGAAGCCTGGCTAGAGTTAGGTCACACTCTGAGATCAATCTGAGGCTACTTATTCTGGGACTTTGCTTGAAATTTTACCCTGTTCAGCCCCTTCTCATTCCTTGCCCTGCTTCCTCATCTTGGTTTCTTCTGGTGGCATTTCCACCACAAATAACTCATAGAAATCTTCACCTCAGAGTCTGCTCCTGAGGAATGCAACTTGAGACAGTTGGTATGGAAGTAGTCCTGGGAGCTCATCACCAATGACAGGAGCATGTGAATAGTTGTGGTTTATCTGGGGTAAATAGGGACAAGGTACAATTAGAAAAAGATGCAGTGGCTTGTGCAATAACTCTGGTGTGTAGGACATGTGGTGAAATAGTCACTAGAAGGATGTAAAATTGGTTGATGCTATGGATGTGTTGAGGAAATAACAAACTTAAGTGAGCCAATTACTGATTTAAGGCACAGTGGTAGGTCCAGTTGCAGCTGGCTGGATATGCTGTCTTTACAAGGGTATTCAATGTAGTTTCTAGTATGTGGCATGCAGCTTTTGATCTGGTAGATGCATTTTTTATTAGACTTTAGAGCAATTTTAGTTTCAAAGCAAAATTGAAGGGAAAACACAGAGGTTTCCCACATACTCCCTGCCCATCTATATATAACCTTCTCCACTATTAACATAACCCACCAGAGTGCCAATTGGAGTGAAATATAGAAGCCTCACATTCCTTTTAGTCCCTTTATCTTCTACTGTGTATAACATAGTTGTCTTAAATATTTTCTATAATAGATTTAAAACCACATAAGATAGTGTTATAGAGGGTGTTATAATTTTTGCTTTGGCTGTCAAACATAATTTAGAAAACTCAATAGGAGAAAGAAAATGTATTATATTTATCTATTTTTAAAATTCTTTCCACTGTTCTTTCTCCCTTTCTCATGTTCCCAGTTTCCTCCTTTTATCATTTCTTTCTGTTTAGAGAACTTGGTTTAGCCATCTAATATACTTCGGATATTTGTCCCCACCCAAGTCCCATGTTTAAATGTAATCCCCAATGTTAAAAGTGGGGCCTGGTGGGAAGTGTTTGTATCATGAGGACAGATCCCTCATGAATGACTTGGGCCATCCCCTTGATGATAGATGAGCTCTTGCTCTGAGTTCACATGAGATCTGGTTGTTTAAAAGTTTGTGGCACTCCCCTCAAATCTCTCTCCCTCCTGCTTTTGCCATGTGAAGTGCCTGCTCCCATTTTGCCTTCTGCCATGAGTAAAAGCTTCCCTCCTCAGAAGAATGTTCTAGTATTTTGTTTCCTATATAGCCTGCATGTGATCCAACTAAATCTTTTTGTCTTATAAATTACTGTATTAGCCTGTTTTCACACTGCTGTAAATAATGACCTGAGACTGGATAATTTATAAAGGAAAGAGGTTTAATTAACTCATAGTTCTGTATGTCTGGGAGGCCTCAGGAAACTTACAATCATGGTGGAAGGGGAAGGGGAAGCAAAGCATGTCTTACATGGCAGCAGAAGAGGTGGGGTACTGCCAAACACTTTTAAACCATCAGATCTCATGAGAACACACTCAGTATCACAAGAACAGCATGGGGGAAACCACCCCCATGATACAATCACCTCTCACCAGGTCCCTCCCTCAACACATGGGGATTACGATTCGAGATAAGATTTGAGTGGGGACACAGAGCCAAACTATATCAATTACCCAGTCTCAGGTATTCCTCTGTAGTGATGCAAGAACAGCTTAACAGAAAACTGGTACTGAGGGGTGGGGCATTGCTATAAAGATATCTGAAAATGTGAAAGCAACTTTGAAACTGGGTAATAGGTAGAGGACGGAAGAGTTTGGAGGGCTCAGAAGAAGACAGGAAGATGAGAGAGAATTTAGAACTTCTTAGAGACTGGCTAAATGGTTGCAACCAAGATGCTAATAGAATTATGAACAGTGAAGTCCAGGCTGCAAAGGTCTCAGATGGGAATAAGGAACTTACTGGAAAATGGAGCAAAGGTCATGCATATTATGCCTTAGCAAAGAGCTTGGCTGCATTCTGTTTACATCCTGGGGATCAGTGGAAGTTTGAACTTGAGAATGATGACCTAGGGTATCTGGTGGAAGAAATTTCTAAGCAGCACAGCATTCAAATGTGGCCTGGCTGCTTCTAACAACCTATGCTCAGATGTGGGAGCAAATGAATGACTTAAAATTGCAACTTATATTTAGAAGAGATGCAGAGTATAAAAGTTTGGAAAATCTGCAGCCTGGCCATGTGATAGAGGAAGAAAAAGCTTTTTTAGGACAGGAATTCAAACAGTCTGCAGAACAACACTTACTAGAGATATTTGAATAATCAAAAGGAGGCAAGTGGTAAGCGCTGACAGTCAAGACAATGGAAAAAAGTCCTGGTAGGCATTTAAGAAGTCTCTGGGGCAGCCCCTCCCATCATAGGCTCAGAGGCCTAGGAAGGAAGAATGATTTCATGGGCCAGGACCCCTACTGTCCGCACAGCCTTGGAGCACTGCTCCCTGAATCCTGGCTGCTTTGGCTCCAGCACCAGCTGTGGCTCAAGGAGGCCCAGGTATGGCTCAGGCTGCCATTTTGGAGAATGCAAGCCACAAGCCTTGGTGGCTTCCATGTGGTGTTAAGCCTGCAGGTGCACAGAGTGCAAGAGTGGTGGATTCTTGGAAGCCACCACCTAGATTTCAGAGGATGTATGGAAAAGCCTGAGTGGGCTGGGCATGGTGGCTCACACCTGTAATCCTAGCATTTTGGGAGGGCGAGGCCGATCGATCACGAGGTCAGGAGTTTGAGACCGGCCTGGCCAACATAGTGAAACCCCGTCTCTACTAAAAATACAAAAAAAAATTAGCTGGGCATGGTGATGTGCACCTGTAATCCCAGCTACTTGGGAGGCTGAGGCAGGAGAATCATGTGAACCTAGGAGGTGGAGATTTCAGTGAGCCGAGATCACGGCATTGCACTCCAGCCCAGGGGACAGTGCAGGACTCGGTAAAAAAAAAAAAACAATAAAAGCCTGTGTGTCCAAGCAGAAGCCTGCTATAGGGGTGGAGCCCTCACAGAGAACCTCTACTAGGGCAGTACGGAGGGGAAATGTGGGGTTGGAGGCCTCACACAGAATCCCCACTGCAGCATTGCCTAGTGGAGCTGTGAGAAGGGGACACCATGCTCCAGATCTGAGAATAGTAGATCCACTGACAGTTTGTACCTTGCACCTGGAAAAGCCACAGGCACTCAACAAGCTTTGAGAGCAACCTTGGGGACTGAAACCTGCAAAGCCACAAAAGTAGAGCTGCCCAAGACCTTGGGAGCCCACTCCTTGCACCAGTGTGCCCTGGAGGTGGCACTATTTTGGAGCTTTAAGATTTAATCACTGCCGTGATGGGTTTTGGACCTGCTTGGGGCCTGTAGCTCCTTTCTTTTGGCCAATTTCTCCCTTTTGGAGTGGGAATGTTTACCCAATGCCTATTTACACATTGTATCTTGGAAGTAAATAAATTGCCTTTGATTTTGTGGGCTCATATATGGAAGGGAATTGCCTCATCTCAGGTGAGACTTTGGACTTTAGACTTTTGAATTAGTGCCAGAATGAGTTAAGACTTTGGGGGACTGTTGGGAAGGCATAATTGCATTTTGCAAAGTGAGGACATGGGATTTGTGGAAAGGCCAGGAGTAGAATGATGTAGTTTGGATATTTGTCCCTGCCCAAATCTCATGTTGAAATGTAATCCCCAATGTTGGAGGTGGAGCCTGGTGGGAAGAAGTTTTTGGATCGTGGAGGCAGATCCCTCATGAATAGCTTGAGCCATCCCCTTGGTGATAAGTGAGCTCTCACTCTGAGTTCATATGAGATCTGGTCATTTAAAAGTGTGTGGCCCTCCCAACTCCCTCTCTCACTCCTGCTTTTGCCATGTGAAGTGCCTGCTCCCACTTTGCCTTCTGCCATGAGGCCTCCCCAGAAGCAGATGCCAGCACTGTGTTTCCTGTATATCCTGCATAAATGTGATCCAGTTAAACTGCTTTCTTATAAATTACCCAATCTCAGGTGTTACTTTACAGCAATGCAAGAATGGCCTAAGACAACATCCTTTTAGGGTAAGTTTACTTTTGAAAAATTATCTTAATTTTTCTTCATCTGAGAACATCTTGATTTTCCTCTTATATCAGAAAGCTATTTTCACTGGATATAGAATTCTGAATAAACTATTTCTTTTGTTTGTTTGTTTGTTTTTAGCACTTGAAAAATCTTTTACCATTTCTTTCTGGCCTCCAATATTTCTGATAAGAAATTGACAATAATTCAAATTGTTTTTCTCCTATGGGTAATGTGTTATTTCTCTCTGGCTGCTTTCAATATTTTTTTTCTTTCTTTTTAGTTTTTAGAAGTTTGGCTATGATGCATCTTGATGTGTACTTCTCTGCGTGTCTTGTTTAGGGCTGGCTCAAAGCTACAGTTTGGTTTGTTTGATCCTCCAGAGCTCATTTGAAATCTGATCCCCAGTGTTGCAGGTGGGGCCTAGTGGGGGACTCATGGGGGAAGATCCCTCATGAATGACTTGGTGCCATCCTTGTGGTAGTGAGTGAATTCTCACTCTATTAGTTCCCATGAGAGCTGGTTGTTAAAAGGAGCCTGGCCCCACCCTTTATCTCTTTCTCATTTACTCACTTACCATGTGATCTCTGCACATACAGCTCCCCTTTTTCTTTCACCAGGAATGGAAGCAGCCTGAGAGTCTCACCAGGAGCAGATGCTGATGGCATGCTTCTTCTACAGCCTGCAGAACCATGAGCCAAATAGATCCCTTTTTCTTTATAAATCACCAAGCCTTCCATATTTCTTTATGGCAACACAGACTAAGACATGTACCTTCTTGAATCCTTTGGTTTATGGAAATTCTCAGCCATAATTCTTTGTGTTTTCAGCTTTCTCATATTCCTGCTCTTCTTTCAGGACTGTGATGACACACTCTTAGATTTTTGTTATAGTCCCACAAGTCCATGAGGCTATACTCATTTTTTAATAGTCTGTTTTCTCTGTCATTCAGGTAATTTCCATTGTTCCACCTTCAAGTTCACTGATTCTTTCCTCTATCTACTTGTACTTGCTGTTGAGTCCATCCATTGATTTTTCTAAATTTTGTCTATTTTAGTTTTGTGTTCTAAAATTTCCATTTGGTTTTCCTTTCTATCTTTTACTTTTTTGCTAAGGCTTTCTAATTCTTTTTTCTTTTGTCCCATTGTATTGTAATTGCTCAGTGAAGAATATTTATTATGCCTGCATTAAAACTTTTTTTTTTTTTTTGAGATGGAGTCTCGCTGTGTCATCCAGGCTGGAATGCAAATGGTGCAATCTTGGCTCACTGTAACCTCCGCCTCCTGGATTCAAGTGATTATCCTGCCTCAGCTTCCCTAGTAGCTGGGATTACAGGCATGCGCCACCACGCCTGGCTAATTTTTGTATTTTTAGTAGAGACAGGGTTTCATCTTCTTGGCCAGGTTGGTCTTGAACTCCTGACCTCAAGTAATCCACCCACCTCAGCCTCCCAAAGTGCTGGGATTACAGATGTGAGCCACCATGCCCAGCCTCTGCATTAAAATTTTGTCAGATAATCCTAACATCTCTGTCATCCAACTGTTGGTATTTACTGATTTTTTAAAACTCAAGTTTATGTTTTCCTGATTCTTGCATATAACTAGGGACTATTTTTATTGAAAACTGGATATGTGCAGTATTATGATAGTCTTGGTATTATTTAGGTCTTCTCTTTCAGATGGTTGCTTCTGACATCACTCTGGTGGAGGAAGTTAGACCTTTGCCTTGCAGCAGCTGGTGGATGTAGAAGTCCAGGTCCCTCACTCAACCTCCATGAACACCCAAGAGACTCCCCATTACTGCTGAGTGGAGTGGGGTTTCTGACTCTCTGACAGGCCTCCACTAAAATCACCCTGGCTGGTCAGAATAAGAATGCCTCTCATTCCCCACATGACCTGTGCCGACACCACCGAGAAGTGGCTTTATGATGCCCAGGTGGTAATGAAAGTTTTGGCTCCCAAGCAAGTCTCTTTTACATCACCTTAGGGTGGAGGAAGGGCACCTCCTCACTGTCAGAGGAGAGTGGAAGTTCAGACTTCCCATGGGGCCTCCATGGGGCCTCCACTGACACCACAAAGGGAGAGGGACTATCGCCTCCTGGAGATGAAAATTCCAGCTCTTGACTTGACTATCTCTGATACCACCCTGATGTTGGGGAGGAGGATTGGGGCACCTGATTGCAGCTTGGTGAGAGTAGATCTGTAGGCTCCCTGCCACCCCTCACTAGTGTGGATATGGGTGAGGCCACAGTTTCTTTTGTGGTGTATGGTGGAAGTTGAATAATGACTGTTTTAACATTTTCTACCTTGCTAGGTTGAACCTTTCCTGACCTTTAACTAAAGAGAGAAGTCTTTTGTTGTGTTGTGTTGTTTGCTTGTTTTCTTGTTTGTTTGTTTTTCTTTTTTCCCCCTTTTCACCCATGGTCTGTGAGTTGTCAGCTTCTCTAGCTTTAAGCCTTGGATATGTGAAATGGAAAGAAATCCCAGAGAACATATCGCCATGTGTTCTTTTGGTCCTGGGGTTTCTAATATGTCTGTTGCTTTCCACCTTTCAGAGCCAGGGATTTTAGTTGGACTTAGTCGGAGGAATTGGGAAAAGTACATCGATTCCACTTTCCCAGAGGTGGAAGTCCCAAGCACATCTTTATGAAATATTTTATCTAGCTTTTATAATTATGTTTAAGGGTATTGATCAGAATTACATAGTCTACTTGCAACCATTGCTGTTTTCACATAGCTTCATATTTTTGTCTTTTTTATCATTTTAGAAATATGGGATGGAAGAAGGAGTATAGCATTTGGCCAGTAACCTTTTAAAGGAAGCCTTTGTTAAGCACATGCTGAATGGCAGTGAAGTCCAACAGTGACAAGGGAAAAAACCACTGCAGCCAGGGATATGCAGTCTAGGGAGTGGCTACTGCCCACAGTTAGGGTAACAATGGAAAATGCTAACTTCTTTCTGAGCAGCTTTCACTCAGAAATGACACCCAACCAATTCTTGTGGGCAAGAAAGATTTTCTCAGGTTTATTAGTCGTAGATCTCCAGAGAAACAGAACCAATAGGAGATATCTATATCTCTATATTAATATATCTGTAGGTATACATATATCTCTATATCTATGTCTCCCTCTATCTACCTATCGATGTATTGTAAGGAATTGACTCACATGATTATGGAGGCTGAGAAGTCCCCGGATCTGCAGTTGACAAGGTGGAGACCCAGGAGAGCCAATAATATAGCTCCAATTTGAGTCTGAAGGCCTGAGAACCAATGGCGGGCCAATGACGTAAGTTCTAATCTGAAAGCCAGCAGGTTTGAAATCCAAAAAGTCAATGTCTCAGTTCAAGTCTAGTTGATGGCCAATTGATTATTTTATGAAATCATGATGAGAAACCAATGGAGAAAGGCATCTATAATCAATTGTAGACCAAGGTGGCATAGAACAGTGGAGAAAGAATATGAAATGCTGACTCATTTAATATTCATGTGGAAAAAATTAATCTTTACCATCACCTCACATTGTACAGAAAAGTCAATCTCAAACGGACTTAGACCTAATTGTGAAAGGTAAGATAATAAGGCTTCTAAAGTAGCACAGAGTATATTCCTGACTCTACGGTGAGCAAATCTTTCTTTAAAAAGACACCACAAAGGAAACTACTTTAAAATTTTACTTTATTAAAACCAAGAATTTCTATTCCATAAAAACAAAACTATATGAGGCAGAAAAAAACGGCATATGAGAAGATGTTTGCAATACACACCTGAGAAGAACCTAAAAATTCTAAAGCACTTTTACAGATTAATCAGAAAAAAAAAACCAACCCAATTTAAAAAATAGGCAATTGTCTTGAATATTTTATTTTTAAAAAATTTCATCCAAGTGCCCTCAAAACATATGAAAAGGTCATCAGTGTTATATAGTCATCAGGGAAATTCAAACTGAAACCAGCAGCTACCATTCCGTCCTCCATTCCCAAGTGGTCCAGTGTTAATGAGATTAAGGAGCAACAGAAACTCTCATACATGCATTTGGGAATATTACTCTTTGGCAGTGTCCACTAGACTTGACAAGGTAATAACATTTGTAGGTATATATACCCCATGCAAATGCACTAAAAGATGTTTATACAAATGCTAATAGCAGCATTATTCATAATAACCCCAAACTGGAAACAAGCCAAATATTTATCAATGGTAGGATAAGTAAATATGTTCTGACAAAATCACAATAAAATACTTTAAATCCCTGAAAAATAATAAACAACTTCAGTGTACAACTACATGGATGAATCTCCCAAGCCTAATGTTTGTCACAAAATGCCAGACGCAAGAGTATGATGTATATAATTCTATTTATGTAAGGTTCAAAATAGATAGGAGTAATCTATGTCGATAGATGTTATAGCAGTGGATACCATTTTTAGGATGGGTTTGACACGGGATGAGGGTGCCAGAAGGGCTCCTGAAGTGTTGGTAATGTTTTATTTCTATAAATGGGTGTTGATTACATGAATATATTCAGTTTGTGAACATTATTTGAGGTAAAATAGAATTTGTATGCCTTTCCGCATGTATGTTATTCTGCAATAAAAATTTATTTAAAATGTTTTGTATTCTTATTTTTTCAAGTACAAAAATTGTATGAATTGCATATTAAAAGCTCTCTTCCCCACCTCCCCGCCTACCACACATCATGCCCTAGAAAATGCCAACTCTTTGCAGGATTCAAAGAAATACAGTGGTGGTTCTGGATTCACAGTTCAGCTTTCTTCTGGTGCTTGCACTTCCACTAGAGGATACAGGGATACTCCACATTTAAACATGAAATAAAGAACCCAGTGAGGCTGGGGAATTGCCAGAGAAGTGTTCGTCAGTGACTTACAGGGTGGTATTTACCTCAACACACTTATTTCGGAATCTCAAAACCTCACAGGTAAATGTTTACCCTCAAGGCTTTAATAAGCGTTGTTGTTGTTGTTGTTGTTGTTGTTGTTAAGATCAATATCTTTTTGGTTGCTATTTTAATGGAATATTTAAAAATTCTATTTCTGGTTCTGCTTGATTTGGTAATTTAAAAGAATCATTTTAGTTTTTTAAAAAGAATTATATATTTTTTAATGCACAAAAGTAATACAAGGTAATTGTAATAAATCAAAATATAAAAGTACATAAAGAAGCTAATAATTCCCCTTTGTTTCCTTTCCCACTCCTGTATGTAATGATTCAAACTATTTTCTATTTTCAAACAACTAAATATGAATATACATGGATAGCCTGCTCCCTTATTTTTTTCACAAATGGAATTAAATCAACTGTATTATACTTCCATTTGCTTTTTAATCTTTTCAATAGCTGCATAATATTCCATAATGTGACAGATTAAAGAATGCCACAAATCATTTGTGGATCCTTCCATTGAGAGGCCTAATGCCCTGATCCTTAAATCTGGGTTGAACTTGATGACTTGCCTAACCGATAGAATGAGGCAGAAGTCATGCTGCCTGAAGCTTCTGCCTTGATCTCTGGAACTCAGGTGTCATGCTGTGAGGAGGTGCAAAAGTTCCATGGAAATGCATATGGAGAAGATCCAAAGCTCCCAGGTACAGCCCTGGCTAAGCACCCAGAAAAGAGTCAGCACCAATTTGCCAGCCCTATAAATGAACTTGGTTTTCATGTTAGTGAAATAAGTTTTCAAGCTGAATCCTCTAGCCACAGAAGAGCTGCCCCCATTGATGTTGCACAGAGCAGGGATAAGCTGTTCCTGTCATGTCCCACTCAAATAGCAAATTCTGAGCAAAATACACTGCCATTATTGTATTAAGTTGGTAGATTTAGGGACGTTTGTTATACATCCATACATAACCAGAATACATAGAATCAGAACAGCTTAATTTACTCATTATTAACTATTACACTACATATAAACAGATTTTTTTCCTCCAACTTCTAATAGCTTGCAACAAACATCTTTGTGTACTTCTAATTTTTGCCATTTAAATAATACTGCATTGCCGCATTGTCGATTTACTTCATTTGATGCTTTTATTTTATGCTGTTAGTTTTTCTTCATATGTCTTATGACTTTTGTTTTGTGGTATGTAATTTATAGAAAAGACATAATATTTGGGGTGTTTCTAAGCTTTTAGGCTTGCCCTGCTTCTCTGCCAATCACTCATTCTATTTTTTTGGATGCGTTTTACTAGTGACAGATGCTGACTCCTTTTCTCACACATTAAGGAAAAACACTTATTTGATTTTTTAAAAAATCAACAGGATGAGTCATGATACTCTTTAAAATCTAATCTTTGAGAACTCCTCTATCTGCCATCTTGCTACATCAGTCTCTTGTTTGTTTCAGGAAAACTAGTGCAAGCAGCAAAGATAATGCTCCCTTGAAAATGCTTCCTGAAACCACAAAATATGGGTCCTTTGTAATTTATTCAGAATTTATTTGAACAAGGAAACCATGGTATTGGTATTTTTTTTACTGTCCACTGAGAAAAACAGTGTTTTTACAAGTTTTTCTTTCTCCTCATCATCGTTAACATGATTTCAAAGCACAAGGCTGGAAGTGCTGCGCAGTTAGTCTAATTTCAACAAAATATGCTTGCTGCTTTCAGACCTAGCACATCAGAGCTGATTTGATGCTTGATGTAGCATTGCAGCATCTTTGTGCTAGTTTCTTTCAAGCTCCATGTGAACTAATGTAACAATTCCCCTTGAAATCATTTGATTCCTATTATTTTGGTATATTAAACATGAAAATAACAGTTCAGCTTTCTTCTGGTGCTTGCACTTCCTCTAGAGGATACAGGGAGGGACTCCACATTTAAACATGAAATAAAGAATCCAGTGAGGCTGGGGAGTTGCCAGGGAAGGGAAACTGCTCGTCATCGACTTACAAGGTGGTATTTACCTCAACACACCACTTTACAAAACCTGAGTCTCACCTTGGCGAGATTTTCATCAGCAAATGGGGAACGTGGCCATCTCTCTGTGATGATTTGCCAATCGAGGTACGAGGGAGCACAAGTAAAAGTTGAATGTCAACTTGCTCATTTATAATGACTGATGAGAAACATAAATATATTTACAAGTTCTCTCATTTCCTATATAAAAATCTTCACTGAAATGTAATGCCTAGGGCAACCACTTAATAGTTTATACGAAGAAATCCACTCAAAACACTATAGAAAAATCAAACTAGAATTGTAAAAAACGTTCAAACAACCCACAGGAGGCAGAAAGAAGAAAACAGTAAAACAAAAAACTCGGAGGAAACAAACAGAAAACAAACAAACCTGCACGTTGTGCACATGTACCCTAAAACTTAAAGTATAATAATAATAAAATAAATAAAATGACAGATTTATTTCCTAATGTATATGTAATCACATTAAATATAAGTTGTCTGAATACACCAATTAAAAGACAGAAATTGACAGAGTGAATTATAAAATGAGCTAACTATATGCCAGCTACAAGAAACTCACTTTCAATCTAATAATATGGTTAGGTTGAAAGAAAAGATCGAAAAACTATATTACATATAAACATTAATCAAAGTAAAGTTGAAGTGTATATGTTATCCTAGAGGACAGACTTCAGAGTGAAGTAACAGAAAGGAACATTTCCTAATGGTAAAAGGATCAGTCCCTGAAGAAATCATAGCAATCCTAAACATGTATGCACCCAACAATGGAGCTGCAACATATGTGAATAGAAAACTGATAGAAAATTGAAAGGAGAAATAAACAAAATTTTAATGGGAGACTTCAACACTCCTCTCTCAACAATTTATAGAACAATACCATTAGCTGACAGGATCTAAACATTTAGAGAACAATTCACCCAACAACAGTAGAATCCGCATGTTTTTCAAGCCCTCACACAACGTTTACCAACTTAGACTGTATTCTGAGCCATTAAATGAACCACAGCAGATATAAAATAATAAAACTCGTACAGAGTTGGTTCTGTGGCCATCATGGACTCAAGCTACCAAGCAATAACAGAAAGATAACAGGAAAATCTCCAAACATTTGAAAACTACAAAATGTGCTTCTAAATAATCTGTGACTCAAAGAGGAAGTATTTTAAATTTAAAAATAGCTTGAACTGATTGACAATATAACATAGAAACATTTATGGGATGGAGTAGACATATGTTTCCCTATTCCTCCTACTTAGTGCAGCGAAAGCCCCTTAACATTATATACAAAACAAGACAACTCTGAAAGGTGGAGAAAGGAGGGCAGATCAGTCAGGGCTTTGTGTCCTGAAGAATGACATGATAGTGCGTTTCTTTGCTCTTCTTAGTGCCTTATATATCTCGCACTGAGTGCTGCAGAAACCTGAAAATGCCAATAGGAAAATACAGACTCCCTTATCCCCCAGAAAACAAACAAACAAACAAACACAAAAAAACCCTGCTTTCTGCAGCCACAGAACAAGAAAAGGGGCAGCCAAGCAAGACAGAACATTTTTAGACAATAACCACACTCCTCTTCAGCCAAACTCCATGGAAATAACCACTGCCCCAGCCCCACCCCAGTAGCAAAGGCCACCTGGCGAGCTTAGACTATCACCCTTGCCAAACTGTAGCAACTGCTCCTCCACGCTGTGGTGATGTCAGAGAAGGCCAAGTGGGAGGTCAGGACTTCCATTGCTGACCAGTGCTAGTGAGGCCCCATCTCTGGCCGTGCCAGTGGGGACCAGTGGGGAGCTGTGGCCACGCTCCCTGCCTTTCATGGAACTCTTACCCCTGCCCAGCAGTGATGAGAAGCCCCTCCTCTTGGGGGCCAATGGAGCCCAAGCGGGGATCTGAAGTTTGACCCCCACCTTGCAGTAATAGGTGAAACCCTCTCTACCCATTCCTTCCTTCAGAGGAAGCCTGCTAAAACAAAAAATTTAAATAAGGTTTGGTCTCATAATACCTCAGATGTGCAGATATCATTGACAATCCCTCATCATACCAAGAACTAGCAAAATCTCAAATGGAATGAGTAAAAGTGATCAATGGACACCAATAAAGAAGTAGCACCGATGTTAGGATTTTCCAACAAGGATCCTAAGGCAGCCATCACAAAAATGCTTTTACTAAAAATTTTTTAAAAGAGAGAAAAAAGGCATAAATTACCAATATCAAGAATGAAACGGGATATCAATATAGACCATGCAGATGGCTTAAGGATAATAAGGGAATATTGTGAACAACCCTACACACATAAACTTGACAATTTAGTTTAAATGGACCAATTTCTCAAAAAACACAATTACTATAATTCAGTAAACATGAAAGAGAGAATTTGAATAATCCTATTATTAAGAAAATTTAATTTGTAATTTTAACCCCCCCCCAAAAAATAAATCTTTAGAACCAGATGATTTTACTGTGAAATTTCCGAATTAACATTAACTCTAAAAAGTATCTTCCATAAATTAGAAGAGGAGGAAGCACTTCCCAACTTATTTTACAAGATCAGTATTACCTGATACCAAATCTAGACAATGATAGTACAAAAAGAGAAAAAAATACAGATCAATATCTCTCAAGAGTATAAACACAGGCCGGGCGCGGTGGCTCATGTTTGTAATCCCAGCACTTTGGGAGGCCGAGATGGGCGGATCACGAGGTCAGGAGATCGAGACCATCCTGGCTAACTCGGTGAAACCCCGTCTCTGCTAAAAATACAAAAAAGTAGCTGGGCATGGTGGCGGGCAACTGTAGTCCCAGCTACTCGGGAGGCTGAGGCAGGAGAATGGCGTGAACCCGGGAGGCGGAGCTTGCAGTGAGCCGAGATCGCGCCACTGTACTCCAGCCTGGGTGACAGAGCAAGACTCCATATCAAAAAAAAAAAAAAAAAAGTATAAACACAAATGTCCTCATAAAATATTAGCAATCAAATCCATCAATGTACAGAAAGCAGTGGAGTTTGTGTCAGGGGTGCAAGGCTGATTCAATCATTAAAATCAATCAATATAATGTGCCATATTAACAGGCTAACAAGGAAAAAAATTACAAGTTTATATCAAATGATGCAGAAAAAAATTTGACAACTAACATTCATGACAAAAACTCTCAGCAATCTAGAAAAAGAGGGAACTTAGACAATTTGATATAAAATAAAGATAAACAGTAGACAAAATAAAAATATGACCCTTGTAATCACCTATTGAGGTGAAAGCTACCATGGTCTGGATTTTACTAATGGGGGTTTTGGTGTGGCAAGGAGACAAGAGGTAGCCTCCGGAATTTACTCAGCTCTTAAGTGAACAGGTAGGGACTTGAACCTGGTTGTTTGGCTCCAAGTAAGAAATAGAGTCCAGGTGGTCTGGCTCCGTAGCCTGGGATGGTGACCACCCTGCTGTGCTGTTGCTTACCCTCCAGAGCTCCCCACCTCCCCCAGCAGGTCCTAGACCTGGACAACAACCTGGTTTCTTGAAGGAGGTGATACCCATAGTACATAAACAGTGTTGGAACAGAGAGACAACATGGAGAACCTTCATCCCTCATTCAATGATAGGGTGGGGGTCTGGGGACAGCCTAGGCATGGGCAGACACATTTTCTGTGGCAGACGGAGGAGGCTGGGAGCTGGGCATTGCTCATGGCATCCGTGCAGCTTCAAAGTGCTCACCGTCTGCACCCTCACCCTCACCACCGCCTGCTGGCCACTCAGCAGCCCTGGAGGCAGACACTCCTTTGACCCTGTTTGACAGGTGATGACGCTGAGTTCCAGCGATGTTGAGCCTCAAGGTCAAGTTACCCAACTCCAGGAAGAGGTGGGCTTGGGTGGGGGCAGCTGGACTCCCCAGCTGCACTGGAAATTCTATGCCACATTGCCAGGAATGATAAATAACTCCTTCTGCATTAGGAAACAAGCAGGACTTCCTCAAGACAGACAAATGATTGAATATATAGAATTGTCCAGAATCACACCCCTCTTAAATGGATATGCTCAGACACACGAGTGGGACTGGAAGTGGAGGCCGGGTGAGGAGACGTTGGCTTTGCAGTCAATACACTTCTGTTTTGTTTTTTTTTTCCAACAAATGTATTCATGTGTTGCACAATTTTTAAAAAAGGTAAAAAGAGATGGTGCTATGTATATAATAGAGCTGTTATAAAAGTTTAAATTAAGTTATATAATAGTCGCAGTATCTGGGACATAGTAGGTGCTCAAAATAAACATTATTTTGCAAAGCGTCTTAGTCTGTTTGGGTTTCTATAACCAAAATACCATAGACTGGGAGACTTAACAGAAATGTATTCCTCACAGTTCTGGAGGCTGAGAAGTCCAAGATCGAGGCACTGACACATCTGGTGTCTGGTGAGGACCCACTTACTGTTTCATTGATGGCACCTTCTCCCTGTGTCCTCACATACTGGAGGAGGTTGCTGACTCCCTGGGGCCCCTTATATAAGGGCAGTAATCCCATTCATGAGAAACATTCAGACCACAGCATACATTTAAAATGCTTTACAGAAGCAGATCAAGTGAGACGATGATGGGCTCTCAGAGACCCATGCTCTTCTACAATCTATCTGCAAAGAAGACCTGGCTGGAGGTGGAGAGTATAAAAGCCAATCAGGACTACAGCGAATCAGGACGGTCTCTGATTAAAGGTGTTAACGACGTGACCTAGCCCTGGCTGGATGCAGTTCAGGGCCTCCCTGGGTCTTGGTTGCAGCCTTCATGAATATAACAGCCCCCCACACCACGCAGAGCAGGTTTTGTTCACTCAAGCCATGCAAGAGGCATGGGCTCAGCGTGCAGCTCTGTCTTCTCCAGCAATCTGTCCGGTTTCTGTCTCTTCAGCTCCAGCCACCTCCATGCGCTGCATGGAGCCCCTCCCTGCACTGGGTCCCAGAAGTTCTGCTTGTTTTCAGCGATCACACTCCCGCACTGTCTGTGGCTCAAAGTCTGTAAATAATGGTTTAGCATATTTCATCCACTTTTCTACCTGGACAGAAAGTGTAGTGTTGTTAGTTGGTCAGAGCAGGAGGTGGTTCTGTGTGTTTTGTCAGCCTTCCAGATGTCCCCAAGCAGCAAGAGAAGGAAGGGGCTGTGCACAGCCTTTGCCTGGGGCTTCCTATGTCCATCGGAAAGAGAGTGGATCGCATAAGCTCTCACAGAAAGAATGAATGAGCGAGTCAGTTGCTTCCCTGAATGGCTTTGTTCTGTTCTGGTGCATCCTCTGCTTGGGACCCACCTGCTAGGGCGTGGTAGAGTGAACAGCTACGTGTCTTTGTTCAGCACCTGCTTAGTGCCAGGACCTTTCTCTCTGCTTGGGAAATTGCCGTCTTTGTTTCACAGAGGATGAAGCTGAGGTTCGTAGGCTGAATTCTGGTGGCCCAGTTTTCCGGCCTGGGCTCCTTCCACTTGTAGAGTGGCCTATCTCAGTGCTGCCTATGCCGTTGGGAGGGGTGGTGGCAAAGGCAGACCAAGAGTCACCAGGCAATTTCTTAGGAGCCTGAAGTCTGCAATCCTCCAGTGAAGCTTTTCAGATGAATGTCCTTCACACCCCAAGAATTCTAGAAATGCTGAGCCCCTAGCCTGGAGGGCAGGCTTGGTGCCTGCAACAGAGCATGGGCCCAGCGACCCCTATGGTCTGAGAGAGAGGGTGAGGTGGGAGGACCATCCACTCTGGGAGACTTGGGCTGGCCTTGCAGACTGAAACCTCTCCTGTAAAGTGATGTGTGTCCTGGACCTGCAGGGAGGGAGGGGCCTCTGGAAGTCAGGCCGATTGCCAGGGTCTGTGAGGCATCTTCTGAAGCCCAGGCCCTGTCTGGCTTTTTCTTGCCAGGAGTCTGGCTCTCTTGCTCCACATGAATGACTGAAGTTATTTGAAGAGGTCCCCCAGAGAGTCATCAGGCCTCTGGTGGAATTGCAGGGGCTCAGGGAAGGCACAGAGATAGGGCTGTAATGCCCGGGGAGGGAGCGGCCCAAGGCCTGCCCCAGACCACTGCAAGCCTGGGTGCTTGGAGAGGAGACGGCCATTAGCATGGCTGTTAAGAGCCGCTGCTGGGGGCACTGGCAAGGGACCTGTTCAACAGCTTCACCCACTGGGCCATGCACCTGACAAGCATTCACCAACCACTCTTTCTGTCTTACAGGAAAGTGATGGGGGTGGGGAGCAAGGTTGCTTTGGCCTGAGGTCAAACCATCAAGATCTGCATATGTCTACAGTTATTGATCCTTCTATTAGGTAAAGAAAAGAATTGTATAAAAACCATTCAGAGCTGCTGAAGATGTTGTTACACTTGCCAGATCTGGGAACTGCGATTTTCCTTTGCAGCTTCAACAAGAGAAGAAATCTCACAGGGGAGGAAGGGGTCGCTGAGCGTCCTCGGCCCATGGATACCTTACTTTGTGGCGCCACCTAACGGCTAAAGGTTAAAATTGCAAATCTTAAAGATTCCTCCGGCAGAGGAAGAGGTGGGAAGGGGCCGGGTTTTTGAAGAGCAGGCTGAGAGAGCTTTTTTGGGAGATTTGTTTCCTGCTTTCTGGGCACATGCACCTAATGACGATACAATCCTACGACCCATCTCTGATTCTTCCCCTGACCCACTCTGGTGTAGCCCTGCGGAGATAATTGGCAATTGCAAAGTCACCTGCCTTTGACTTCTGACCCAGTAACCCAGGAAACCTTGCCAAAGATACTCTAGCAAGAAATACGAGTCGGGTTTACACGTGCCACACCCTACGGAATTTTTTGTTATCGTAAGAGACTCAGAGCGATTCACATGTGCATCAGAGAGGGCACTGATGGAAGCAAACCTCGTGCATCCCACAGAGTTACAGCCAGCAGCGCTCAGGCTGTGTGGCTGCCGCAAGTGCCCCTGAGCCCCCTGAGCCCCAGTGGCTGGCGACAGCCCCGCTCCATGTCGCCTTCATCCAAGATCTGCGCCGCGGGGCGGCCGCCATCTGGAGCACGGCTGGCCACGGTCAGCCCTAAGCTGGTGGGTGACACTGCGTCTGCGCACACTTCGTTGCTCAAAGCCAACTGTATGTGCTGACTGGGTGTGCCTTCTAGTGTCCTGTGTTCCTGCTGAGTGCCTAGCATGCATACTTCCTTTGTGCGCCCAGTGTTGTGTGCCTGTCACTGTGTGTCCAGTATTGAGTTATGTGCATGGTGTTATGCACCAGGCATGGTGTGTCTGACTTTGTTTGCCCAGTGTCGCGTAGCCAGCATCTGTGTCCAGCCTGTGTTCTTGCCATGTGCCTGGCCCTGCATGCCTAGTGTGGCACCTGGCTGTGCATACTCCGCATTGTATGCCGGGTTTGTTTGCTCCCGTCTGTGAGCCTTGCAGTGTAATCCTGGAGCGTATGCCCTGTGTTGTTTGCCAACTGTGTGTGCAGGTACTGTGTGTACCTGGCGCTGTGTTCCTGCTTGTTTGTGCCTAGTGGGCATGCCCAGTATTGCATGCCTGGTGTTGTGTACCTGGTCCTGTGTGCCCAGTATTGAGATCCCAGAGTGTCTGCCCGGCCTGGGTGCCTGCGTTGTGTGTCCGGCCCTGTGTGCTCAGGTTTGTGCATCCAGCTTGGTGGGCCCAGAGTGTGCCTGGCATACGGGCTTAGTGCTTTCTCCCTGGCATTTTGTGCCTGGCATGTTTGCCCAGCACTGTGTGCCCTGCATGGTGTCCCAGAGGCTGCGCCTACTATGGTGTGTCTGGCTTTGTGTGTCTGGCATTGCATGCTCATTGTTGTATACTTACTGTGTGTGTCCAGCATGGGGCGCCTGCATTGTTTTCCTGGCCCTGTGGTTCCAGAGTTCTGTTTCTGCACTGCATGCCTGGTGTTGTGTGGGTGGAATTACATGGCTGGTGTGTACATGGCTGGTATGTGACCCAGCGTTGTGAGCTCAGTGTGGTGCTCCTGGAGTGCCTGGCCCGGAGTGCCTGCTGGTGTGTGTGTGGTATGTGTTTGGCATCATCTGTCTGAGGTTTTGTGCATAGTGTTGTGTTCCCACAGTGTGTGCTGGCATTAGTGCCTGGACTTGTGTGTGCCTGGCATTGCACCCTGGCTTCTGTGCCCAGCATGGTGTGTCCCAGTGTTTTGTGCCCTACAGTGAAGCTCAGCATTGCGTTTGGTGTGTGTGTTCAACATGTGTTACAAGCATGGGTTCTTGCCGTGTGTGCATTGTGTATGTGATGCTGTGTCCCTAGAGTGTGTGTAGCATCTGTGCCTGGTGTGTGCCCGATGTTGTGTTCCTGCAGCGTCTGGTGTTGTCCCCAGTGTGTGCCAGTGTGTATTCCCAGTGGGTGTGCCAGCTTGTCGGTCATGGTATGCCTGACCTTGTATGCCCAGAGTTGTGTGTCCAGTGTGTCCCCAGCTTCAGTGTCTGTGGCTGGAGAGTGTGTCTTTCCTTCTGTGTCTGGTGTTGTGACCCAGCATGGTTTGTGTGGCTGTGTATGCTTGGCAAGCGTGCCCACTCCTGTGTGCCTGGTGCTGCGTGACTGGCACGTGTACCTCGAATTGTTTGGCTGACAGTGTGTGCCCAGAATTTTGTGCCCACTGTGTGGGCCTGTGTTGTGTCCTGTGCTGTGTGCTCTGTTGTTAGCCCTGTGTGTGTGCTCTGTGTGTCTTGTGCTGTGTGTCCTATGCTGTGTGGCCTGTGCTGTGTCCTGTGTGGTGTGCCGTGCACTGTGTGCCCTGTAGTGTGTGTCCTGTGCTGTGTCCTGTGTGGTGTGCCGTGTGCTGTGTGTCTTGTGCTGTGTGTCCTGTGCTGTGCGCCCTGTGTTGTGTACCCAGTACTTCTGTGTGTCCTGGGCTGTGTGTCCAGCACATGTGTCTGCTGCCCCACTGTGCTGAGTCCCAACACCCACCTGTGCGCCTGGCACTGCCTCGTTGTTGGGGAGGACACCCTGTGTGGCCGTCCTCGCCACCTGCTCGAGCAGAGCTGAGGATCCCATCGTGGCCTCTGCCCTCACTTCCACCGCAGTTTGCCTTCCTTCCTGGGGACACTCCTGCCTGGCAGCTCCCCATGTTTAGCCTGTTCCAGGGATCAGCTTCCACCCCAGGCACTCTCCATTTATTTGGGGAGTTCCCACAGGATGAGGCCCTTAAGGGAGTCCCTCCTCTCTACTGGGGATACCCCTGAGCAGGTGGGGACTCCTGTCCTTCATTCAGCTCATCCCCAGCCCTGGCTGGAGCTTTCCCTCCTTTGCGGAGGTGGGCTCAGGCAGGCCTCGCTGGGGAGCTCACCAGGCCCTGTGCGTGGGGCTCTGCAGGCCCAGCCAGTCCTGACTCTGCCGTGAGCCCCGCACCAGGATGGGAAGTGCCCTGAGAGCTCATCTCCTACCACCTCCAGGGCTGGGGCTGGCGCCTCCTCCAGCCTGGCATCTGGCCGCGGCGGTCTCCCCAAGCAGCCACCAGGGGGCAGAGCCACCCTCTGTCCACACCCCGATCCTCCCTCACCCCTTCAATTGCTGGACAAGGGACCCTTGCCTGAGGACGCCCTCGGATCCCTCCTGTGAGACAAGGAGCTGCAGATAACCCCAACCTCTACACAGACAGAAAGGAGCAGATTTCATAAAAAGCAGGGAATTTTTAAAATGTGAGTAATTTTTAAAAATACAATCTCCGCGTAAAACCCACTTAGAAAACCTTGTGCTTTCTGATTAATAGAGAGCAAATCACTTACCCAGGGCTATTGGATGCTGTAATTTTTTAAGGTTTTAAATATGCTTTTATTTGTTTCCCCCTGATGGTCTGAGGCTTCTATTCTTGCTAACTTTTTAGTTCTCCTTGTCCTGGGGACACAGGGTATGGGGCAGGACCTCCCTGGATTAAAGGAAGTGAGTCAGACATGCCACCGCCCGCAGGTTCCAGGACAGTTCTGGTCTGAATGCAGTCCCGACGCGAGTGCTGTTCCCTGGGAGCTGAGACCCGCAAAGATGCCCTTCCACCACCCTCTCCCCACGGTTCTTTCGTGCTGCTGCGTTCCTGGAGGCTGAGCTTCTGTCCCATCCTGTCTCCTTTGTGTGTTTCAAACCTCTTTCCAATTTCTGTTATACTGATGCTGTTCTCCTTTCCGGTACTATTACATGATTTTCTTCCCATTTCTCATGATTCAGAGCCCATGGTGGGTGAGGGGGACAGTTGGGTGGTCCACACCTGAGACTTCATGCATCCTGTGAGGCTGAGTCACAGGCCTGGGGGTCCTTGAATCCCTCTTATCCCACAAGGGAGATCCTCCTGGAATCTCAGCAGATTGGAGAGCCCAGCTGAGAAGAATCTGCTGTCCTATTAGTGCCCTTGGTTTTGAGGTGGCTGTAAAATCCCTTGCTAGAGGCGGAAGAGAGAGGATCGCACCCCAGTATCGGACTGCTGTGGGCAAGTTGGTGAAATCAAATGTATTGTTACTTTCTGAGAATCAGCACCCACATTTTCTGCATTTAAGGATTTTATGGAGCACAACGAAATCCACAGCAGTCACAGCAACTGAGAGAGAACGCCAGGCCACACTCCCTAGGCATTCCTGGAGAGGTGTTCTATGCCTTAAGGATGAACAATAGAGAATTTGATTTAAAAAATTGATGGAAAGTTAATGTTGAAAGAAGTCAGGGTGAAATAAAAGCATGAGATGCTGTATGGGATGTGAAGATTTCTAGGAGACAATAATAATAGACAAGCAAATGAAGACTGGTGTAGAGTGAAAGTTAGGTGGCCAGGATACGACAAGGGCACTGCAGCCAGGATTCCTGTCCCGGGGACAATCGGCACAAAGAGTCTGCACCCGGGAGGACAGGGGCCTTCAGTGTGTGATCTGTACTGAGGGTCTGCACCTGAGAGGACAGGGGCTTTCAGTGTGTGATCCCTACTGAGAGTCTGCACCTGGGTGGACAGAAGCCTTCTCTATGTGATCGGTACTGAGGGTCTGTACCTCAGAGGACAGGGGCCTTCAGTGTGTGATCTGTACTGAAGGTCTGCATTGAGAGGACAGGGACCTTCAGTGTATGATCTGTACTGAGGGTCTGCACCTGGGAGCACAGGGGCCTTCAGTGTGTGATCTGTACTGAGAGTCTGCACCTGGGAAGACAGGTTCCTTCAGTGTGTGATCCGTACTAAGGGTCTGCACCTGGGAGGACAGGGCCCTTCAGTGTGTGATCTGTATTGAGGGTCTGCACCTGGGAAGACAGGTTCCTTCAGTGTGTGATCCGTACTGAGGGTCTGCACCTGGGAGGACAGGGCCCTTCAGTGTGTGATCTGTATTGAGGGTCTGCACCTGGGAAGACAGGTTCCTTCAGTGTGTGATCCGTACTGAGGGTCTGCACCTGGGAGGACAGAGGACAGGGACTTTCAGTGTGTGAACTGTACTGAGGGTCTGTACCTGGGAGCACAGGGGCCTTCAGTGTTTTTTGTTTGTTTGTTTATTTGTTTTCTGTAATGAGAGTATGCACCTGGGAGGAGAGGTGCCTTTGGTGTTTTTTTTTCCTGTACTAAGGGTGTGCGCCTGGGAAAATAGTGCCTTTTGTGTGTGATCTGTACTGACAGCGTGCTCCCATGATGACAGGGTCTTCAGTTGTAATCTTCTCTTAGAGTTTGCAAATGTTTGGACATTGTGTCATCTTTTGATGTTTGGTATTGAGTGTCTATATGGGTGAAGTTAGGGGCCATTTTTTTGTCACTTGCACTGAGAGTGTGCACACGAGACCTGCGTTCCTTCCATGTGTTATTTGTGCTGAGAGTCTGTGTGTTCTGAAAAGCCCCTTCACTTTGTTTTTCACTAATACTCTGCACATTTGAGGACAGGGATCCTTCTTTGTGACCTGTAGCGACCATCTGCACCAATGAAGGAAAAAGGCCTCCAGCATTTGATCTTGCTTAGATTGTTGCTTTGTGTGGATGGGATGGATTTCTGCATAGATCATTCTCAGTCTGTTTTTGTACAGAGATGATTGATTTGCTTTTCTATTCTCTGATCTGTGTCATCTCATGCTATCCTCAACTTTACTTGCTTTACATATAAATTGAGTATTGCAAAATTAAGTAAACTCTTAATAATGAGAAGTAAACTTCTTAGTAATTCTTAGATGGGCTTAATTACAACCTTTCATCTTACTGCTTTGTCCTTGGCACACACTAATTACTTCCTGAGTCATCTGGTTTTGGTTTCCTTATGCTGTTGCTATGATCATTCAATGGATCATGGATGTAGAAAGAGTATCTTGCTCCCCTGGAATACTCACAGATGGAATGAGCTTGTTTTGTATCTTGGAATGGTTTAGGGAGCCACAGACGGACAAGGAAGATTTTGCCTTCTATGCCACAGTAGAAACATGACAATGTACGGGGATGGGAACAGCCTGGTGTGCTCAGAGACCAGACTAAGCTTTAATTTAATTGTAATAACCCTGGTGATTTGGGGAATGAGGGTTAGAGATTGGACAATGTGAACTGGAGACAGATTCTGAAGGACTGGTAGAGTTTGGATTATGGAAGGGTTTAAGCACTTGCAAACAAAATTGATTTTTTTGTTCTTACTCACACCAATGTGTGTTCAACTGGGGAAAGATCGTAGAGGTAACTCCTGAAGAAATTACTGTGGTGGGTCCAATGGGTGCAATAGATTTGGATCCATAGAACTTGTCCTGGTGGAAGATAAGGCAGGCATCAAACAGGGGTGGAGAGCAGATGGGAATACTGTGTTTCCTTATTGATCAAGGAGAGGGAGGGAAAGGAAGAGGGACTCCCAGTGTGCAGGGGCAGAGAGCAGTGTAGAGCTCAGATGTCTTTCTGGTCCAGGGTTGACCTTGGAATCATATATCTGCTCACGTGTCTTTTTATTTAAGACATCTTTTGCCTATAGGTGAGGGGGCGAGAGGACCTTCTCCCAATTAAATAACAATAATAATAGTAATGACTTTTTAACGGCATGTCCTAAAGTCTATTATTAGAATATAGTACGCCTGCTGCAGGCTCATAACCTCATTAACTTGGAAATAATGCAGTATGGGCAATTAGGATGATAAACCACTTATGCAATTTCATAGTATGACATTAATGAATGTACTTGGGAAGCATTTCCTTAGCACCAAGGCCACAGGAAAAGTCAAGGGGAGACAGGTGCCAGTGGATGTAAACAGTACAGATCAGTGGAGGGCCGTATATTTGAAAGCCTAGCTGTGTGTTGGTTGAGTAGGTCCCTTCCAAACTATGCTGTGCAGGTTATGATGGGGAAGGGAACAGAGACAGCCCAGCGCCTTGCGGACGGGGCAGGAAGGCTCTGGGCTCTACAGCACTGGACATCCAAAGTTTCCTCTATGCCTATACCCTGGGGTCTCTACCAAACCCAATTCCTGGGTAGAGAATGCTCACCTTAAAGAAATGCTGGAAATCCAGAGACCCTTACACTGGTTCATAATTAAGAAAGCAATGCTGACAAAATCCCAACAGGAGCCCCATGCAGAGGATCTTGGCTGGCTATGTCTTTTAGTGATCCAGAACAGTGCCTGGAAAAGCCATTAAGAAATTACGAGTTGAAGATTAGCTGAGAAAAGGCAAGAAATTGAATGAAGTCAGTCTAAGTGTGCCATCAGGCATTTTTCTAGCTGTCTGCTCAGAAAGGTCTTTAAAGGGTGACCAATCAGCATGTCAGAGATGAAATTGGATGCTGTGAGAATCTCAGGTAAGCAGCCCATGAAAAGGAGGGAGCTTTCCAGATATGCCTTCTTCCTGGAGACCTTTCCTCTCTAGTGCATGTTTATGGATGGTTCAGGATCCAGGGGCATAAAATTCAGCCAATTTACAATAAGCAGAAAATATTGGCAAGATTTCACTTAGGAGATTGCAGATCCAGGTGTGTGAATCAACCACAAACACCACCACAGAGTACTCATGGTGGATGGTGCCCCCACACCAGTGCCCAGGACAGGCAAACAGGCTGTCAGTTCTGCCCATCTGATGCTAGACACCCAGATGGAGCTCTGCACTGCACCAGGCCGTGTGTGATGCTCACTGGAGGGCCTACGCACAGCCTTTCCTCCCGGGGAACTATGGCCATGTCTGCCGAAAGAGGTAATTCTCTGACAGTACAGCAACTGGAAATGAGAAGGTCTCAGGGGAGCATGGAGTTATAGAAAAATGAAGCAGAAGACATTGAGGTTGTTTCCCAAGACCTGTTCCCAGAGACCTCATAAATATCTCTGTCCAAGAGCAGAGGATCCCGCTCCAGTGGCCTGAGCACTCCAGGCTCCAGTTTGCTTTTCTGTAGGCTCTATGCTCTTTCCTTAGGCTTATGGCTTCTTCCTTTTTATAGGAAACACTCCTTTTTTTTTTTTTTTTTGAGATGGAGTCCTGCTCCTGTCACTCAGGCTGGAGTGCAGTGGCACAGTGGCACGATTTTGGCTCACTGCAACCTCCACCTCCTGGGTTCAAGCAATTCTCCTTCCTCAGCCTCCCAAGTAGCTGGGATTACAGGCTTGCACCACCACGCCCGGCTAATTTTTGTATTTTTAGTAGAGATGGGGTTTCGCCATGTTGGCCAGGCTGGTCTCGAACTCCTGAGCTCAGGTGATCCACCCGCCTTGGCCTCCCAAAGTGCTAGGATTACAGGCGTGAGCCGCTGTGCTGGCCAGGAGACACTGCTCCTGATACATCCAAGCTACAGCCATGATGCTGTTGGCGTGAGCCTAGGAGATAGGTGCACGCTTCCCACTGGCACAAGCTTCCCTGTAGCCTCTCGAACAGTTCTGAAGCTGTGACTAAGGAGCAGCTATACCAAGGCCTCCCACACCCATATTTGTTCTCCTTCTTGTGGAGTGCTCTGTCGACCTGATGCAGGGTAAGGATTGGCCAGAGCAGATCCCCGAAGTCGTGTGACCCTGGCCCTATGAATCATCATGGAAAACAACTCCTCCTTGGGGAAGGTGCCTAAAAAAGAGGAGTTCAAGACACTTTATGCATAACCTAATATAATAGCTAAGGAACCCAGCAAAGCTGCTTGATTAAAAAGCTCTGTGTGTATAGGCCGAGCGCGGTGGCTCATGCCTGTAATCCCAGCACTTTCGGAGGCCGAGGCGGGCAGATCACGAGGTCAGGAGATCAAGACCATCCTGGCTAACATGGTGAAACCCCCATCTCTACTAAAAATACAAAAAAAATTAGCCAGGCCAGGTGGTGGGTGCCTATAATCCCAGCTACTTGGGAGGCTGAGGCAGGAGAATGGCATGAACCCGGGAGGCAGGGCTTGCAGTGAGCTGAGATCATGCCACTGCACTCCAGCCTGGGCGACAGAGCGAGACTCCATCTCAAAAAAAAAAAAAAAAGCTCTGTGTGTATATGCAAATGTGTGCACACATGGGAGGGAGTGCTGTGTGCGTGCTTCAGCAGGGCTGAGAGGAAGAACGGGAAGCTGGAGACAAGTGTGTCCTTGTTTTTATGATTATCTCCTAATAGTGTGTCAGTTAGGATTCTACAGGGAAATCGAACAAACAGAATGTTGCTGTAGTTTGGATATCTGACCCCTCCAAACCTCATGTTGAAATTTGCTCCCTAGTGTGTTGGAGGTGTGGCCTAATGGAAGGTGTTTGGGTCATGGCAGTGGATCTCTTATGAATGGCTTGGTGCTGTCCTTGTGGTAATGAGTCCTTGCTCTATTATTTCCCACAAGAACCGGTTGCTACAAAGAGCCTAGCATCTCGCTCCCCTCTCTCTTGCCTCCTGTCTTGTGATCTCTGCACACACGGACTCCTCTTCGCCATCTGCTATGAGTGGAAGCAGCTTGAGGTTCCTATCAGATGCAGATGCTGGCGCCATGCTTCCTGTGCAGGCTGCAGAACCATGAGCCAAATAAACCACTTTTCTTTATACATTACCCAGCCTCAGGTGTTTATAGCAATGCAAATGGAATAATGCAGGTGTATACACACAAGAGGCGATTCATTATAGAAACTGGCTCACGTGGTTATGGAGGCCAAGAAGTCCCACAATCTGTTGTCTGCAATCTGGAGAACAAGGAAGCTAGTGCTGCAATTCAGTCTGAGTCCAAGGGCCTGAGAACCAGGAGAGCAGATGTCCAAGGACAGGAGAAGATGGAGTCTTAGCTTAAGCAGAGAGGGCAAATTTTCTCCTCCACCTTTTTGTTACATGCAGGCTCTCAGTGGATTAGATGATGCCCACCCACATTGGAGAGGGCCTTCTTCTTGACTTAGTTCACCAGTTCAAACAATAATCTATCCTGGAAACACCCTCACAGACATACCCAGAAATGATGGTTTACCAGTTGTCTGGGCATTCCCTCACCCGGTCAAGTTAACACATAACATTAGCTGTCACACATTGTAAAGGATGAAATTCAGATCAGAGGATTGTCGAGGGCTGGAGGTAGGTCCTCAAGCTCACACTCCTGCCTTCACCCAGGAGGCAAGAGAGACTAGAAGTCCAGCTGAGGTGAAGGTGTAATGAGCCAAATAGAGTCAGGACTGAGACTCCAGCCTCCTGAATTCTACTGCATCAAACTTCCCCTGCACCTCTTGCAGATGCAGATTCCCACAGGCCCCTCTGCATCTTTGCTTAGGGTGCACTTCCCCACTCCCTGTCTGCCTAGATGAATACTGCATGGGCTGTTGAACAGCGTGATTGGGGTTGTACCGATATGCACATTCCATCCAGTCTGCCAACGTGAGTTGAATTAATTCCAATTTCGTTAAGGAAGCTGAGGACAACCTGAAGTTCTACTGAATGGAATCCTTTTCAGAAGAGAAGAACATTTAAGTAGATTACAGTTTGATATTGTTGGCCATTTTCTGTTGAATAGTGGAGGGATGGGGGTAGTGAGCTGCATCGCTTCATAGGGTGGAAAATGGCTTATTTCTGGCTCATCTGAAGTTCCATGGCTTTTTTGATATGATTAAACAAGGCATAAATGAAGCACTGGCACATGTTCAATGCAACAACACCCCTTTGTGAATCTATTATACACTGGGAACCGAGCTGTGTCCTCAGGATCTAAAGCTGAAGGAGGCACAGGCATCAGGATGGTGGCAATCTCGCAGCATCACTCCAATAAAGGAGGCATCTGGCATTGTGAGAACACAGACTAGAGAGCAATGCATACTTCCAGGAAGTGGATAGGCTTGAGACATGCTGGAGGCAGGAGGCAGCCTTTGACTGAAGCTTGGGGCAAACCAGTTGGGGCCTGGGACAGAGGGGGCAGATGGCCATGACTGCTGTGACTTGATTGGGGAGTGTCTGGACATGAGACTTGACAGGCCTGGGGCCTTCAAGGGGAGCCTCACGGGAAGCAGTCGTTGAAGACAGAAGTGGCAAAAAAAGAAAAAAAAATGTGGTTCCTTTTTTAGAACAAAGACTCTGGCCACAGTGCGGGGAGAGAGGGCACAGGCTGCTGTCTTTGCAGGAGTGTCAGGAACCTTGTAGAGAAGATGCCAGGCTGAGTCCGAGCCCAGCTGTGCAGGAGAGGAGGGACAGGTATGATGGATGTTTCTAGGGCAGAACAGACAGGAAGCGGGGGAGGGAAGGAAGGAAAGACGGAGGTGGGGATGCATCTGAGGTCTCCCGTTTGAAAGCTGGGAGAAGAATGACACCTTTTAATGAGACAGGCCAGTTGATGGAGGTTTGGGGAGAAGCAAGGTGTGCTCATTTAAAAAGTTTTATTTTAGAATAACTAGACTTATGGGAAAATTTCAAAATAGTACAGAGAATTCCAGTAAATCCTTCACCCAGCTTCCCCTAATTGTGAGCATCTACAGTGCGATGATCAAAACCAGGAAACAAACAATGATACAATATTATTATAAAAACTACAGAATTTATTCATATTTTTCCAGCTAAGCGGCTTATTTTTAGATCTCTGGGTTGAGGTGCTAACAGACTTCCCTGGAGCCCAGGATTATAACATGTGTAATGAGACCTTTGCTTTCTCTTTCCATCTGTGCTCAGCTCCGCACTTCATTTCATTTACCTTATTGGTGGATAGATGATTTCTTTTTCAATCCCTTGGATGTGATTTTATTTTAGGTTATCATATAAGATGAAAGATACACACACACACACACACGTGTGTGTGTGTGTGTGTGTATCCTCTTCCCCTCTGTGATTTCAGAATTCTTTTTAACTTGCAACAGTTCAATCCACTTACCTCCACTGCGCCTTCCCAGTGGAACTCTCACAGTCACCAGGCACGTCCTATGTGCTAGTGCGGTACTATCTGCTCAGTCCTCACACTAACCCTGCAGGCAAACCACGACACACTGGGATCCGGGAGCTGATCAGCTCACCTCCTGCAGGCAGCCGAGGAACCGAGTGTGAACCCCGAGCGCTGCTCCTAACTGTCATGTGCATAAGCATCTCAATGCACGTTTTGCTTGTGTTTTCTCGATTTCCTGTTCCTTATGTTTTCTCAATTTTTCTTCACAATGATATCTTTTTAGGCCCTTTTCCTTTCCCTTGTGATTTGGAAGGTGATAGTCTTTTCACCTTACCAGCAGTTGTTCTTACGTTGCTGGAACTCCCCTGCAAGCTCTTATCAAGTGCTTCCCTGCTGTCCCATCCAGTGAATTCACTTCGTGTGGTCCTCATCCAACTCAGCCCCTGAGCAGCTTTGGGATTGGGGGACCATGCCTTCCTTCTCCAAACTCTTCCCTCACTCCTTCTATGACACCAGAGCTGCACCTGCCTCCCTGCTGGCACCCCCTGTTCTACTGCACTCTCTATGTCAGTTTGCCTTCAGCCTTGGACCTGGGGTATTTCCTTGTCTCTCTTTATCTGCACCTTTCCTGTGTGATCTCCTACAGTCGGTTGCTCTACGTCCCAGCCCCAATCCATAGCTCCAGGTGTAATCCCTCTTCTGCGAGACTGACTGCTGGAAAACTCAGCTCGGACGTCCCATAGGGGACTCACCCCTAACAGGCTGGTTATTGCACTCTTGTTCCCACATGCTCTCCTGTCCTGCCCCAAGGAGTCACTCTTTTTTCCTCCTTTCCCTCACTCCCCGCAACCAAGTCATCAGCAAGTCCTGCAGATTCTAAGAAAATGCATATCGCTTTATTCACTTCTCTCTGCTTGCCCTGCACCCATAGCTCTTCCAAGGTCAATTGCAAGGCCTAAGTCATCTCCTCTACCTCCCATGCACTCTCTTTGAGTGGACTTTTGTCATTGTAAGTCCATTATGTCACTCCTTTGCTTAAGGAAACAAGTGCTTCATCCACTGCTTGTGAAAATGCAAAATGTTACAGAACACAATGCAGGGAAATTGGGAATGTCTGTCAATATGACAAACGCAACTACCCTTTGACTCAGTAATGCCTTCCAGGAATTTGTCTTTTGTACATATTTGCACACATGCAAAGTAATAAATGCACAAACTTATTGTAAGCAGCATTGAAACAACAAAATTTCCAGACAACTCAAAATCCCATCAAGAGGAAGCTGGATAAATAAGCTATGGTAATCAACACAATAGAACACTTTGAAGCAGTGAAAAAAATTTTGAGGAAGCCCTCCATATGCTGATATGAAAATATCTCCAGGATATACTGTTAACGAAAAAGAAGGTTGAAAATAGTATTTTATAGTATGCTATCTTTTTTATATAAAGAGAGAAATAAAAATTTATCTTTACTTGAGTGTGAGGGTGGTGAGGTCAACAAGAAAGAGAAGTGAGGCTTCCCATTGTATAATTTATGATAGTGTTTTTATGTGATTTTTGAATCTTGTTGAATATATTAATCACTCTCTCTCTTTCTCACATACACACACACACTCACACTTCAGGGACTTCTACCTGCTTCATGCTTCTAGTGGAGATCCGCACTTCTTCACATGGGCTACTCAATCAGGTCTCCCCCTCCTCCTCCATCCTCCCGCTGGATGTTCCCTCTCACTAACTGCTCAGCTACTTGGCCTGTGTTCTGTTCCTTGCCAACTTCAGGCCCCTCCAGTCTCCGTGCCTCCCTGGAACACACATTTCCCTGCTCTTCACGTGGCTGGGTCTTCACCTTTCTCAGGGTGCAGCACACAAACCAATCCTGCAGAAAGGGCCTCCCTGGCCCAGCAGTGCACAGGGCGTTGTCTCCCATCTTTCTCCATCCTTAACACCATTTGTTGTTGGTTTCTGGCTAGTTTGTTTTCCCCACTAGCCAGCGTGCTCCAGGAGAGCAGACACCACCTCTTATTCAAAATCCCAGGCACTCGATCTATTTTGGAATATATAAAAAAATCATGCTTAAGCCTAATTATTTATATTTATCTAATCACAAATTTTCTAGCAAAGTTATGAAAAAGTGACTTTTTATTTTTTTCCATATTCAATGAAGAATTTTGCTCACCTTTGCTTCCTTTGATGTTCAATCTCTCCAACTGCCTCACCCCTCTCCACAAGATACTTTGGAATCTTTGGGAATTTGTCCGATTTTTTTAAACAATGTATAATTGATCTTTGATATTTAAATGTTCTTTTAAAAAACATTGGATTTTGCATGCAATTTGTTACTACGTTTATAACATATTTATACCTAAAACTATATGTTCAAACTGTTTTGATGGCTACATCAACAATTCTGTCTCTTTCTTATCTTTGGATTCATTTTCATGTTTGTACCATGCTGCTGAAATATACCTTCTGTCTTCAGTCTGCTCAGGCTGCCATAACAAAATAACACAGGCTGGGCAGCATGAACAACTGAAATTTATTTCTCACAATTCTAGGTTCTAGAAGTCTATGCTGAAAACACCAGAAAACTTGGTTTCTGGTGAGGGCTCTCTTCCTGGCTTGTAGACAGCCACCTTCTCACAGTGTGCTCACATGGCTTTTGGCCTCTGTGTGTGTGTGTGCAGAGAGAGAGACAGATTGCTGATGTCTCTTCCTGTTCTTGCAAGGACACTGGTTCTGTTGGATTAGGGCCCCACCCGTATGACCTTATTTAACCTTAATTATCTTTTTAAAGGCCCTATCTCTGAATACAGCCACACTGAGGTTTAGGGTTCCAACATATGGATTAGAGTGGGGCACAATTCAATCCGTAGCATTCCACTCTCAGGCCTCCTCAAATTTATGTTCTTCTCACATACAAAATACACAAACCACCATTCCAACAGCCCCCAAAGTCTTATTCATTCCAGAATCAATCTAAGTTCAAATTCTCATCTGGATGTCATCCAAATCAGCTATGGGTGAGGTCCTCTCTAGCTGTAAACCTGTGAACAGACAAATTATGTGCTTCCAAACTACAATAGTGGGACAGGCTTAGGACGTACATTCCCATTTCAAAGGGGAGAAGTCAGAAAGAAAAAAGGGATGATAGGGTCCAAGCAAGTCCCAGACCCAGCAAGACAAGCTCCATCAGATCTTAAGGCTTGAGAGGAAAATCCTCTTGGGCTCAATGCCCTACCTTTGGATCCAGTGGGGCAGCACCTTTGCCTCTGGGCCTTGTGGGGCAGCCCTGCTCCTACAGCTCTGTAGGGCAGTCCCACCCCAGTGCTTCTGGTGGAGGCCATCTACCTGCTGAAACCAAAGTGGTGGCCTGAGCCTGACCCTTTGAAGACAACGAGGCAGCCCTGATGTTCTCTGAAACACCTTCCACGTCGTTCTTCCATTTTCTTGATGAAACAGTCCACGTTCACAGCCAATTAGCACCACTGTCGTCGCCTGCAGAGTTTAAGAAGTGCCACCACCCTCCTTCATTTATTCCCTCTCTCATCCCCTTCAGTGTAAGCCAGTGGTGTAGGTGTTTCTGCTTGTATTCCCTTCAATGAGCCACACCCTTGGTTCTCTCTTCAGGATACACTTTCTCATTTTTATTTTTTATTTGCCACATGGACAGACTAAGAATTTTCCAAATCTTTAAGTTCTTGTTTCTTTTGATGTAATAATTTCTTCTTCAATTTATCTGTCTTCTGTCACATTTTACTACAGGCATATCCAAGAGATTTTGGTTTGGTTCCAGACCACCGCAATAAATGGTCTGAATGTTACAATAAAGTGATTCGCAGAATAGACTGCTATACTGTAATCTATTAACTGTGCAATAGCATGTTTTTAAAAATGTACACATCTTAATTAAAAAGTACTTTATTACTAAAAACTGCTAATGATTATCTGAGCCTTCAGTGAGTTGTAATCTATTTGCTGGTAGAGGGTCCTCCCTTGACAGCTGCTGACTGATCAGGGTGGTGGTTGCTGAAGGTTGGGGTGGCTGTGGCAATTTATTTCTTTTTTTTGTTTTTGTTTTTTTGAGACTGAGTCTCACTCTGTCGCCTAGGCTGGAATCAGTGGTGCAATCTCGCTCACTGCAACCTCCGCCTCCCGGGTTCAAGCAATTATCTTGCCTCAGCCTCCTGAGTAGCTGGGCCTATAGGCACGTGCCACCATGCACAGCTAAGTTTTTGTATTTTTAGTAGAGACGGGGTTTCACCATATTGGTCGGGCTGGTCTCGAACTCCTGACCTCATGATCTGCCTGCTTCAGCCTCCCAGAGTGCTGGGATTACAGGCGTGAGCCACTGCACCCGACGGCAATTTCTTAAAATAAGACAACTGTGAAGTTTGCTGCATTGATGGACTCTTCCTCTCATGAAAGATTTCTCTGTTGCATGCATTGCTGTTTGTTTTGGTAGGCGTGGCGGGGGGGAGCTTAGAAAAAATGTCTTATATAATACCAAGACCTATTATTCAAACCGATAGGGAGCCATTTCCATTCTTAAGCTTTATTTTGAAATATATGTCTTCATTTTTATAGGATGTGAGCAAAGCTTTGAAATTAAATTATTCTGTTTAAATTCAGCCTAGAATTCAAGGATAAATATTTATTCTATCAAAGTAGAGTTTGAATATTCTTCTCCATGTCTCCTCAGCCTCTTCCAACTTTTTCCTTCATTTCTCTCTGCCTATATTTTTTGCACTTCCCCTGCATCCATCTTTCTTCTACATGAGCCCACCTTTCATTTCCCTGTCGCTTCTCCTGGGTTCTTCCATCACGCTGTCTCTTATGTACAAATTGCTACCACTCTATTGGTCTGTCTCCAGATTCTTTCTGTCACTGTTTTTCTTCTGCTTGCCCTACCCTCTCTTAAAATTCTGCTGCCTTCTCTCAACTCTTGTCACTTTTAACTTATATACTTATTCAAATCTTTTTTTCTCATCTTTTTTTTTTTTTTTTTGAGATGAAGTCTCACTCTGTTGCCCAAGCTGGAGTGCAGTGGCACGATCTTGTCTCACTGCAACCTCCACCTCCCAGAGTCAAGCAATTCTCCTGCCTCAGGCTCCTGAGTAGCTGGGACTACAGGTACACAGCACCAAGCTTGGCTAATTTTTTTGTATTTTTAGTAGAGATGGGGTTTCACTACGTTAGCCAGGCTGGTCTTGAATTCCTGACCTCATGATCCACCCACCTCCGCCTCCCAAAGTGCTGGGGTTACAGGCGTAAGCCACTGGGACCAGCCTTTTCTCATCATTTCTTAAGTTCTTATTATATGTGGGCCTTTTACCTTACCTCTTAGCTCTATCAGTGTTTTGCTTCCTATGCCTGAGAACACACACATTCCCTGTGGGAAGCAGGGGTAGAAAATTCACACAGCAAGCAACCAGGGGTGGAAGGGCAAGCTGTGGAGATATCCTGCTCAGCAGAGCCCTGCACACCTTGCAGGCAAGGGCATTCCATCCAACTTCACACCGACATTTTGCTAAAGTAACCAACAGTCTTGGTTTGCCCGGGACTGTACTAGTTTGTCACTGAAGGTCTTGTGTTCTGGGAAATATCTCAGTTTCAGGCAAATCAGGACAGCTGATTACTCAACATCTTACTTTCTTTACATCTTTTTGCATAGCCCTTTCATCAAACTATGCTCACCTCAACATTCAGCCTTACATTGTTCTTCTTTCTATAGTAACTGCCTGGTGGGACCATTGTTGTTACCAAGTCTCCCTTGCACCTTGCCCAGATGAGTGCAGTACTGTCTCTTGATTGACACATTGTTGTTGTTGTTGTTGTTGTTCCCTGGCTTTAGCCTACCCTGTACTTATCCTTTCTCTACCTGTTTTAGCATGTACCAGGCAGACTCAGTTATGGGAACCCGTGTGGCCCCATTGAAAGGATGCTCTTAATGCCGGGAGGTATCTTTCTCTGTACATAAAAATCACCCCTGGTATGTCATCTTGTTTATGGAGTAGTGCCAGAGATACCTGGCCTTACCTCATACTTCACCTCCTTTTGCCTACTGTGATCTCTCTTTCTGCCCACCCTAGCTGGCCCAGGGCTTACTGAGCCTCCCCATGGCCTTTGAGCTATGGCTGTATTTATTGGTGTCTAATCTGGTTTTACCATTCAGCTTGGTATCTACCTAAATGACTCCAACTTGAACTTGACCTGCATACCAGGCCCTATGTGGCACAGAAGATGCTAGGTGCAGGAGGCAAGCCAATTTTCTGCCCCTGCTATTAAGTCTTCCCTAAGCCGTCTCCTTGAACTTGTGTTTCTCTGCATGTTGGTGCATTTAACTCTCCCAGTGGATCTGTTTTCATTTCTCAGAACCCTTATTCTCTCCTGCCCGGTGCTTCTGTTTCTTGGTGTTTTAGCCAGGGATGATTTGGTAACAGGAAGAAGGAAGCCACTCAAACTAACTTATAAAAAAGTTGATAGCAGGCAATAAAATAATAAATAGATAATATGAACTTCATCCAAATTTAAAACTTGTGTACATTGGACGACACTATCAAAAGAGTGAAAAGACAACACACAGAATGGGAGGAAGTATTTACAACTCATATGTCGATAAAGGATTATTATCCAGAATGCATAAAGAATTCCTACGGCTCAACAACAAAAAACAGTATCTGTTCATATCTTCTGCCCATTTCCTAGTTGTATTTTTTGGTTTTTTTAATATTGAATTCTTGAGAATCTTTATATATCCTAGCTATAAATCCTTTACTAGATAAGTGATTTGGAAATATTTGCTTACATTCTTTAGCTTATAGATTTATTCTCTTCAGGGGGTATTTTGTAGAGCAAAAGTTTTTAATATTCTTGAGCTCCAAATTATCTGTTTTTGGCATCAAATTTGAGAAAACTTTGCCTACCCTAGATTCTGAACATTTTAAAATATTTTTTTCTAAAACTTTTATAGTTTATATTTTCCCTTGAAGGCTATAAAGCATTTTGAGTTCATTTTTATATAAGATATAAGGTTTATTTTTTTCTTACCCAATGGATGGCCAATTGCTTCTACACCATTTTTTGAAAAGACTATCCTTCCTCCATTTAGCTGCTTTTATACTGTTGTTAAAATCAATTAGACATATGTGTTTGTGTCCATTTCTGGGTTCTCTATTCTGTTTCATTGATCTATGTTTCTCTCTCCTCAATACCACAATGTCTTGATTACTACAGCTACACGGCAAAACTTAACACCAAGTACCATGTTTCCTCCCACTTTATTATTCTTTTTCAAGATTGTTTTAGCTATTCTAGGATCTGTGCCTTTCCATATAAATTTTAGAATAATACAAATTACAACTATATAAAATATAATAATATAATAAACATTACACTATGATAATAATTTTAAAATAATACAAATTTTATCTATGTCTACAAAAAGTCCTTGCTGAGATTTTAATAGGAATTGCATTAAACCTATAAATCAATTTTGGGAAAATTGACATTTTTGCTATTTCTGAGTTTTCTAATCCATGAACATGGTACACTGCCTATTTATTAAAAGGTACACTGCCTATTTATTATCAGATCTTCTCTGATTTCTTTCTTTCTTCTCTGATTTCTTTCTTTCTTCTGTGAAGAAAGAAATTTTCAGCATACAGATCTTACAGAGGTTATAAATCCATAATTAAGTTTTAATTTTATTTGGCATGATTGCAAATGTTATTTTGGTTTCTGCATACTCACTGTTAGTATACAGAAATGGGATTGATATTTGTGTGCTGACCTTGTAAACTAGGACTTTGCTGAACTTACTTATTAGTTATAAGAGTTTCCTTGTAGAATCCTTGGGATTTCCATGTAGACAATCAAGTCATTTGCAAATAGGAGCAGTTTTATTTCTTTCTTTCTGATCAGTGTGCCTATTTTTTTTAATCTTATTAAAGTGGCTAGAACTTCCAGTACAAGAGTGGTGATTGCTGAGATTTTTCCTCCTGTTTCCAATTTGAAGGAGGAAAAAAGTATTAAATGTGATGTAAGGTATAATCTTGAGCTTTGTTTTTATTTTTCAAGTGGTCTTTATCAAATTGAGAAAATTTTTCTTTGTTCCCAACTTGCTGAGAATTTTTATCATGAATGGATGTGGGATTTTGTCAATTGCATTTTACATCAATTATCAAAAGCGTATTACATCAATTGATAATAGCATATGGTTTTTTCCTTTAGCTTAATGACATGGTGCATTACAGTGATTGACTTTAAATGCCAAACCAGCCTTACATCCATGGAATAAATCCAACTTGATAATTCAGTTGATAATACTTTTGAGAATTTTTGCATATAAACTCATGGGAGGTATTGGTCTACAGTTTTCTTTTTGAAAATACTGTCTTATACTGGTTAGTCACGGTAATACTGGCCTTAAAAAATGAGGCAGAAGATGCCCCTCACTATGTTATTTCCTGAAATAGATTGCATAAAATTGGTGTTATTTTTCTTCAAATGACTTTATAATTCATTGGTGGAACCATATCAGCCTGGAGATTTATTCCTCCAGACACTTCAAATTGCAAATTCAATCCTTTTAATGGGCATAGGGATACTCAGAGTATCTATTTTATCTAGCATGAGTTTTTGTAGCTTGTGGAGCTTTTTTGGAAGTTTTCCATTTCTTCCAAGTTTTTGAATTTATGAGTAATTGTTCATACCATCCCCCATAATATCTTTTTAATAGCTGAAGAATCTGTAGTAATACCCCCTGTTTTATTTCTATTATTATTTATTTGAGTATTCTCTTTTTATTTTTGCCAGTTTTGCTATAGGTTTACTAATGTTATTGGGTTTTTTCCCCCCAATGAACTAGCTGTTGGTTTCATTTATTTTCTTTATTTTTTGTTTTCAATTTCATTGATTTCTGATCTGTATTTATTATTTCCTTCTTTCTGCTTACTTTCCATTTATTTTGATCTTATTTTCCTAGTTATTGAAGTGGTAATATAGGTTATTTATCTGAGATATTTTCTAATTTTTAATGTAAATATTTAGCAGTATAAATTTCCCAGTAGTGCAGTAACTACATTCCATGAATTTTGATATGGTGTGTTTTTGCTTTTATTCAACTGTATGTCTTTTAAAATTTCCTTTGAGATTTCCTATTTAACTCATGGATTATTCAGAGTGTACTTTAATTTGCACTTGGATAGAAATTTTTCTGATATATTCCCATTATTGACTTCTAGTTTAAATTCATTGTGGTTAGAGAACACACACACTCACACAGTATTTTGGTTCTTTTGCATTTGTGGAGATTTTTTTTAACTAGGAAATATTTCTATTCAACACTAATAATGGAAGACCTAGCCAGTATCATTATACAATAAAAATGACACTGTTCACTGACAAATGATTGTTTACATAAGAAACCCTATAAATTTTACAAAAACACTGCTAGAAGTAATAAATAAATGTAACAAGGTTGCAATAATTGTGGCCCATAAACAAAATACAACTATATTTTTATATACTAGTAATACACAATTAGAAAATAAACTTTTGCTTCTTTTTAAAATTTTTAGTTTTAGATTTACATATAATAATTGTTTGAAACTGTAAGTTTCTCTCTTTCAAAAGATTGGAAAAATTTTCCACCATCATTGTATCAAATATTCATTCTTCCACACTTTCTTTTCTTCTTCTAAGGCCTTGGTGGTACTATTTTTGAATGAATCTCTTGTTATTGTCCACAGGTCTCCAAAGGATTGTTCATTTTCTTTTGGTATATTTTCTCTCTTTTGTACAGTCTAGGTGAATTCTATTAATATGTTTTCAAGTTCATTGATTCCCTCCTCTGACATTTCCATTCCACTATTGAGTTCATCCAGTGGGCTTTTAAAACTTTCTCTTACTATGTTTTTCAGTTCTATAATTTCAAGTTAGTCATTTTTATACCATATGCTATTTTACTAAACTTTTCTAGTTTTTATTTTTATTTGTTTTGAGAGCATCTGTAGTTGTTGGCTGAAATATTTTTACAACTGCTTTAAAATCTTTGTCAAATAGTTCTAATGCCTGTTTCTTCTTGTTGTTGGTGTCAGTTGATTGATTTTTCTCATTGAAGGTGATTTTTCTTATGATATAATTTTCAACTGTGCTCTGAAAATTATATCTGTTAGGCCAGGAGACTTTGAGTCCTATTTATTTATTTATTTATTTTATTTTGAGATGGAGTCTTGCTCTGTTGCCCAGGCTGGAGTGCAATGGCATGATCTCGTTCACTGCAACCTCTGCCTCCTGGGTTCAAGCAATTCTCCTGCCTCAGCCTCCCCAGTAGCTGTGATTACAGGTACCTGCCACCACGCCTAGCTAATTTTTGTATTTTTAATAGAGATGGGGTTTCACCATGTTGGCCAGGTTGGTCTGGAACTCCTGACCTCAGGTGATCCACCCGCCTCGGCTTCCCAAAGTGCTGGGATTACAGGCCTGAGCCACTGTACTGGCTGGTCCTATTTAAATATTAAATATTTTATTTTAGCATGCTGTCAACCGGTTCAGATTCAACATGTGGGTCTTAGCCTACTCTTACGGGTTGTGGTTCCAATAGCAATTTAACATTCAGAAACTTTGCAGTGTTATTTTCCTCTGCTTGATTCTTCCAGTGCCCATAAGGCTCCCACTGTAGTCTGCTGGTGGTGCCTGTAGGGAAAAAGTGATTTTTCCAGGTATGGCAGTCAGATGTCTCTTGATGTGGGAGGGGTCTCACTTTAAGCTCCCTCCTCTCTTTCTCGGTGTCTCTGAGTGAGGGAGGAGAGTTTTGGGCTCACAGGATCAAAGAGGCTTCCAAAGCCTGATCACTTGATGTGACCAGGTCTTATTCTTTTCTGCCTGGCCGTCCCTGCGTCTGCACTGGGGAGAAGAATTTGGCAATTTTATATAAATTAAGCATCCACCTAATCTATGATCCAGAGTTCTATTCCTCTGTATCTACCAAAGATAAATAAAGATTTAGGGATGTGAATGCCCTTGAAATGACAAATGGATAAATAAACTATGACACATTCATATAATAGAATACTATTCAACAATAAGAAGAAACAGATGATGCATGCATGTGACAATAAGGATGATTCTTCAATGTATTCTGCTAAGTGAAAGAAGAAAGGTCCAAAGGCTATGCATCATGTGATTCAATTTATGTAATGCTGGAAAAGGCAAAACTGTCAGAAGGAAAGAAGATCAGTGGTTGTCTTGGATTGGACAAGGGGTTTCATATATAGGAGCAGCAAAGGGGAAATTTGAGGATGATGGAACAGTTTCATATAAAACTTTGGTGGCTGACACAGTTTTACAGACTCTTTTCATTTGTCAAAGAACAATTTACCATAAAAAATGAATTTCATTGACATAAATTTTTAAAAATCAACCAGGATGTGGGGAAAAGATTGAGTCCCCAGACTGTGATGATGAGTTAAACCATATTACAAATGAATTACATAAGCACAGTGAGGGCATGAGGAACAAAAGAGCTGACCTAAGTCATTTCAAAAAGCAGTGTTTTAAATGGTTACTGTAAGACTAAAGAAAAAAAGAACATAAACGAAGACTGCTTTTGTTGGCATATTTGTTTCCCAGAAGGGTTGGATTGAGAATTCTGGGCTGGGCACTGTGGCTCATGCCTGAGGTGGGAGGATCGCTTGAGGCCAGGAGTTCTAGACCAGCTTGGTCAACATAGCAAGCAAGACCTCAACTCTACAAAAAAAATAATAATAATTAACATGGTGTGGTGGCAGTGCCTGCAGTTCCAGCTACTTGGAAGGCTGAGGCTGCAGGATCACTTGAGCTCAGGAGTTCTAAGCTGCAGGGAGCTATGACTGAGCCACTGCACTCTAACCTGGGTGACCGAGCAAGATCCTGTCTGTAAAAAAATAAATAAATAAAAAGAATTCTGAAACCACTTTATTTGTATAGTAGTGTTGAATAAATAAGTAAATATATTTGAAACAATGGAAGCCAGGTTCTCCTTATTGTAAGAAGTTACAATAAGGAAAGAGATAAGTCTAAAATGGATTAAGTGATGCTGCATTGAAGTTTGAGAATCAATATGAACTCATGAGTGTGCATGTATGTGTGTGTGTGAATATATGAAAGTAGATGCAGAAGTAAATGTAGATGTATGTATACATGAGTTAGCATATATATCTCCGAGCCCTATCCACTGATAGGAACTAGATGCTCTGACACCCCGTGGCAATGAGCATGCCTTCTCTTCAGCTCGTGGTTTTTTTTTTTTTTTTTGAGACGGAGTCTCGCTCTGTCGCCCAGGCTGGAGTGCAGTGGCGGGATCTCGGCTCACTGCAAGCTCCGCCTCCCGGGTTCACGCCATTCTCCTGCCTCAGCCTCCCAAGTAGCTGGGACTACAGGCGCCCGCCACTACGCCCGGCTAATTTTTTGTATTTTTAGTAGAGACGGGGTTTCACCGTTTTAGCCAGGATGGTCTCGATCTCCTGACCTCGTGATCCGCCCGCCTCGGCCTCCCAAAGTGCTGGGATTACAGGCGTGAGCCACCGCGCCCGGCCCAGCTCGTGGTTTTTAATTACCATTCTCCAACAAAAGGAAAACATGGTTCTTTGCAGGTGTGGTTAATTCCAGGCCTGTGGCAGGGAAGCTTCACAAAGATTCTGTAACATCTTGTAGTGCCAGTAGGAAGGAAGTGCTAAAATAAAACAAAACAAATTAAGCCAGCAAAGGAAAAGCAAAATGGTTTGAGGGAGTGTCAAAAGAGCACAGGAGTAAACCTAAAAGGGCTCTAAGCCTAAAGAACAATGACCTTGCAGTCATGGAAAAGAATGAGATCATGCCCTTTGCAGGGACATGGATGAAGCTGGAAGCCATCATCCTCAGCAAACTAACACAGGAACAGAAAACCAAACAGCACATGTTCTCACTCATAAGTGGGAGTTGAACAATGAGAACACATGGACACAGGGAGGGGAACATCACACACCCGGCGCCTGTCAGTGGGTGGGGGCAAGGAGAGGGAGAGCATTACAACAAATACGTAATGCATGCGGGGCTAAAACCTAGATGACGGGTTGATGGTTCAGCAAACCACCATGGCACATATATACCTATGTAACAAACCTGCACATTCTGCACATGAATCCTCGAACTTAAAAGTAAAATTTAAAAAATAAATAAATAAATAAGAGCAATGACCAAAGCATTCCCCATGAACAACTTGGACTAAAATGTAATGATCGTGTTGGAATATAATCCAAAGAATAAAATAAATGCCCAGGAATCCATCCAATGTAAATGGATAACTGAATACATAAATTAATAAAGAAGTGATCATTTTCCCTTTACATAAAAATTCCAGTCAGTAAGCGCAGAAGAAATTGGGGATATTCTAAAAACACCATTAGAACACTACAGGTACAGTTGTCATAGGCAAGATACATTGGTGAATTTTAAGTAGTGGGCAAATTTTAAGCAGACAGTATTTACAATATTCACAATAGCCAAGACATGGAATCAACCTAAGTGTTCATCAATGGATGAATGAATAAAGAAAAGGTGGTATATGTACACGATGGAACACTGTTTGGCCTGATAAATAAATCCTGTCATTTGTGACAACATGAATAAACCTAGGTGATATTATACAAAGTGAAATAAGTCAGATACAGAAAGACAAATACTGCATGATCTCACTTATACATGAAATCTAAAAAGTTGAATTCATAGAAGCAGAGAGTAGAATAGTGGTTATCAGAGGCTGGCGTGTGGGTAGAACTGAGAAAATGTTGGTCAAAGGTATAAAATTTCAGTTAGATGGGAGGAATAAGTTTAAGAGATCGCTTGTACTTTATTGTGACTACAGTTAATAACAGTATATAATATGCTTGAAAATTGCTGAGAGTAGATTTTAAGTGTGCTAATCATAAAAATATGAGGTAATATATATTAGTTAGCTTGATTTTTTAGCCATTTCACAATATCTACGTATATCAAAATGTTTTATAAATGATAAATATATATAATTTTTGTTCCTCAATTATAAACAGAGATAAAAAAGTAAAATCATTATAACAGAAACACAGAATACCTTTGATGGACTCATCAGTAGACTAAGCACAGCCAAGGAAAGAATCAATGAGTTTTAAGAAATGTAATAGAAACTTTCAAGACTGAAATGCATAGCGAAAAAGCAATTAAAACAATGGAACAAATTATCCAAGAACTATGGGACAATTGCAAAAGATGTAACATATACATAATGGTAATATGAGAAGGAGAAATAAGAGATATGGGAACAGAGAAAATTTTTGAGACAATAATGGCTGAGAATTCCCCAAATTAATGTCAGACACCAAGCCACAAATCCAGGAAGCTCAGGGAATGCCAAGTAGAATATATGCTGAGAAATCTACATGTAAGCATGTCATACCCAAGCTGCAGAAATTAAAAGACAAGGGGGAAGTATTGAAAGAAGTCAGAGGGTAAAAACCACCTTATCTATTGGGAAGCAAGGATAAAAATTACATCTGACTTTAGAAACCATGCAAGCAAGAAAACAGTGGAGTGAAATATTTAAGGTGCTTATAGGAATAACGAAAAAGCCTAGGATTCCACACTCAGAGTAATTATCTTTCAAAAGTTACAGAGAAATAAATAACTTTTATAGCCAAACAAAAATGAGGGAGTTTGCCTAGCAGGATATGTTTAAAAAGTTGTTCAGAGAGAAGGAAAATGACATAGGTTAAAAACTTTAATCTATATAAAGAAAGGAAGAGTATTAGGGAAGGAATAAATAAAGATGAAATGAAGCCTTTCATTTTTCTTTTTCTTAATGGATCTAACAGATAATAGTTTGTTCAAAGTAATAATAGTAAACAGTGAATTGTGTGGATGTAGCACAGAGATAAATGAAATGAATGACAGCAATTTTATAATGAGTAGGAAGGAGAAACTGTAAACACTCTATTTTAAAACCTTTAAAATGATTTAGCATATTTGGAGACGAACTTGGATTGTTGTAAATGTATGCTGCAAACTCTAGGGCAATCGCTGAAAAACATTTTAAAAGAGTAAAAATTGAGTCAGACAAAATGCTCAACTAAAACCAGATGAGGCAGAAAAAGAATGGGAGACAAAAAAAAAAAAAAAAAAAAGAAAGAAGCAGAAACAAAGATATTTAATAGAAAACAGTAAGAAACTTGTTAGATATTAATCCAATTATATCAGTAATCCCTTTAAATGTCAATGGTCTAAATACATCAATTAAAATAGTGTCCGAGTGAAGAAGAAAATAAGACGCAACTATATGTTGTCTACCAGAAACTCATTTTAACTATAAAAACACATATAGATAAAAGTAATAGAGTAGAGAAACATATGCATGCTAACGCTAATTAAAAGAAAACTGTGGTAGCTATATTAATTTCAGAAGGAACAGACTTCAGAGCAAGGAAAATAATCAGGGATAAAAATGTACATCACATCATGATAAAGGGGTTCCATCACCCAAACATCACAATTCTTAGTGTATGTGCACCTAAAAAGTGTCAAAATACATGAGGCAAAATATTATTAAATTTTGAGGACAAATAGATGGGTCTATTCTTATAGGTGGAGACTTAAATATTCTTCTATCAGTAATTGACAGACCCAGCAGGGAGGAAATCCATAAGAACATGGTTGAACTGAACAACACCATCAATCAACTGGATCTAATTGACACTTATAGAATACTTCATTCAACAACAGCAGAATACACAGTCCCCTCAATTTTACATGCTTACATTCATGAAATAGATCACATTCTGGACTATAAAACATACCTTGACAAATTTAAAAGAGTAAATGAAAACAAAGTGATACAATAACTATATTAGCTTTTCACAGCACTCAATTAATTAGTGGATGCAGGCACTGGGTATCATTAGTTGGTGACATCAAAACAGTGAAAACCAGCCACAATGTGAAAGGCCACAACATAAACAGTGAACTTTCAAAAGGACTGACCCTGAGTTTGACTGAGCCTCTGGATCCCACTGTTATTTGGTAGAAAATAGGGCAGGGATACATGCTGAGCTACATAACCAGTTTGAAATCCACGCATTAGAAGACTCTACAGGTAAAAGAGCCCAGACTCAACAGACAAATTGTATATTAAAAAAAGAAAAGGATGGAGGAGTAATCTCAAGATTGACTGAAAGATAAGTATATACCATAGCAAGCTGGCAAAATAGACATAACTGTACTATAGTGACTACTATCCTCACTTGGTAAGATTATGAAGAAAGGCAAGGAAATGTCTGTTACAAAAATCAATATAACATAGTTACATTTACAGGAAGCAATGTAATTTGGCTGGGGCATGATGGAGGGCTTTTGGGTTTGTTGCAAAGTTCTGTTTTTTGTTTGTTTTTGTTTTTTTTCTGAGACGGAGTCTCACTCTGTCACCCAGGCTGGAGTGCAGTGGCGCGATCTCGGCTCACTGCAAGCTCCGCCTCCCGGGTTCACGCCATTCTCCCGCCTCAGCCTCCTGAGTAGCTGGGACTACAGGTGCCCACCACCATGCCCGGCTAATTTTTTATATTTTTTTAGTAGAGACGGGGTTTCACCATTCACAGGATGGTCTCGATCTCCTGACCTCATGATCCGCCCGCCTTGGCCTCCCAAAGTGCTGGGATTATAGGCGTGAGTCACCGCGCCCGGCCAAAGTTCTGTTTCTTGACCTGGGTAGTTGTGACAAAGACATTTGCCTTATAATCATAATTAACTAATCTCTACATTTTTTTGGGTCTGGTTTTCTGTTTCATCTTAAAACAAAAAGATAAATAATAAATAATGCATACATAAATCCAAGGAAAAAAGTTAATGGGGCATGTGTTCTGGAAATCGAGGGAAGAAAACACATATGGAGCGGGGAGCAGAGTCTCCTGTCTCTGTGTTTTTCTGCACAAATCACACCCCACCCCACCCACCACCCAGTGGCCATCAGCAGGGATAGTCCCTCACAATAAGTTTCTCTAGCTTCCAGCTTGTTCAACTGTAGAGGGAGCAATGGTCAGATCCTACATGTTCTGTCCCTTGTTGAGTGTGTTTTGGGGTCTTTGTGCCTTGTGATATTCTGAATTCTCTCTCTATAATGCTGAATTAATTTTTTTCTCTATTTTTAGCATCTTATTGTTTGCCTATAAGAATTGCCAAGTCATTCAATCTTAAAACCATCAAGTTATTACATCTGAAGATTTCTGAGTCAATCTGAGAAGCATCATTATCTTATCCTTATTCTGTGCTCACTGTGCAAATGCTCGGCTATACCGATTATTGCCTAAGCAGTATCCATTATCTTTAAAAAGGACAAACAAAAATTAATCTCAATTTGGAATTTCAACTGTTCTGATAGATGCTATTTCTTCAATGAGCTGGAACTGTAGAATCGAATCCTCTAAGGAAGCCTCAGGTACATGAGTCTCGCAGCTGCAGATACAACCCTCTTCATTCATGGTCAAACAAGTTAAGGCTGGCTCTAGAAATGAACATTCCTTTGCACAATTGCTAGAGGTTCACATTTATGTTTTCTGTGTATTGATCACTAAAATAGAAAATCGGTGCCATCATATCAGAGAATCACTAAGTCATGGGTTTTGAATATCTACAGAATCATGGAATCTGAGATCTGCTGAGTCATGATATTTGAAAATTACGTTTGCACACAAGCCTTGATTTGCATTTTCAGGATATTAAAATCAAAACTGCAGAATCCCATAGTCATTCTCTTTGAAAACTTCAGCTTTGATTCAAACATTCTGCAGCTGCCAATTCATAAATTCTGAGAAATTAAGAGTCAGATTGAGATTGTACAATAGCAGACACATATTCCATTACTAAAGGAAGTCCCTGGAGGGACTAAGATATTCAAAGTGGTGAGAGAAAGAAATACTAATAATTTGTTCTATGTTAGCTACATATCACTACTTCATATAGGTCCTCCACTGTATGTGGTATTATCCCCATGTTAGAACTGAGGAAACCAAAGTTGAGGATGATTTGATATCAAGTAAGTTCATAGGTTCCAGAGCTAGGACTTCAACTGCACATCTATCAGAAGCCTTGATTGACAATCATGAAATCATGGAGAGAGTGAGAGGATCATGGAAAAGTCAGCCTCTGTCTGGCCAGGGTCCCATCCCAGCTGCCTGCAAAGTCTTCTAATCACTTGTACCCATGCTCCATTCAGGCAGAATAACAAGACCAGACCTTCAGCTAGCTCATAGGGTTTGCAAATGATTTTTGCTGATTTATTTGATGACTAAAGTACCCACACATCCTTACTCTTCCCCTGCTTGAATTCTGGGGCTATTCTGGGAAAGGGTCTAGGAGTGGATCCCAAATTTGTGGGTATGCAAGTTACAATCATCTGCTGATCTTCAGAAACTCCCCAAACCCTGGCCACATCCAGACAAGTTAAACCACAATCTCTGGGGAATGGAACTCCAACATGGGCATTTTTTAAGCCCTTCAGATGATTGCAATGGGAAGAAAAGTTTGAGAACAATGGGCTTATCCTGTTATTCCTGAAAAGCAGTGATTTCATATATGAATCACGTAAGGGAGGTTTTTAAAAAGCACTGAATCCCAGGCCCAGAACAATGGGGTTAGAATCTCTAGGAGGCTGGGCATGGGTGATTAACAAAAGCTCCTCATGCTGATCGGTGAAATTTCTGGAAGGTCAAGGCAGGAGCTCCTTGAATGGTTTAATCCTTTCCATATGGAACTCTGCAAACTAGGTTTCAGGGCTTTCCTCCCTGTTAGTCAAAAAATCATCTGCTTTTGCTTAACTAGTGAGGGTTGGGTTTCTGTCACTTGCAAGTTCTGGAATTGACCAAGCATCCTGGTTTGCCCGGTACTCTCCTGGTTTCAGCTCTACAAATCCCACATACCAGGAAACCCTTCGGTCCCAGACACATCTGGATGGTTTGTCACTCTACTTGTAATCAAAGTATTATGGTTATTTTCTTACTAGATTTATTGAGATGTCCTCTCTTTATCCTTCTAACCAGTGCTCATAAAACAACCACTACCAAGATTAACTACCTGGAACCCTGAGTACATGCCCCACATATATCCTGAGATGTCATCCCACCCATCACAGGCTCCCATTCTCCCTAAACAACTCCTTCTTCACTCCTGATCCTTACACAACACAACCCCTGCACCCTAATTCACTGACATTCCTAAGTCAGAACCACACTCTCAACTTTACCTCCACAAGCCATGTGAGGGGGTACATGGCTACCCCACCATGTGTGGCTCATAGCCATTGAAAACTGAAGCATGAAGCCCTCCCTCTAGCTATATGTTCTTTTTTTTTTTTTTTTTTGAGACGGAGTCTCGCTCTGTCGCCCAGGGTGGAGTGCAGTGGCATGATCTCGGCTCACTGCAAGCTCTGCCTCCCGGGTTCATGCCATTCTCCTGCCTCAGCCTCCTGAGTAGCTGGGACTACAGGCGCCCACCACCACGCCAAGCTAATTTTTTGTATTTTCAATAGAGACGGGGTTTCACCTTGCTAGCCAGGATGGTCTCGATCTCCTGACCTCGTGATCCACCCACCTCGGCCTCCCAAAGTGCTGGGATTACGGGTGTGAGCCACTGCGCCCAGCCTAGCTATATGTTCTTATGCTTGACTGTGTCTTCTTGATCAAAGCTGGAGTCCACCTTCTAGAAAGTTAAGAAATCAAAGCAATGATTCATTGGGGCTTGCTTGCTTCATGGAACAGATTTTCTCACCCCACCTCACGTAAGTGGGAATATATTTTAAGGATTCATTTAAGAAAATGGAAAACAGGAATCTTAACCATGGGGTAGGTCTTCACAAGAACTCAGAGAAAACTGAACAACCAAGCTTCACTTCCAGGTCAGGAAGACCAGGCCGGCCACCAGGGAGACTTGAGTGGGATGGCATCCTGAGTGTTAATGCTGGAGACTGACATCCTCAGCAGTGGGAGTCCCAGGACCTCCACTCCAGGGTTCCGCTGGCAGATCACTCAGCTCTATGCTGTCTGTCCATTCCTCCCTGTGCGGAGCCACCTTCTGTTTGCCTACCAAGGAGCTCATTGCTACCAAACTTCTCACTTCAAATTCCAGACAGGTAGAACCTACCTTGCTCAACTGATATCCCTAACCCTGCCAGGGAAAATCTTTCCATTCCAGACCACACCTTAGACCCCTGTTAGTGTGGTTACCTTCAGCCCATCACCAGACTCTAGTCCATCAGCTATGAACTGGGAGTGGGGGTCATGACATGAGTACCTAAGGCTGTCCTCTTAGAAAGGTCTATATGGGCACAACCATGGGAAACCCTGTAATGGGCATGCCTAATAAGATAAAATCTTAGCACTGGATGAGTCCATGTGGATAACAGAATGCAACTCTAGCCTTTTAGGGATGAAGATAAGGTGCTATATATTGAAAAGAGTCAAAAATATTTGACCTTGGACCTCAGCTTCTTTTTACCAGTAGACCTTGTGCAATTTACATCACCTCTCTTGATCCTATCTGTAAAATTTCAGATGAGAATGCTTGCCTATTGTGTTTGTCATGAAGATTAATTTTTATAGTCTCCATAAGCACCTGGCATACAATAGGGCCTTCATAACTACTAGTTTCCAGTGTGGACTTAGGCACTTCATTCCCCTGTCTCTTTGTCCTCAGCCATCACGATGCATCATGACACAGCACAACAAGGGCTCTTCAATCAACTCTCAGTTCTACTTTGGATGGAACGCAAGCTGGTTGGATGTGGGCACCCAGCAGCCCTCCATCAATCTCCAGTCTCTTGTGTAATCCAAGCACATGATTTGAGATCCTCTACTTTAACCCCAGATCATCAATCTCAGGGCTAATGGAATATAGAAAAACGCTTTTCCCTGGAAGATTACTAAAAGGTCACAGTCTTGTTTTCCCCTGATAGATTTTCTGTCATATTACATAGTAATGTTCCACTGGGTGGCAAGATTACTGTCGTCCTGAGAATAATGGTCATCTCTGTAGCTGTATTATCCAACTCTCCAACTGGGCTGTGAATTTCTCCACAGATGACTTTTAGTCACTAGCATCCAATTTATAACTGGTTTTGTTTTCTAAAATTACAGATGGACTGGGCGCAGTGGCTCACGCCTGTAATCCCAGCACTTTGGGAAGGTGAAAGGGTGGATCACCTGAGGTCAGGAGTTTGAGACCAGCCTGGTGCCAACATGGTAACACCCCGATTCTACTAAAAAATTACAAAAATTAGGCAGGCGTGGTGGGGCACACCTGTAATCCCAGCTACTTGGGAGGCTGAGACAGGAGAATTGCTTGAACCCAGGAGGCAGAGGTTGCAGTGAGCTGAGATTGTGCCAGCCTGGGTGACAGAGCAAGACTCTGTCTCAAAAAAAAAAAAAAATTACAGATGAACAAAATTAACTAGACTATATGCCCCAGTTTATGGCACACTTACCATCAGTCTGTACAAAGTTCCCTTTTTTCTTTCTTTTCTTCCCTCCTTTCTTTCCCTCGCTCCCTCCCTTCCTTCCTCCCTCCCTCCCTTCTCCTCCTCCTATTTCTTGCTCTCTCTTTTCTTTCTCTCCTTCCATCCTTTCCTTCCTTCTTTTCTTTCTGTTAGTTATTTAATCCATCATTCCTTTTCCCATTCCACTCCCTACCCTGACCTTCACAATGTACATACATTCTATCTAAAGAGAATCTTTTCAAACCATTTTTATATATTCATGTAAATATATGTAGGATATAGAGTAGTTGTGTGTTCATGTGATTAATGTAAATAATGCTTTGTTTATTAGTCACACATATGTGGATATATATAAATCTAATTCCTTACATGGACCACTGTTGAGATCTAAACAGTGCAACACACATCCTTATCCATTTCTGTAAGGAAGGCTTTCAGATTAACCCCAGCTCTTTGCTCTCATAACCAAGGCTGAATGCATAATTTTGTAGAGGTCTCTCTGTGCTTACCACTGAGATTTTCTTTGTGGGATACATCCTGGAGAAGAATTCCCAGGTTAGGTGGCATACACATACATAATTTTTAATGATTGCCCTCCAGAATGGCTTCACTGGTTTTCAATTTCCAAAGTAAACAAAGGTTTCCATTTCTCCACATCCTCACTAGGATTTAACATGATCAAATTTTCTAATTTTGCCACTCTGATGTCAGTACGGCAATATGATGTTAGGAGTTGCATGTCTCAGATGGTGAGGTTAAGCATACATGCATCGGTTGGCAGGTATTCTGTCTGGTTTTCCACCTGAAGAGCTTTCTCATGTCCATGGTCCATTCTTTTTCTATTGGATGGTTGCCTTTTCCATACTGATTTGCAGAAGTACTTTGTGTGTTTTAGGCACTTAAAATAGTAGACCTCCATCTGTTATCTGTATGTTAACTTTACCTTGGCTACACAGAAATAAATTCTGAGTGAGTGATGTCCATCAATCCTTCCTTTCCGTGTGTGTGATTCTTGGATCTTGTTAAGGAGGATTTATCCAGCTGAGTTCACAAAGGAATTCTGCATCTTCACCCGTTAGTTTAGCAGATTTACTTTCTTTATAGAATTTTAACTTTTTCAATACTATTTTTGTTCACATGTAAGGTAGGAATCCAGTTTCATTTCACTCAGTGGGCACTCAGTCTGTTTATGCAACACCATTTATGCAGTAATAAACAAATTCTTGTGAATGGTAATGCAACCACCATCATACACTGTATCCCTGAATATATGGGTGGCTGTGCCTGCACTGCCCAGGCTATTCTATTACTCCTGTTCTAGTAGCACATTATTTTTTATTACAATAGTTTTGTACTATGTGTTATTTTAAGGTAGGATAACTGTCCAAACTTGTGCTTTATTTTCAGAATTTGTTTAGTAATTTACAAACTTCTAGAGCCATTGTTTCAATTTTCCTTAAAGAAGATTACTATAAAAATGAAGCCTGGTTATTAAAAGGAAGATTATTATGCAGAGTGCTATCTGGCAAAGTTATACCCAAAAATTAAAATGCAAATAAGTGGAATATCAATGAAAGGAATTGACATAAATGTACTAGATTTTTTTAATTATAAGAAACTTCTTTTAAACATGACAGATTAAGCCTATATTTAAAATTTCACTGAAATCAGAATAAAGAGAAAAAGTAAAGCATCAGTGGAAAAGGACAGAGCAAATAAGATGATATGAGATGTTACAAACTTTTAAAAGTGAGAAGCTCCATTAGTTTACTTTCACACTTTTAAAAGTTTGTAACATCTCTTAATGTTACAAACTAAGTCCACGGAAAGCTAAGTGCCTGTGGGGAGTGAGGCCAAGGAATAAAGCAGGATGCTTTTAAAAAGCACGCAGAAAAAAATTCTTGGAAATAAAAAAGTGTGATGGGAAAAACAAAATATTTGATTGAAGGGCCAGAGGATAGAGTGGAATTGTTCTCTCAGAAAGTTAAAGCAAAACAACAAATGAAGTATAAGGGAAAAGAATACCTCTGGAAGGGCCAATATCCAAATAATTACACTTCTGAAAGGCAAGGACAGATAAAAAGGAAGAAAAATGACAATGAAATAATACTAGAAAGTTTCTCAGATTCTCAGGGCATAAGCCTCCAGATTGAAAGGTCCCACTGCACACAGTGTAAGATGTGGAATCGCGTGAAACTAACCACTGTGGTATTTTGGAATATCAGGGGAAGAGGCAACATTATGGATTTTAAAAAGACGAATAAAAAAGGTGACTCGTGGAAATGACCTCAGACAATAAACAATGCCTTGACCTTCCTACTAAAGAAAAGATATATCCAATCCAGACTTCTGTATAACAGTCAGTCAATCTCATATGGGGACACAGTGAAGATGCTTTCAGCTAGGCCTCAAAGCGTGTGATTGCCAATTCTTGTGCACGCTTCCTTAAAAGTATTTGCTATACTAAAATGTGGCAGTAATAGAAGAAAGAGGTAAGTATGGGACCAAAAAAATTTCAGAAAACAATCAAAGAAGAATCCCCAGATGATGAAAAGAGAAAACTCTAGGATGACAGTTGGATGTTTCAACCACAAGAGCACAAGTAAACCAGATTAAGAATTCCATTTGAAGAGTATCTGGGAAAAAAATGGGATATTATTAATGGCTTGGAAGTACTCTCCTCTTAGAGAGTGAAGTATTTATTTTATATACATTTGAAAAACAATTTGATTTAAACATTTTTGACAACAATTTTATGAACAGCTATAGAGGACTAAATATAAAATTCTTAATGGATACAAAGATACAGTTAGATAGATGAAATAAGTTCCAGCATTTGACAATACAGTAGAAAAATTATAGTTAACAATAATTTATTACATATTTCAAAATAACTGAAAGATTTATAATACTCCCAACATGCACAAAAAAGATAAATGGTTGGGGTAATGGATGTCCCGATTGCCCTGATTTGATCATTACACATTGTATACAGGTACAAAATGTCACATGTACCTCAAAATATGTCCAACTATTATACACCAAGTTAAAAAAAACTAGATGAAGTAAAAAATTTTATGAAAAAGCTTAAAGTAACAAATTTGGTACCAAAAGAAAGAAAAATGTTACAAAGGCCAATAGCAAATAAAAATATTTAAATGGTGATCAAATTTTCTCCTTGCCCAGAAGCTGCCAACCCAGACAATATTACATGGGTAAATTCTACCAAACTGTCAAAGAATGTGTAACCCATATTTTAAATAATCTGTTATGGAAAACAGAACTTGAAGATGAGCTTCCAAACTCATTTAATGAAGTCAGTTCATAACCTTGCTACCAAAACAGAGCAAGTAAATTACAAGCAAAGAAAATGACAGACCGATTTCATGGGTGAACATACACTCAGAATCAGAAATGGAATAATGGAGTAGGCTAATTAAACCCGAGTGTATTTTTAAATTAATGAAACAAAATGATTGTGAAGCATTTATACCAGGAAAGCAAGAATGCCATCAGAAATGATTCAACATCATATTATTTTATTATCAGAAAAATCTACCAGTGTAATTTTTTTACGAGTGCAGATAAAGAAGAAACTTACATGGTTTTTTTCTCAATGCATTCTTACAAACATCTTTACAGTTAAATGCTATTTGCATTGGAAACCCATAGAAAAAGAGACTCAATAGACAAGCTGTAAGAACAACAAAGAGAATCTGGAGACATTTCCAGATCCAAGACCAGCATATAAAAATGAATGGTATCCCTTGAAACCAGTAATAACTGTTAAGAAAATGTAATAGACAGTAAGACTCAATTTACAATAGAAACAAAATCTCTAAAATATTTAGTAAAATCCAACAAAGAAATTCATGCAATCTGTATGGAAAAGAAAATCACACTATTAAATAACTGCTCTTTTTTCATTAAACTTTAAAAATGTTGGCATAATTTTAGATTCATATGTAATTGTAAGAAAGAATATGGAGATATGTTGTGTAGCCTTTGCCTAGTTTCTCCCAATGGTAACATCTCAAAAGTATATATTACCCCAATTTTACATGCATGTACTCATTTGTGTGTGTGTGTTTTGTTCTGTGCAATTTTATCACATGCATAAGTTATGCATCCTCCACCACAGTCAAGATACAGGACAGTTCCATCACTACAAGGCTCCCCCATACTGTCCTTTTACAGCCACACCCACCTGTCCACCCCCAACCTCCATCCCTTGCCCTTGGCACCTGCTAATCTGTTCTCTATTTCTATAATTTTGCCATCTAAAGGATAAAATGTAAATGGAATTATACACTATGTACTCTTTTAGGATTGTTTTTTCTTAAACTCAGCATAATTCCCTTAAGATCTGTCCAAGCTGTTTTGTGTTTATCAATGTCATTCTTTTTCATTGCTAAGTAGTCATCCACTGTAGTGATATATCGCAGTTATATTTAACCATTTTCCCATTGATGGATGTTTGGGTTGTTTCCAGTTTGGGGCTATTAAAAGTAAAGTAACTATGAACATGTGTCTACAGGTTTTTGTGTGAACATGAGTTTTCATTTATCTGGGATAGATGCCCAGGAGTGCAAGTGCTGTGTCTGTACTAATCATACATTTACTTTTATAAGAAATTGCCAAACTATTTTCTAGAGTACCTATGCCATTTTACATTACCACCAGCAATAAGGGCTAGTTTTTAATATAACAGCACAATTAAGGGTATGTTAATAAACCTGCAAACATTATGAAAGGGTACAAAGGTAAAAGTGCCTCTTACCTCATTTCCAATCACTACAATTAATGACTGCCAACAGTTATTTAATTGGCTTTTAGAACTGTTTTACCCAAATGAGATAATATTCTATGTTTCATAAACTTTGTTAATATGTAGTTTTTTGTGTGTATTCACTTATCTGTGTGTACATATTTATGTCCCTCTTTTAAGGTTACAAAGCATTCTAGTTCATGGGTATGCCATCCTTTATCCACTTGTCTCTTCATGATGGGTGCATTAGGCCATTTTTGCATTGCTATAAACAAATACCTGAGGCGGGATAATTTATGAAGAAAAGAAGTTTATTTGGCTCACAGTTCTGCAGGCTGTACAGGAAGTGTGGTGCTGGCATCTTCTTGGTTTCTGGTGAGGCCTCAGGAAGCTTACAGTCATGGCACAAGGCAAAGGGGAAGCTGGTGTTTCACATGGCAAGGGCAGCAGCTAGAGAGGGAGGGGAGATGCTACACTCTTTTGGATCCTGCAAGAATTCACTCACTATTGTGAAGACAGCATCAAGCCATGAGGGTTTTGCCCGCAGGACCCAAACACCTCTCACCAGGCACCACCTCCAACACTGGGGATTACATTTCAACATGAGATCTAGAGGGGACATACATTCAAACCACATCAATGGGCTTTAGGAAATGTGTTGTTCTTTTTTGTTAATGTAAACAAAACTGTAATAAATATTTTAACATATATCTTAAATGTATATATTACTCACTGTATTCTGTAGGCTAATTTATAAAATTATTGTGTTAAATAGGATGCAAATTCAAATTTTCATGTATATTCTCAATTCCTCTCCTAACAACCGTGCATGTGAGTGCACCTTTTCTTAGGCCCCTCAGACTTTGGCCTTCATCAAAATTCTTCATCTTTCCTTATTTGATGGGCTAAATGTGGAATCTCAACTTCAAGTCAAAGCAGCACTGAAAGAGCCTGTGCTGAAGGCTCCCTCTTCTCTAATCACATAGATAAAATATGCATGGGAATAAAACCTAAAAATGTGTAACCAGGCTGTAAAACAGGAAAAGCATATCTGTGGCTGAGAAATCTAGAAAAGCAGAAGGTGCAGAGCTGATGGAAGCCTCTGGCACCCAGGAAGAATGGGAAGTGAGCCATCTCAGTGCTTAAAATGACCTCCTGCCCCCACAGCCTCCTGCTCTTGAAGGGTGGGGAGAAGCTGCTGCTTCCTGGGACAGCTGGGAAGTGTGAACCCCAATTGGGAGCACTGAACCGTGACATGGACCTGGCCTCTGCTGACCTGGGGATGGTATATGCAATGCCCCCAGGTTCACAGAGAAACACACACTGGACTCAATAAGATGAAATGTGGTTTCGGACTGAGGGTCCAAGGATGTAGATATTGTCAGTTGCAAAATTGTTAGGTATAGTAGAATAGGGAGGAGAGGGACATGGAAAATAAAGTTCCCAAACACATAAGGAATTCTTATGCTAAGAAAGTCTAGCCTCTTCCCACAAAATGCCAATAAATAAAGCATATTTTCACTGAAAAAACTAATGAAAATAATAACATCATAAAAATAGGCAGCAGGGGCAACTAGTTCTGGAACCAAATGGAATGACAGAGTTCTCCCCATTTCTCCAGCTAAGCCCTGAACATTATACAGAAAACAAACATCAGATGCTGAAGGGGAGAGAGAAAAAGGGAGACCAACTAGGGATGTCAGGACAGAAAAATAACTCAGCAGCGAGCTCCCTGGGATTTATTTCTGCCTTGCATATTCCAAACACTGCCAACAGGTACAGACAAAACAAAAAGTCTCAACAAAAGCCTGCTTCCCTTGGCTAAGGACCAGGAAAGAGGCAACCTAGAAACAAAACAGGTGGAAATGAAATAAGATTAAGTGGACTCAAACAATTAAAAATAATAAAAGTGAAAACATATAGACAATGACATTTATAAACCTCAATGGACAGAATGAATACATTTTAGATGATTAATGAATTCAAAGTAAAAGTGAGGATCACCGATCATAGATCATAGTGAGGACCTTCTAAACAGGGAAATTTTTGAAAGTGAAAAGGGCATAGTAATTTCACAGGGACAACATGCAGGGACCAAACTATCCCATGCAAATAGGGAAATACAGTCCACACACCCACCACCAACCTCAGAGTTAGAGACAAATAAAAGTTAATGAAAGGACAGTGATTAGAAAGCAAAGGAAAAGTAAAAGTTTCCAACATAAATTTGGCTGGAATTTCAGAATAAGAAACCAAAGGAAATGGCAGAAAAGCAATTTTACAACAGAGAATTCAGATATTTTGTAAGGTAAGGGAGCTTTCAAATTAAAATTGACTAGGAGTATCAAGTGAGATAAATAAAAACATACACACCAAGGCATGTCTTAGTGAACCCAAAGATGGAAAAAAAAATCTTAAAAGCTTTTGAAGAGAAAAGATAAGGTAGCTACCTAGGAATGACAGAGAATGGTCATAGAGTTTGCAAAAGCAATTGTCAGAACATTGTGAATAATATCTTCAAAAGGACTGAATATAAACAAGTATCAAACGAGAATTTTATATACAGATTAAAAAATTTTTCAAGGGTTTTTGGAAGATGGTACAAGTAGCAGTATTGTTTTTGAATTTCTCTAGGCGCCCCCATGAACACACAGAAATGGAGACAGCAAAACACAAATTCAGTAGCTATCTCCTACGGTAAAGCTAGATAACCCAGTGTCCCTAAGAGCTCAAAACACAAGAGGAGAGATATGAACCACTGACCTCCAAAAGACATGCACGGCTCTGGCAGAAGAGAGAACAATGGTTGTCTGACAGGCCTGAGGCCTTCAGTATGACTGACTAGAAGGCAGGCCTGACTTTAAGGCCCTGCCACCAGTGCCCAGAAGGGGCTCTCACTGGGAAGTTAGTGATTGATCAGCAGTTGCTGTCTAGAAATTCTTAATGAGTTCATCTTTAAACTTGTCCAATAGTACATGGAGCATGCACCAGGGGTTTGGAGACTCAGCACCTGTGTGGCCCTGGGTCTCACTGCCTCCCTGCCTCTGCATAATGTGTTCTCAGCCCTCTGCTTCCCTGCCTCTGCCCAAGGACCTCAGCCACGCTTCATCTCCTGTGGGGACCTGGCACCAGGAGGCCTGGGGTTGGGCATGTGCGCCCCAATGAAGGGAACTGTGGATTGGGGCTTTGGGGCCTATAAAGGTTTGCACTCACCCCACAGGTATTCCTGGGCTCAAGTGAGTACAACATTAAACAGCAAATAAAAGTCACCAGAACAGGTTCGGAGAGAGATCACAGAAAAAAGGGAAAACATTTTTTCTTTCTTAATTTGAACAAGGGTTTTACATTTTTGTTTTACATTGGGTCTCACAAAAATTACATGGCAAGCCCAGTGTGATGGTTGATATTGAGTGTCAACTCGATTGGATTGAAGGATGCAAAGTATTGTTCCTGGGTGTGTCTGCGAGGGTGTTGCCAAAAGAGATTAACATTTGAGTCAGTGCACTGGGAGAGGTGGACCCACCTACCCTCAATCTGCATGGGCACCATCTAATTGGCTGCCAGCACAGCTAGAATAAATCAGGCAGAATTTGGAAGGACTTAGCTTTCTGAGTCTTCTGGCCTTCATCCTTCTCCTGTGCTGGATGCTTCCTGCCCTCCAACATCAGACTCCAAGTTCTTCGGCTTTTCAACTCTTGGACTTACACCAGTGATTTGCCAGGGGCTCTTGGGCCTTCAGCCACAGACTGAAGGCTGCACTGTCGGCTTCCCTACTTTTGAGGTTTTGGGACTAGGACTGGCTTCTTTGCTCCTCAGCTTGCAGACGGCCATTGTGGGATTTCACCTTGTGATCATGTGAATCAATACTCCTTAATAAACTCCCCTTCATATATACATCTATCCTATTAATTCTGTCTCTCTAGGGAACCCTGACTAATACACCCTGCCAATGGCTACTTTCTGGAAATCCCCAGAAGGCCAACTTTTGAAAGCAGCTGGAATTGGGAAGGATTTGCTCATTCTTAAAGCCAGGGAGAGCCAGAATATCTCAGAAAGGACAGCAGAGCAGACAAGGTCCTGAAAACGCTCAGTAATAATAAGCAAACCTCCCTTCAGGACAAAGCCCCAAAATAGGAGGAAACTGGAAGGGCAGAGTTCAAATTGAACTGGATGGAGATAACAATAGAGAAAACGGGAATTAAAATCCAGTTATGACTGGGGAGGCGAATAGAGTCAGACTCCTAGAAAGCAAAATGCCATGTTTTCGAACACTTTCTCAAAACAACAGGTCACTTGTGTTAGCAGTCACAATTCAATCAGAGAAGCAGCACCACTAGCATGTCTGTGTGCGTGTTTGTGTGCATGATTGTGTAACAGCAAATCTTAGGAGCTGCTTCACCAGCCTTTGAGAAGCTGTTATATTTGCCTCTGGAGCTGCAGTCTGGAGTTCACACCGAGGCAGTTAGCCAGGAAGGGAAGATGTCTGTACAGTGGGGAAGAGCAACAGCAAGCAGGAACTCACAAGCACATGTTGGAACCTTGTGAGGATGGGATGACATCTGGGTCAGACTTGCTGCCCCCGACATTAGTGGAAGTGGTATCCTGCAGAAGCTGTGGCTCTGTGTCATGGAGCTAAACACATGCTTGGCCCAGAAGATGCAGAAGCTGAAGGAAGATCCAGTGGAGGATGAAGCCCAGCCACTGCTTCACACCAAGAAAGTGAGTCAGCAGATCAGTTCCAATACCTGTAAGCTTCAAAATGGCTGGTGTTCCAGGTCTTCCTTCCAAAGCTCCCCCAAAAACCTCTCTAGTCGAGCCAAAAAAATACAGTGAAGGGAATTCTGAAAAACAGTTTGGCCTTGTCAAATAGGCACATTACAAAACTACCACAGTACTCGAGAGCTGTGATACAAGAAACGCTTCTAAATCATGCCTCCATTCTGAAAATTTAGAACTATAATGTCATGTAAAGATAGTAACAGGGAAATAAATCAAAGGAATGCAAACATTCTATGGAAAAAATGTTAAATGCTTGCCAGAACGACATTTTGATGAAAGGATTAAAAGTGTACCAACAGAGGGATACACTTTGATTGTTTATAGAAATCTATATCCTATAACTTTTAAAGTAATTGTCTAAGAAAATAGATGGAAAAAACAAAAGAACAGTGTAAATTAAATGATAGAATTCAGGGGCCAGGCGTGGTGGCTCACGCCTGTAATCCCAGCACTTTGGGAGGCCAAGGAAGGTGGATCATGAGGTCAGGAGATCGAGACCATCCTGGCTAACACGGTGAAACCCTGTCTCTATTAAAAATACAAAAAATTAACTGGGCATGGTGGTGGGCACCTGTAGTCCCAGCTACTTGGGAGGCTGAGGCAGGAGAATGGCATGAACCCGGGAGGCGGAGCTTGCAGTGAGCCGAGATGGCGCCACCGCACTCCAGCCTGGGCGACAGAGTGAGACTCTGTCTCAAAAAAAAAAAAAAAAAAAAAAAAAAAGATAGAATTCAGGGAAAAATAAACTTAAAAACAGAATCTTATAAATAAACACAACAGAAATGCAAATAATCACAACATAGTGTCTTAAGAAAAGTGGAAAAAGAGGACAGTTTAAAAAAAATTTTTTAAAGATATGCCAAGAATTTGAGTGAAAGTGATAATATAAAAGACTACCACCCCAACCACAAAAAACACAACATACAGGTCCAAGAAGAAATCCCAAATAAGGGAAGAAAACAAGTACTAAGAATGGCATTTTGTTGAAAAAAATATTTTATAAACAAGAGATTTGAAACAATGAAATAATAAATTGCATACCTGGGAAAGTCAACTCAGAACAACCAACACCAAAACACAGTTAAAAAGAAAATGTCCTTTCTCTTTCTTTTTAAATATTTAGGGGAAAAAAAGGAAAAAAGTGATGTAAAACAAAGAGAAAATTAGCTTATCAGACTTTCAAGAGCAGCATTTTGTGCCAGAATAAAAGGAACATTATAAAGATACTCAACTTTTTAAAAAATGAGCTGAGGATTTTATATCCTAACAAACTGACTTTCAAGTATAAAGGGAGCAAACTGTCATCCATATGGAATAACATACAGAATATTTTCCATGGGCCCTTTCTTCATAATGTACTGAGAATGAGGTTTAAATAATGAACATTACTGGAGAGACAGTGGCATAAAGACTGGCTGAGCATTAAATATATATTTCCATGGAGAGCTAAGACGAAATCTGCGATATGAGGGAGAGTAGAGCATGTAATAGTTATATACTTTGACAATGGGTGGAAAGCAGAATTTTCTAAAAAGGGAAAGAGAAAATGGAAAAAGCATATGCAAAACAATTTTTAAATGCTTCTCTATAATCATGTTGGTGACAATGTTGCTATTGCTACTCTCCTTATGTTTTGCTTGAAATGTGAGATGAAGAAAATAAGCAATACATGTGTTATTTGAATCCCCAGGGCCCTTCAGAACCAAGACTTTTAGAAGCTGCAAGTGTGAAATAGAAAAGATTAAGTAAGCACTCTGAAATCCTAAATTTGAACTCATAGGATATTTTTCATAGATAGATAGGTATCCTAAATCTGTCCACTGACGAGGCCCAAAAATAACATTTGCAACTAAAAGGTACCAGAGTTTCTTAGAGAAATAGTTGAAATAGCTAATTCTAGGTCTGGGGTGGGAAATATAGAAAATAAACAGAGGAGCTCAGAATATCATCGTACCACAGAGAGCAAGGGCACCAGCCAAGACCAGCAGGATTGCGCTAAAGGAACTTGGGAGTCAACCTGTAGAACAGGCACTCACCAAACCATGGGGCAACTTGAGGATCAGTAAGGATAACGACCGTAATCAAAACACACCAAACAGGGTTCTCTGTGAGCTCATAATGATACACTGTATTAGTCCAGATCCACCAATATAGAATTAAATGTGAAAGGATTTTATTGGAGGAAAAGACCCTGTGGGAAAAAAGTAGGGCGCATGCTAGAGAAGTCTGGAGATCTATCAGACTGCAATGTGTATCTGATCCCAAGTGAAGGAGGGAGGGAGGAAACATGGCATTGAAGAGTCTTGGACTGCCAGGAAGAAAGGTTCAGCAGGAGCATTGAGAGCCCTTGAGCCCAAGTTGGTTGTCAGCAGAGTTCAGCATCTCTTAGGAACAGTTTTCCTGGGAACAAGAAGCAGGATGTTGTGAGACATGGCCTATCACAAATACTGGGATGGACTTTGTAGCTCCATAGCTGCGACTCTTGTTGAATTATGCTATCTGAAGTTGGCAGTTGGCATGGACACCTGGACACACACACACACACCCCTACCTGATTAGTTAACTTTATAGGACACTAAGGGACCAGGTATCTGTGTTAAAATCTCATAAATAAAGGGAACATGTATACTTCCTTTCCTGTGCAAACTACCACTCAGAAGCTAATGGCAGATGTGCGGATATCTTTAAAGGAAGAGGGAATGATAGAACTGGAGCATTGCCACTTTGCAACACCTACAAATCAAACAAATCTAAGTACTAGCTTCTAAGAATCTATTGCTACTAATTACAAAAAAAGAAAGATAAGGCCAGGCATAGTGGCTCATGCCTGTAATCCTAGCACTTTGGGAGGCCAAGGTGGGCAGATCACCTGAGATCAGGAGTTTGAGATTGCCTGGCCAACATGGTGAAACCTCATCTCTACCAAAAATACAAAAATTAGCCGGGGATGGTGACGGGTGCCCATAATCCCAGTTACTTGGGAGGCTGAGGCAGGAGAATCACTTGAACCCAGGAGGCGGAGGCTGCAGTGAGCCAAGATCGTGCCATTGCACTCCAGCCTGGGCAACGAGAGCGAAACTCCGTCTCAAAAAAAAGAAAGAAAGAAAGATAAGTATATATTGTGTGCCTCTTGACAATGAACACAATGAACACAACAGCACCGATGGTGTAATCTTCCTCCCCAAAGTGAAATCTGAATCAGATTAAGTTTATAGATTCAACTACTAATCTGCAGGAAATCTAGAGGATAAATGAAACATTAAACTCTACCATGGGAATGCAATCAGCAGAATCAGCAGAATCTTGACTCTACAGGATTGGTTTCTAAAATGAAAAAAAAATCTTTCAGTTTAGGAAGATACAGAGAGAAATTTTTAAAAATCAGGCTAACCTAAACTCACTGTTTAGGGCTCCTCAACTAGATAATGAAATAATAATAAAGAGTAATAAGGGTATTTCCAGAAAAGCTAGAGCAGGAGTTAGTCTTGTTAGGGGAGGATGGTGCTTGTCTTGGGAAGGTGGCCTGAACCTTCTGTGGTTGCTGCCAAGTTCTCTCTAATTTATGGGTGGAGTTAAAGGGACATTTATTTTGTAATAACTCATCAAGTGGTACACTTGGTCTAAACTGCTTTCCGTTTTCCTTTATTCTGACAAAAAATACACAATTCAAATGGAAAATAAAGACATTTATAGACATACGATGGCAGAGAACTTACCATATAAAGAGACTCACTAAAAAGTAAAGATATATGTTTATAGAAAGAGTAAACGTAGGGGGAAAGAGAGTGAATTAAGAAACCATATGTTGATAAAATTAATTAACTATGCCTATATAAATTATACTGGTAATCTTAAGTAAATAGCAGATATAAAAAGTAACTTTCCAGCTGGGTGCGGTGCCTCACACCTGTAATCCTAACACTTTGGGAGGCCAAGGTGGGTGGATGGCCTGAGCTCAGGAGTTTGAAACCAGCCTGGGCAACACGGTGAAACCCGCCTCTAGTAAAATACAAAAAATTAGCCGGCACCTTGGCGTGCACCTGTAATCCCAGGTACTCGGGAGGCTAAGGCAGGAGAAATGCTAGAACCTGGGAGGTGGAGGTTTAAGTGAGCCGAGATCACGCCACTGCATTTTAGCCCGGGTGACAGAGTGAGACTCCATCTCAAAAAAAAAAAAAAAAACGGAAAAGTAACTTTCCAGATCTAGTTCCAGGGAAGATGGGGTAAACACACCCTTTCCTACTGAATACAACCTATAAAACCTGAACAGAATGCATAGGCAGCAATTTGGGAACTCTGCAAAATAAACATCAGTAGGCAGATCAAAGGAAGAAACCATCAGAATACCATCAAAATACACATGAACTGCTGGCGAGTTTAATCTTTTTTTCCTTGCGTTATTTCCCAGTCTGAATTCAACGCAGTTAGAAAACCAGAACTAAGCACTGAGGTGCGGAAATAGAAACAACAGAAACTCTCTAGCTCAGGCTCAAAGACCAGAAAAGGGAAATGTAGAGAAAGAGAGAGAAATCCCCCATTTTTTCTCCCCATTTCCTCAGTTCTTGCACCCTAGCCCCAGGCAATTGTATAATGTGGGTAGCAGGAAGAGCAAAGACAGCCAGCAATGGAAAAACTGAAGGAGTTAAGTATCTGAGAGAGGGAATCTCCCTCTAGCATTTGGTGTGGCTATAGTTCCAAGAGGGTAGAGTCAATCCCAGGTGTTTCCATTTTTCTTTCTGTTCTGCACTGTATGGGCCCGGTATAGACTGTAATTATGGAACAGAGCAGTTTTTGGTCAGAGGACTGAAAAAGAGAAGGTCAGGAAACCAGAAAGTACTGGAGAGATAGCAGAGCGCAAGCTTGGGAAAGTGACCCCATAACACTGTTTATCAGCTCAAGGACTCACCTCTGACCTGTACATTCACGGTCCTGATCATAATCAGCACACTAAAGACTCTGAGAACTGAGATAGCCAGTAGACCTTTGCTCATTTTCCTAACTGACCACTAAGTAAGTGGTACAGGTCTAGGACAAATGTGAATATTACTGAAAGGCTTCGAAAACTGGCCTGATATGGGAACCACAGCCTACAGAAGGCTAAAACATAAATAGTAACACTTTTTATAGGATTTGAACAAAATTTAAACAAGAAGGGGCTCACAACATAATATTCAAAATGTGCAGTATAAAATCCAAAATTATATTGCATTTGAAGAATAAAACAAAAAAACCTTCAACTTTCATTAGAAAAGACAAGCAACAGACATCAATGATGAGATGTTGGCATTATCTAACACATCTTCAAAGTGGTATTAAAAAGTGCTCAGATAAGCAAACTTCTGAAACTTATGACTTGATTTTTCTGTTCATATGTTTCCATGGAAAAAATTACAAAATGAAGCCTTCTGACAGGGAAATATCAAGTTAGATGACTTCCCTGGTTAATTTTTCTAATAACTTTTGGAGAAAATATATACATAACACAAAGCTTACACACTTTCAGAATATAAAAAATGGGGAATAATTCCCAACTCATTTTATGAGGCCAGCATAATCTTGGTACCAAAATCTTACAAGCTTATTATTAAAATAAGAAAATATGAGGCATGTTTCCTTTGATAAAGATAAATGTAAAGTTCTAAGGAGATAATTGTGAAACAAATTCAACAATACTTTTAAAAATAATAACCAAATGTGTTACTTTTCAGAATTGCAAAATGGGAAGGAATGGGTAAACAGTGTGTCTGTAACTCATTCCTCCAGCCTCTGAGACAGTTTTAATTGTGACCCAAACTCCTAGCAAAGGACGGCTGATGAAACACACCAGCTACACCGTAAGTGAAACTTCAGCAAGGGTTGCTAGGTACAGACTATGGATCCAGGAGCACTTTCAGGACAAAACACCTAGCTTGTCTATAATATTTGTTATAAATAGATCTGCAATTTACGAGCTGCAGTTCTGCATTGGACAATAGAAGTTAGTCATGTAGCCAGTACAGGGCTGCCTGCCTTGGAGGATATAAAAGCTGAGTGATAACTAAACCCAGTTGCTTTCTTGCACTAACTTGTCCTCTATGCAGTTTGCACTCCTCACTCTGAAGGCAAAATTCACTCTGAGTAGAAAAAGGAGACACAGAGAGCTGAGTGTGAAGAGCTCAGGGTCTCCCAGATATTGAAGTGGTGCATGTTGCTGCTCTTGCTTGCATCTTTTACTAATCATTAGTAAAGCTTGGTGCTGAACAAGACTTGAATTTCATATAAATCTGATCAATAATGTAGATCTTTGTATTGTGTGTAGGGTTAACTCAACAATAAAAAGTCATTGCAATTCAAAATACTAATGAAAAAAGGATAAAAACAATCTCATCTTAATAGACACTTTACAAAGATGTAACTCTACCCTCATTTGTGATTTTTAAGGATTGTTATCTGAGTAGGAATAGAAGGGAATTTCCTCCTTGTGAAAAGGTTTATCTAAAAAATAAAATAACAAAACAGAACAACAAAAAACTATAGCTAACATTTTACTTAGTGGCTGTTGTGGGTTGAATTATGTCTCCAACAAAAGATATGTTGAAATCCTAGCCCCTAATACCTATGAATGTGACTTTATTTAGAAATAGGGTCTTTGCAGATGCAATCAAATTAAGATGAGGACATTAAGTTGGGGCCTAATCCAATATGACTGGTGTCCTTATAAGAAGAGGGAAATTTGAACACAGACACACAGGGAGAACAACAATGGAAGATGAAGGCAGAGATGGGAGAGACATAGCTGCCAGCCAACAAACATCCATGATGGCCAACCACCACCAGAAACTGTGAAGAGACGAGGAAAGTTCTCCCCAGAGTCTCAGCAGGGGCATGCTGACATCATGATTTCAGACTCCTAGCCTCCAGAACTGTAAGACAATACATTTATATGTTTTAAGCCACCGAGTTTTCAGTACTTTGTTATGGAAGTGCTAGGAAACGAATATAGTGGTGAATTATTGAAGGCCTTCTGCCTGAGACCAGAAATGAGACAAAGCAGTATGCTATGACTTCTACTCAGTATTGAATTTGATGGTCCCAGCTAGTGTCATAGTGAGTGAAACAGGCCAAGAAAAAGAAATAGATGAATAAGGATTGGGACGGATAATCTACAGAAAAACCATTATAATCAATAGGAGAGTTTAGAACTTCACTGGATAAAAGACCAATATGCAAATATCATGTATATTTCTATACATGCAACAGTTTTAAAATTAAATGTAAAAAATCTGTCATTTTAATAGCATCAAAAGACACCAATGTCTATGAATAATTCTTATGAAAGTGTGCCAAAATACCTGTGTTGAAGACTACAAAATATTATTGTGAGAAATTAAACAAGATCTAAATAAGTGGAAGAAAACATCACGTTTGTATATTACAGGACTCAGTAAAGACATCAATCCTTCCCAAGTTGATCTAAAAATTCTATAGAATCCCAGTAAAGTTAATATAAAATAAATTATTTTATTCTATTAAAATGAAAAGGGTCAAGAATATTCAAGACAATCTTGAAGAAATACTAAAAAGGAGGAAAATTAACACTACCATGTATAAAGAGCTACTATAATGCTATAGTCATTAAAAGAGTGTGATATTGGTGCAAGTCTAAGCAAATAGACTGGACCCACATATATACACTGTTATGTGATGCACAAAGGTGACATGGCAATGCAGGAAGAAAGATTACTTTTTCATTAAGTGGTATAGAGTCAATTTAATATTCATATAAGACAATGAATCCCTATTCCTACCATACTTCATAGCATACACAAAATTTAATTCTAGATGGGTGACAAATATCAACATGAAAGGTAAGACCATAAAACTCTAGGAAGACATAGGATGTTACCTTCACGACCTTGGGGTAGACAAAGAGATCTAAAGCACAACACAAAAAATGCAAACTGTGATTGGAAGCGTTGATAAATTGGACTACACTGAGATTAAGAATATCTATTCACCAAAAGATACCATTAAGAAAGTTAAATGAAGCCAGAGTTCTAAAAATTATGTTCAATATCAATGTCTGACAAAGGACTCCTTCTGAATGAAGAATTAATTCCTACAAATAAATAAGAAAAAGGCAGACAACACAATAGAAAAATGGACAAAAAACCCTGAAAAATCAGTTCACAAAGGATATCCAAAATAACAATAAACACATGAAAAGCTGCTCCACTTCTTTAGTCATCAGGGAAATGCAAATTAAAAGCCACATTGAGATCAAATTACCCATAAGCCAAAAAAATCTGAAATTAAGTCAAAGACAAGTGGATGAATTATGTGAGGCAACTAGATCACTCATACATTGTGCTGGGAGTGTAATTAGAACAAATATTTTGAGAGACTGACAATATCTAAGAATAGTATATATCTAGAAAAAACTGTGCTGTTTTGGAAACAGAAAAGCACAATTTGAAGTAAATCATCGGTCAAAGAAGAAATCACAAAGAAGTTAGAAAATATTTTGAACTGGAGGTTATGAATATAGAACATATCAAAATTAGGAGGAGGCAACTAAAGTAGTGTTTAGATGGAAATTTGCATATTTAAATGCTTACATTTGAAATGAATCTAAAATCAGCAACCTCAGTTTACACTTCAAGAAGTTTGTAAAAAATGAGCAAATTAAACCCCAAATAAGTAGAAGGTAATAAGAAACACAAGAATAGAAATCACTGAAATTTCAAAAAAAAAATTGAGAAAAAGCAAAAAGTTGTACCATGAAAAGATTAGTAATATCGTTAAACCTTAGTAAGTGTAATCAAGAACAAACAGGAGAAAACACAAATTCCTTGAAACAGTAATGAAGAGGAGGTATCACCACATAGCCTATATATATACATAAGGTAATAAAGGCACATAATAAACAACTTTATGTCAATAAATGCAATAACTTAAATGAAATAAACACATTTGTAAAAAAAAATACAATTTAGTAAGCTTTTCCCAAGAAGAAATAGAAACTGAATTGTACTACATATCTATTAAAAATTGGGTTAACGTTAAGAAAATAATCTTTCCACAAAAACTCCAGACACAGATAGTTCCACTAGTTAGTTTCATCAAACATTTAAGAAACAAATTATATCTTGCACAAACTATTTCAGAAAGTAGAGGAGGAGGAAGCATAAGATCTTCTACCAAAATTAGATGATAAAATTACAAGAAATGAAAATGATGGAGCAATATCCTTCATGGATATACATAGAAAATTCTTTTAAAATCTACTAACAAATTAAATTCAGCAGTAATCAAATCCATGACCAAGTGAATTTGTGGTTTGATGTCTTTTGTAAATATTGAAAAGTTCTCAGAATTTATTCTTTGAATAGTGCTTTTGTCTTACATTGACTCTCCATTTAATGAAAGGATCTTTTATATCTGAAAGACCTGGGGAGGAAGGTAGCCACCCAGCAAAGTCATCTGAACTTTTTGATTGTGGTGTGAGGGAGAAAGAAACTTTCATTGTGGTAAGCCAATGAGAATTGAGGATTATCACTGCAATGGACATCACCCACTATGATAACTAGCTTTACCATTTTAAACGTACAAATTTTATTTATTTTTATTATTTTTATTTATTTATTTATTTTGAGATGGAGTCTCGCTCTGTTGCCCTGCTAGTGTGCAATGGCATGATCTGGGCTCACCACAACCTCTGCCTCCCGGGTTCAAGCGATTCTCCTGCCTCAGCCTCCCGAGTAGCTGGGATTACAAGTGCCTGCCACCATGCCCGATTAATATTTGTATTTTCAGTAGAGACGGGGTTTGGCCACGTTGGCCAGGTTGGTCTCGAACTCGTGACCTCAGGTGATCCACCTGCCTCAGCCTCCCAAAGTGGTGGGATTACAGGTGTGAGCCACTGCACCCGGCCACAAATTTTATAGTTTATTTTTCAGTGTCCTATTATCTCAAATTGTGAGGCACACATTTTCCTGTTTACTCTGCCTACTGACTTTCCCTAATTGACGATGGCCTAGGATGATGTAGAGTTTGTTTCCTTGAATGGTTTATATTTTTTATTTTGAACTGATTTTCATGGATATTGCGATTTGGGGGCATTTTTTGGAGTCCCATGTGTGTAAAGTTACTAAATCTTCCTCCGGAGGAATTCTTGAATTCTAAACCATATAATACACATTTGGACTCCACACCTAAGCCTAATGCACTTTTTGGTTTTTAAATGTGTAATTATCTTTTTCCCCCTATCCGGAGCCCAAGCAGAAAACATGCTTCCTTCCACTTCCCTGGCTAATGGTTGAGGTTTCCTGGTCTTTTTTACACTGGAAAGGAGATTACACCAATTTCTGGATTTATGTGAATATCTCAGTTCCAGTTCCCCACCTCTCATAGGCCCCAAGCCCAAGGTCACCTTACCTCCTGAGAGTGTGTTAAAATTTCCCTCTTACCCATAGAATCTATATTTTTGGTATGCCCAGGCATGTATTCACATCCTGCTATGTTTTATTTGCTGTTTTTTTTTTGTTTTTTTTTGTTTTTTTTTTTTTTGCTTTGGGAACGGGAGTGAGTGTAGAACCTATACAGTCCCGTCAGCTCTATTCCAAGAATGTTCTGCTCTTTTCTTCGTTTCACAAATGAAAAACCTGAGTCCCATAGATGGGAGTCAATACAGCCAAACTCACAGACCTACCTATGGCACAGGGGAGACTGAAGTTTATTTTCCAACTTCCAGCAGTCCTACATTGTAAGCTGAGTGAGTGGACTGCGCTTGCAGGTCCTCCAGGTGCCTAGCGAGAACAGAGGACAAATAAATATTTACGAATTGCTTGTCTCACCTGAAAATGGTTTATTTCTAGGTTTCTGATATTATGGGGTGCAATGGCGGTAAAGAAGCAGTTCTGGTTTCAGGAATGTGATCCTGATAGCCATACTCCAGAAAAAATCAATAAATTCCCTTGGCCCCATGGGCTCATGCTCTTCTAGAAGGGAAGACAGGGCTCTTAGGTACTTTCAGCGCTCGTAGAAGAGTGTTGTTACAGTCCCATGACCAGTGCAGGGGATGTGCCACTGAGAATCTTTTCACTGATGCTTCATGGGCTTTCTCTATTCTGCTACTGGGTTTTATTTCCCTTCTTCTAATTCTCCCTTTACCAACAACTAATCCCCTGTAGATAATTAATTCATCAAGTGCCTGCTCTGTGATGTCCGGACTGCTAGAAGTGGTAGGGGGACTCAAGAGCCAGATGAAGCTAAGGGCACGCCTGTCTGCTCTCCAGGGACCCCTGGCGTCCCTTTCTCCTGGCAGAATGACTGCTATCCTTTGAGGTGAATCCAGTTCAGCTGTCACCTCTTCTATTAACCACTCTCCAAAAACAGCTAATCCTTCTTCTAGGCTCTTACCGCAGTTATGAAAGCCTATGCTGACCCTTTGTTTAAACATGTGTACATTAACAGTAATACATTTAAGACACTTCATGGCAAGGGCAATATACTGCGTTATTCTTCCAAATCAAATAGTTGGGCTCAGTCCCCCATTCCTGCTACTGGGGTACAGTCAAGCTCAGTCACCTTTTGGTGAGCCTTTCCCTAGTTCTTGGAGTCTTAAAAGAATCCCGTGGTTTTCGGCAGTTCAGAAACCCAGGCATTGCCGCTGCGTGGTCCACGGGAGTTGCTCTGGTGGAGCTCGGATGCCCGGGGGCTGCAGGAAAGAAGGTGGCAGCGCCCCCTACGCGGACGCAGGGCGCTGCTGTGCTCAGCAGAAGGGAGCAAATGGGATGGAGCTTCAGCCACCCTGGAAGCCGCCCCTTGGCGCCTTCCTCCCTCCCTTCCTCTTTCCAAAATCAAGCCCCCTCTTCAACATCAAGAACTCTCCGCACTCCCTGGACCTCTCAGAGCCTCTCCTCATTTACTCTTTCCAATGCGCTGGCTCAAAAGAGCCTAGATAAGAACACCAAGTTCTGGCTGTCCTTCCAGCAAAGAGTTAGGAGTTAACTTTTCAATCTTTTTTAATCTCCTTTAAAAAAGAATGAGCCATACATTAGGGTAACCACTGGGAATCCCATCACACACATTGGCGGCATCTCTCCTCCCCGACAGGGTGCCTCCAGCACTTCAGATCCCAGCCGAGAGTCTGGCTGCTGGCGCCCAGCAAACGGTGCGGAAAGCAAACCGGGGCTCGCGGAAAGCGGGAGGAGGGGGGCTTCCTCGGGTCTGTTTTGTCTGGTTGGCAAGACTTCCGAAGCCTGGTTCCCTATAGCTGCCACCCGGTCGCTGGCGTGGAGGAGGGAGTCCGGGAAGACTGGACCCCAGAATTGTCCCGGCTTTCTCCCGAGTGCCCAGCGCAGCTTCTGGCTGAGAGCGGGAGCGGGCTGAGTGGGGACAAAGAACGCAAGGGAGAGGTAGAGCCTGGCCTTGGGCAGCCCCTGGCCTGGCCAGAGGCGCGAGGCCGAGAGCCCGCTCGGTGGAGACTGGGGGTGGAGGTGCCCGGAGCGTACCCAGCGCCGGGAGTACCTCCCGCTCACACCTCGGGCTGCAGTTCCCTGGGTGGCCGCCGAGACGCTGGCCCGGGCTGGAGGGATGGGGGGGCGGGGACGGGGGCGGGGGCGGGGCTCGTCACGTGGAGAGGCGCGCGGGGGCGGGCGGGGCGGGGGCGCGCGCCCGGCTCCTTAAAGGCGCGCGAGCCGAGCGGCGAGGTGCCTCTGTGGCCGCAGGCGCAGGCCCGGGCGACAGCCGAGACGTGGAGCGCGCCGGCTCGCTGCAGCTCCGGGACTCAACATGCGCTGCTCGCCGGGAGGCGTCTGGCTGGCGCTGGCCGCGTCGCTCCTGCACGGTAAAGCCACTGCCTCCCCGCCCTCCACTCCTCCGTGGGATCCCGGGCACATCCCGGGCGCCTCTGTGCGCCCCGCGCCTGGGCCAGGTTTGGGATCTCCCCGCCGCCGGGGAGGGGCAGCGGGGGCGCTGCGGGGGCTGCTTGTCTGGGCTGCACCGGGTGGGCGGCGGGGGACGCCGGCAGGAGGGAGTCGGGGGTACCCCCGCCGGCCTGCCCTGAGCCCCCTGCCCGGGTCTTCTCTCCTTAAGTGTCCCTGCAAGGCGAGTTCCAGAGGAAGCTTTACAAGGAGCTGGTCAAGAACTACAATCCCTTGGAGAGGCCCGTGGCCAATGACTCGCAACCACTCACCGTCTACTTCTCCCTGAGCCTCCTGCAGATCATGGACGTGGTGAGTCCCGCCTGGCTACAGGGCTGCCCTCTCCCCTTCCTGGGCTCCGAGGGGCTTTTTAGACAGCGTCGGGCGGCCAGGCGGTGGAGCTCGGCTGGGGCACTCTAGTTGGCCCCAAGCTAGGCAGGGCCATGCTCTGAGTCTGTCCCCAGCCTGCCCTCTCCTGAGTGTCTCATTTCTCGGTTTCCCCTCCAGCCAAGGAGGGACCTGGTAAAGCTTATTCCATCACCCTGGCCACCTGTGCATGGTTACTTGGGTCCCACCTTTCTCTCAGGTTAGAAACTCAAGCATCCTGAGCTGGGACTCAGTAGCAAGAACAGGTGAAGTTCACTTTTTAATCTCCCTTATGGTGTAAGTGTTGACTTGCATTCCAGCATTGTCAATTTAGCCACTTCTAGACTTTTCTGCCGCCTATGGTATGTAACTTCTTTGGTGGGGGCCTGGCCCTGAGCTTTGCAGCTGGCGAATCTATCCAGGCAGAGGGCAAGAGGGCCAGCTGTGAACTTTCACTGTGACCCCATCTTAGGAATGGGCATGCTTTGCCTTCCTGGTGAGGACAGGTACTGGGAGTCCTGCTCCGAGGACTCAGGGTTCCCCGTCAGGAATACATGTGTCTGTCCCTCCAGGCAGCTGCCATCAGTTCCGTGGGTCTCTTGCCTTGCAGCCTTGCTAGTGCCCACTTCAGTTAGCCAATCTGTGTAAACTTGCCTATTGTTCCTCTATGCTGCTTTGGATATTCAATATTCATGGTATATTCTCCATACAATACAAATACTTCACACAAGTGTTTAATTCATTATAAGTGGGTTTGGTGTCTTGTCTATACGGAGTATCGGATTCTATTGTGGAGCACCCTGGAGTGTGGCAGGGTGGGGCACAGGGATAATAATGTTCATTGGGAGGGAGAGCATGATGGGAAAGAGGTGAGAGAATAGCCACAATTACTGGTTAAAAAAGAAATAGTGCTAAGAGCTACCTGGCAAAGTGGAAAAAGGTAAGAGGTGATATTTCATAATCCTACAAATAAACAGTTACCCGCACTATCATGTTGATGAATGGTATATCACTTAACCTAGTTAAAATTGCCATCATACATTGCCTCCTTTCCAACGCTACACTCGCCTCAAATGTGTTCTTCCTCCTACAGACAGAATCATGCTTTAAAATATTGAATGTATATGTGATGATGTGGAAAAGTTATCATGAGAAGAGCTGTAGGGGAAGGCAGGTTCAGTCTCATGTGTTGCAGAGCAGCAAAAGTTGCTGTTTATGGAGCAGTTCCTCAGTTGCTTTAAAGAGCTCAGGATTTGTACTTGGGATCTTCGGTGGGTTCTGTCTGTGTTGGTTTCTGGATGGCTGCTGTTAGGTAAGTTTCTTAAGCATCTTGAGCCTTGGCTTTCCGGCTAATAAAATGCACACTGTCAGTCATTGTGATCAACTAAAGAATATGGAAACAACTTGAAGAGACCTTAAAGCTAGATATGTGATTATGGTCATTTTCATGCAGAAACCACATGAAAAAGGACCAGGCAGCAGAGCTAACACACCCCGCAAGTGGTGTGTGACAGGGTGAGAAAGGGACAGTAGCCCCCTCTTCCCCCATTTGTCCAGGGTCAACTCCAGCCAGGCTGTCACACTGTTTGTGTCTGCTCCACAGCTGTCTCTCTTGGAGTGGGTGACCCTGTATTGCCTGGATGGGGGTGATGGTGTAGTAGCCCCTCAGTAGAGGAACAGGAGGAAGTCAGTAGAACAGGCTCCTGAGGTTGCAAAGGCTGCGGCAGCACCTTTTGGAGAAGAGACCACTCGCGGAGAAGCTGCAGGCTTTCTTCTGGGAACTTCTTCTTTAAGAGACTCTTAAGAAACCAAGTTATTATGAGGAGCTCTGAGTCTTAGGAGAAGTTTAGGCATAAGTTAGTGTTATACTACATGAACATTTAAAATAACTTTTGTCATGTTAGAAAATTACAAAAATAGCACATTGGCACTTTGTGTCAATGACATTCCAGTGTCCTTAGGAAATGCATGTGAAGAAGGCTGTCAGCAGCCAGAGGTCATGGGAAGGGGGCGGGAGAAAGTTTATCTCTCACCTTAGCCGTGGTATTGGCTGTGAACACATTGAACTTCCCAGCCAGGCAATGCTATGTTCATGGAGTGGCCTTGAACAAACTCACTTACCTTTCTAAGCTCTGTTTTCTCATGTGTTAAATGAGAATAATAATACCTGCTTCAGAGGGTTTTGAGAGGATTAAATGAGAGAAAGTGCTTGCCCACACTGGTGATTCACTGAAGGTCTGCTCCATCTTAATTATGTAACTACTCAACTCAGAGGTCAAGAAGTCCATGCCTAGAAGGGTGTGGTCACATGCCCAAGGTCACTCTGTGATTAGAGGTAGGGCTATGAGGAAAACCAACATCGGACAAGTCCTTTGTCTTTCATCTGCTGCTTCCTTTAGACTTGGTAACTTCGGCAGAACAAAGTCATTTAATTTATTTAAACTGGGTGAATTGTAACTAATTTAATGTGACTTTCCTGAGATCCTGGATGAAGCCGAAGTCTCTATCAGACATAACAAAATATGCAAACATTTGTATTCCAGCCTTACTTGGCTCTGCCTGGTTTTTGAAGCAGAGCCAGGTCTCTCCAGCTGAAATCTCAGCGCTCTGGACAGAGACACAATGGTTCTCATAAAGGCTTCGTGTGGCAAAATCTTGGCTGGTATAGATTCTCTTTACACATTTGTTGCCCATTTTAACTGGACTGTTCTAGAGACCATAGTAGTTGGTTTTCCTACTCCCAAATATTGTTATTGATTGCTTTTGTTTGTCAGCAGAGATTCCTGACTGGAGTGATAGGAAGACACCATATGATGTTACATATTTGATTTTTGTGAAAGATCATTTACTCTTTAATCAATTTATTCCACACATGCTATTGAGCTCCTGTTGTAGACTTTGACAAATTCTGAGAATTAACAGAAAGATGAGGGATTATTTTTCCTTTCAGAGATCTCATGAGCTGGCTAGGGAGATTAAAAAGTAAATCCAAAATTACATGTGATGAAATTTAACATAAATATCTATACAAAGTGCTAGAAAACATTGTGTTCAACTAGAGCAGCTGAGAGTGGCTTCAAAGAGATGGTGGTTAGAGTTCTAAAGATGAGAAGGAGTTTGCCACTGAAAGTAGGAAATCTTTTCCAGGTTGAGGAAAGACTGAAAGTGCAGTGGAGGACAGCTCACTTTCAACAAGGTGTGTTTTATGGGACACTGGCAACCTGTTGATCTTTACTACAGGTTTTGCTGCAAGACTTCTCAGAAAATTTATGCTATGTTTTTTGAGACATTCTAAAAGACCAATATAGTACTGACCAAACTACTGATAGTTTTATAGACCCTTTTGTAAGAATTATATGCTCTAGAAGCACACCTTACAAGGGGGAGGCTATGATTTTTCTTTGGTAGGAGGTGCTAGATGAGTGTGGGGACAGTAAGGTTGCAGTGTGTGAGGCGTCCTGAGTTCCTCTGCAAGTTTGCATTTCACCTGGCCCTAGTCTAGGCATCTCTGAGGGCATGAGGAGGCAGTGTGCCAGGGGTTTTGTGAAGCTGTAAGACCAGCCTGCCATAGCATATTTTCCTAGAAAAGGAAATAGTCCAAACCATGATATTTGTATTAAATTCAAGTATAAATTATAGATTGGAGTGAAAAAACTTTGCATACATTTTAGAGGTACAACATGAGTCCTCAAAGGAATTGCTTGACCTGCTGTTATTCAACAGGCTCCTTCATGAAGCACTAGGCAGAGGGGGAAGATATGGTGGGTCGTTAAACAGGGGAGGGAAGTAACCGAATCTCTGCTTAAGCAGAAGATGCTGAGAGCAGTGAGTGTGAGACGGGTCAGAGAGGAGAGAAAGGTAACGGACAAGGAGGTTGAAACTAGGATGGCCACTGTGGGAATGTGGAGAAGGGGGCAGATTTAAGAGATGTTTTGGATATATTGTCTATGATCTATAACTGTGTGTATAAACATCATGAATATACATCAATAAATTTGCTAAGTGAAAGTGCCTAAATTATTCTTATATGCACACACTGACTTCTGGTGATTATTAATTTACTTCCTGGGCTTGTAACTGGGCTGGGAATGAGATAATACATAAGAAATCATTTTGAAGTGATGCATGTGTGAGGTTCTAATCTGCCAAGTTTCCATAATGTTTCTTTCTCCTTTATTTGTGCTGTTTAGTCAGTCACCTGAGCACATGCATCTGAAGGCCATTCTAAGTGATTTGCATAAAATAAATATGCATTGGTTATGAAGCATGTCCAGAAGTCAAGTTTGTTAATAATATGAACCAACATGTAATTATATACAAATGTAAAACACATAATTATACAAGATTGACTATTTTGGTATTTTATTGATTTGAAATGCAGACTCAGCTTTTTGGAAGCTTTAGTCACAAGACCGTAGAACTAAGTGGTCATGCACTTACGTTTTGGCACTGAAGATGGCAGGCAGGGCTGTGGAGCCCAGTATCCTAAGGGCTTATGTGTTATCTGAATTCCTTTGGGGGGCCCTCTGTGTAGGTTTGCAATATGTATGATTTTACATTCATTAGCCACTATTTAAAATGCTACAACTCCAACAAAATACTGTCAAATATTATAAAACCCACATACCTAGAATATATTGTAAAAAGAAATGCTGAAGGTATAATCAGGTATTGATCTTTATCATTTAAAAAAATCTTTACTTTTTTGAGCAGTTTTAGCTTCACAGCAAAATGAAGAAGAAGGTACAGAGATTTCCCACAGCTTCCTCAATTATCAACATTCCCCACTAGAGTAGTATATTTGTTACGACTGATGAACTTACATTGACACATCATCATCACCCCAAATGCATAGTTTATAAGAAGGTTCCCTCTTGGTTTTGTATAATCTATGGGTTTGGGCAAATGTATAATGGCATAATGTGTAATACCCTCATTATGGTATCATACAGAGTATTTTTACTCTCCTGAAATTTCTTTGTGCTCTCCCTGCTTATCACTACCTTCACCACAGCTCTTGGCAGCCGCTGACCTTTTGTTGTCTCCATAGTTGAACCCTTTCCACAATGTCGTATGGTTGGAATCATACAGTCTGTAGCCTTTTCAGATGGACTTATTTCACTTAGTAATATGCATTTATGCTCTCTCCATACTCTTTCATGGCTTGATAGCTCACTCCTTTTTAGCACTGAATAATATGCCAGTGGTCTGGATGTAGCACAGTTCATTTATCCATTCACCTCCGGAAGAACATCTTGGTTGCCTCCAAGTTTTGGCAATTATGAGTAAAGCTGCTGTAAGCATCTTGTGCAGATTTTTACGTGAACATAAGGTTTCAATCACTTGTGTAAATACCAACGAGGGCACTTGCTGGTTCGTATGCTAAGAGTATGTTTAATTTTCTAAGGAAATCACAGACTATCTCCCAAAGTGGATGTACCATTTTACATTCTCACCAGCAATGAATGAGAGCCCCTGTTGCCCTTTATCCATGTCAGCATTTGGTGTTGTCAGTGTTCTAAGTTTTAAGCATTCCAATAGGTGTGTAGTGGAATCTCATTGTTTTATATTTGCATTTCCCTGATGACATATGATGTGGAGCATTTTTTCAGAAGCTTATTGCCATCTGTAGGTCTTCTTTGGTAAGGTGTCTGTTAAGGTCTTTGGCCAAGTTTTCAGTGGGTTTTTTTTTTTTTTTCTTATTTCTGAATTTAAGAGTTTTTGTATATTTTTGATGACAGTCCTTTATCAGGTATGTCTTTTGCAAATATTTTTCCCAGTCAGTACCTTGTTTTCTCATTCTCTTTACATTGTATTTCACAGAACATACATTTTTAACTTTAGTGAAACCCATCTTTTCAATTCTTTCTTTTATGGATTGTGCCTCTGGTATTGTATCTAAAAAGTTACTGCAATATCCAAGGTCATACAGGTTTTCCTCTATTATCTTCTAGGAGTTTTATAGTTTTGCACTTTACATTTAGGTCTGTGGTCCACTTTGAGTTAATTTTTATGAAGGGTGTAAGGTCCGTGTCTACATTTATCTTTTTGCATGTGATTGTCCAGTTGTTGTAGCACCATTTGTTGAAAAGATGATCTTTGCTCCATTTTATTGCCTTTGCATCTTTGTCAAAGATCAGCTGATTATATTCATGTGAGTCTTATTTCTGGGTTCTCTGTTGTGTTTTGTCGATCTCTTTGTCTATTCTTTCATCAATAACACAGTCTTGATTACTATAGCTTTATCCTAAGTCTTGAAGTTTGGTAGTATCAGTCCTCCAACTTTGTCGTTCCTCAACATTGTGTTGGCTATTCTGGGTCTTTTGCGTCTCTCTATAAACTTTATAATTGCTTTATCGATACCCACAAAATAACCTTCTGGGATTTGATTGAATCTGTAGATCAAGTTGGGAAGAACTGACATATTGACAATACTGAATTTTTCTATTCATGAACATAGAACAGCTCTTTAGTTAGTTCTTCCTTTATTTTGTTTGTAAGAATTTTGTAGTTTTACTCATATAGATCTTGTAAATACTTTACTTGATTTTTACCTAAGTGCTTAATTTTTGAGGGGTTAAATGGTATTATGATTTCAATGTCAAATTCTACTTGTTAATTGCCGAAATATAGGAAAGCGATTTACTTTTACATGTTAACCTTGTCTTCTGCAAAGTTGCTGTAATTGTTTATTAGCTCCTGGAGATTTTTTTTTTGGTCAGTTATTTTGGGTTTTCTACATGAACGATCATGTCATCTGCGATCAAAGACAGCTTTATTTCTTTTTTCCCAGTCTATATACTTTTTATTTCCTTTTTCTTGTCCTTTTGTATTAGCTAGTACTTCCAGTGTGCTATTGAAAGGAGTGGGAGAGGGGACAACCTTGACTTGTTCCTAATCTTAGTGGGAAAGCTTCAGTTTTCTTATCATTAGGTATGATGTTAGCTATAGGTTTTTTGGATATGTATATATATATATATAAATATACATATGTACATACATTTTGTGTATATGTAAAATATGTGTACATGTTTACATTTATGTATAAATATGTACATACATTTTGTATATTTATTTACATTTATATAAACATATTTTGTATATATAATATACATATTTTATATATACATATGAAAAATATGTATATACACACATATACAAAAAACCTACAGCTAACATCATACTTAATGATATATATATTTATCAAGTTGAGGAAGTTCTCCCCTATTCCGTTTACTGAAAGTTTTTGTGATGAATAGGAGTTGGATTATGTCAAAATTGTTTTCATCTATTGATATAATCATATGATTTTTCTTTTGTAGCCTGTTGATGTAATGGATTATATTAATTTTTTAATGTTGAGCCAGCCTTGAATATCTGGAATGAATCTCACTTGACCATGGTGTATAATTCTTTTTGTACATTGTTGAGATAAATTTGCTAATTTTTAAATTTTTGGTTGAGACGGGGTTTCACTATGTTGCTCAGGCTGGTCTTGGACTCCTGAGCTCAGTTGATCTGCCTGTCTCAGCCTCCTAAAGTGCTAGGATTGGAGGCGTGAGCCACCACAACGTGCTAATATTTTGTTGAGCATTTTTGAATCTGTGTTCATCAGTGATACTGGTTTGTGGTTATCTTTTCTTAGAATGTCTTTATCTGCCATTTGTATTAGGGTAATGCAGGCCTCATAGAATGTTTTAGGAAGTATTTCCTCTGCTTGTGTACTCTGAAAGAGACTGTAGATAATTGGTATAATTTCTTTTTTAAATTTGTAGACTTCACCAGTGAGCCCTTCTGGGCCTGTTGCTTTCTGTTTTGGAAGGTTATTATTATTTGATTCAATTGCTCTGATAGATATAGGCCCATTCAAATTGTTTATTTCTTCTTGTTTGAGTTTTGAGAAATTTTGTCTTTCAAGGAGTAGTCCATTTTATCTAGGTTATAAAATTTGTGAGCATAGAATTGTTCATAGTATTTATTTGTTATCCTTTTAATGCCCATGGGCTGTGTAATGATGTCTTCTACTTCTGATATTAGTTATTTTTGTCCTTTCTCATTTTTTTCTTATTTAGCCTGGCTAGATGCTTATTGATTTTATTGATCATTTTTCAAAAAACAGATTTTGTTTTTGTTCATTTCCTCTATTGATTTCCTGTTTACAATTTTGTTGATTTCTACTCTAATTTTTAGTATTTCTCTGCTTATTTTGGACTTAATTTGCTCTTTTTTCTAGTTTCCTAAAGTAGAAGCTTAGAATACTGATTTTTAGATCTTTCATTTCTGTACATTTCAATACTGTATTCAGGGCTATAGATTTTCGCTTAAGGACTTCTTTTGCTGCATCCCACAAATTTTGATAAGTTGTGTTTTCATTTTCATTTCAGTTAAAATATTTCAATGTCTCTTGAGAATTCTTCTTTGAGGCATATATTATTTAAAGGCATATTGTCTAATCTCCACGTATTTTTGGATTTTTCAGTAATCTTTCTGTTACTGATTTCTAGTATAATTTCTTTGTATTCTGATAGCAGGCAATGTGTAATTTCTATTCTTTTAAATTTGTTAAGGCTCTTTCTGTGGCACAATTATGGGGAATATTCCATGTGAACTTGAGAAGAATGTGTATTCTGCTGTTGTTGGATAAAATAGTCTATAGATGTTGCTTATATCCAATTGATGGACAATGTTTTGAGTTCAATCATGTTTATACTGGTTTTCTGCTTGCTGGTTCTTCAAATTTCTGGTAGAGGGGTGTTAAAGTTTCCAACTGTGAAAATGGATTTACCTATTTATCCTTGTAGGTCTAATAGTTTTTGCCTCATTAGTTTGATGCTGTGTTTTTGGGCATATACACATTAAGGACTGTTATGTCTTTTTGTAGAACTGGTCTTTTTATCATTAAGTAATATCCTTTTTTATCCCTGGAAACTTTCCTTGCTTTGAAGTACGCTCTATCTGAAATTTACATAGCTATTCCTGCTTTCTTGGATTAGTGTTAGCATGGTATATTTTTCTCCATCCATAAGACACTGTTAATTTATATGTGTCTTTATATTTAGAGTGGGTTTTTTGTAGGCACATACAGTTGGGTCTTGTTTTTTGTTCTACTCTTACAGTCTCTTTAAATTGATGCATTTAGACCACTCAGAGTGATTGTCGATATAGTTGGATCAATAACTATCATATTTGTTACTGATTTTTTTGTTGTCCTTGTTCCTTATTTCAGTTTTTGTTTTCCACTCTGACTTTTATGGTTTAGTTGGACATTTTATATGGTTATGTTTTCCCTCCTTTCTTGGTGTATCAGTTATAGTTCTTTTTTTACTTTTTTAGTGGTTGCCCTAGAGTTTGCAATATACATTTACAACTAACCCAAGTCACCTTTCATGTTACATTATACCACTTCATGCATAATGAGAGCACTTTATAATGCAAAATAACATGAATTTCTTCCTCCTGTCCCTTGTACCATTTATTTCTTATAAGGTGCGTGTGTGTGTGTGTATATGTGTGTATGTGTGTGTGTGTATATGTATTATATATGTATATATTATATATACACAAAGTATAATAAAATACATTTTTGCTATTGTTACTTTGAACAAACTGTTATCTGTTAGATAAATTAATAAGAAAAACAAAAGTTTTTATTTTGCCTTCACTTTTTCCTTCTTCAGTGGTTCTTTCTTTAATTTAGATATGACTTTCAACCTGTATCGTTTCCCTTTTTTTAAAGAACTTCTTTTAACATTTTTTCAAGGCAGGTCTGCTTGAAACAAATTTCTTCAATTTTTGCCTGAGAATGTATTTTTTTTCCTTATCTTTTGAAGGATGATTTCAATAATTCTAGATTTGTGACTTTCTCTCTCAACACTAATTATTTTACTCTACTCTTTTTGCTTGCATGATTTCATGTAAGTCAGATGTAATTCTTACCTTTTTGGTCCTCTAAAGGGAAGGGTTTTTTGTCTGCCTTTGGCTTCCTTCAGGATTTTATCTTTATCTTTGTTTATAGTTTGAAATGATATACTTAGATGTTGGATTTTTTTTCCCCCACATGTATCAGCTTGCTGTTTTCTGAGATTCCTGGATGTGTGGTTTGGTGTTTGACACTAATTTGGGGAAATTCTCAATCATTGTTTCAAATACTTCTGTTCCTTTCTCTACTTCAACAGTCCCCAACCTTTTTGACACCAGGGACCTGTTTTGTGGAAGACAATTTTTCCATAGACTGTCGGGGGCCATGGTTTTGGGATGAAACTGTTCCACCTCAGATTGTCAGGCATTCATTAGATTCTCATAAGGAGCGTGCAACCTAGATCCCTTGCATGTGAAATTCACAATAGGGTTTGTGTTCCTGTAAGAATGTCACGCTGCCGCTGATCTGACCGGAGGCGGAGCTCAGGCAGTAATGCTCCCTGACCTGCCCCTCACCTCCTGGTGTGTGGCCCAGTTCCTAACAGTCCAGGTGACAGGTACTGGCCTGTGGCCTGGGGGTTGGGGAACCCTGCTCTACTTCTTCTCCTTCTCGCATTCCCATCACACATATGTTACACCATTTGTAATTGTCCCACAATCCTTGGATATTCTATTCTGTTGTTTTCAGTCTTTGTTCTCTTTGCTTTTCAGTTTTCAAAATTTCGATTGATATTCCTCATACTAGGGATTCTTTCCTCAGCTGTATCCAACCTACTAGTAAGCCTATCAAATATATTCTTTATTTTTGTTACATTATTTTTGATTGCTGGAATTTCTTTTTGGTTATGTCTTAGGAGTTCCATCTCTGTGCTTACATTGTTTAACTGTTCTTGCATGATGTCTGCTTTTTCCATTAGAGCCTTTAGCTTATTAATCATAGTTGTTGTAAATTCTGATCTGATAATTCCAATACTGCTGCTATGTCTGGTACTAATGCATGTTCTGTCTCTTCAAATTGTGTTTTTTGTTTGTTTTTTGCCTTTTAGTATGCTTTGTAATTTTTTCTTGATTGGTGGCTGTGATGTACCAGGTAAAAGGAACTGCTGTAAATTAATAAGTTACTAATGTAGTGTTAAGGTGTGGAGGGAGGGGAAGCATTCTATACTCCTATGATTAGGTCTCAGTTTTTTAGTGAGCCTTTCCCTCTGGACACGAACTTCATAGGTGTTTCTCAGTTTGTTTCTCCCCACTTGAGTGCGATAGGATGGCTAGAGTGGGTGGAGTTCAGTATTTCCCTTCCCTTGTGTCAGGTAAGCTCTCATAATACCCCGGAGGGTTAGACTCTGGTTAATTCATTTCTCCTGATGGCAGGCCTTATTAAAAACAACAGAAAATTCTGGCACATTTCCAAGTGGTTTCTTTCACTTCCCTCTGGTGGAAGGATGAGGGAACATTTCTTCAGTATTTCCTGTGGGAACCTGGTAGAGCTTCTGGAGGTAAATCTCATGATATTTGGGAACCCCCTATGATTGAATCCTTTTGGAATTTTTAACTTTCAAAGTTGTACACACTGAGCCTCCAGGAATTTGCCAATTCCAGTTTCAGGTTTTCTTACTCTGCTGCTGGTTCCTGTGGTGGTTTTGCTGATTAGTCTCTGCTCTGGAAAGTCCTGGCTCTCTGTATGTCCCTGTTTGTCCCCCTAATCTTGAGAGCAGAAGTTCATCCTGTGTGTTCCCCTCTTAGTTGGGCTCCAAGAAGAGCTGTTGTTTTTCTAGTGTGTTCACCTTTTTACTTGTTAGGACAAAGTTCATTCTGAGCTTCTTGCATCAGGAACCAGGAACTGGATCTAATAATGTTTTTATAAGATACATTTCTTAAAATGACAAAAGTAATATGTGTTTGTACAGGAGCTAAATTAAACAAACCAAAAAAAGAATCAAGAAGTTGAAAATCAAGGGGGTAAAAATCAGCACACACAAGGCATTCTGGCAGAGTTCATGCTATCTTTTCTTTATGTTTATAGATGTGTAGAGAAATATTTAAATATTTAAAAGTTAAAAGGTATAAACATGATGTATGGTGCCTTAAGCAGTATTAACAGGCATTGATTTTAAAGTGGTACACTTAGGCCCATTAGTAAACAAATACAGATTTTAAAATACATTTATATGTTTTCTTCATTAACTCTTACCATCACTGCATATTCAATCTATATTCCTTTTGTAATTTAAAAACCATTTTAAAAATGTGTTTAAATGATTTATGATGATACTTATAAGTAACACATAGTTGGGTTTTTAAAAAAATTGAATTTGATAATCTTTGTATTTTAGTTATCCTTCATGTGGTTACTGATCTATTTGGTTTTAAATCTATCCTTCACTGTTTACTTCCACTTACCCTTGTCTCTTCTATGTTCTTTTTTTCCTCTTTTTTCTTACACTTTTCTGGATTAATTGCTCATTTTATATTATTCTAATTTTCTCTTCTATTAGTTTGTTAGTCATATTTCTTTCTTTTTGTCTTACAGTGGTTGATCTGGAGATTACAATAGGAATCCATGACTAAGTAAAGTCTAGTGAAAGTCGTCAACCTTTCTGTACAATGTGAGGACTTTACAACACTTTAATTCCATAATTCCAATTTATCTACTGTTATTGTCATATATTTTATTTCTATAAATATATTTAAACCTTATAAGATTATAATTGTCTTTTACAGTCAGTATTCTTTTAGATTTACTCGTATATTTACCTTTTTTGTTACTTTAATTCCTCCCTGTATCTTCTAACTTTCATCTGAGATAATTTTCCTTCTGCCCTTTAGACTTCTCTTTCTTGAGAGTCTGGAAGTAGCACAATTTCTCCATGTTTGTTTCAAAACTTATTTATATTGCCTAATTTTTGTGTGATAATTCAGAAATACAGACTTTGTGTTGCCGGTTAGTTACAGCACTTTTATATACAGCATAGTGTCTATAGTCGATTACCCTAGTGTTTTCTGACTTCAGTACTTCTCTTAAGAGGTCAGCTGTATGCCTTACTGTTGCTTCTCTGTTCTTGTTTTCTTTGGTCACTTTTAAATTTTATTCTTTGTCTTTGATTTTTAACAGTTTTGCTATGATAAGAATATGTTTCTGCTCTTTTGTTTTACCTGCTTGGGATTCAGAATGACTTATTGAATCTGTTCCTTGGTTTCATTCACAAGTTTTGGACAATTGTTGCCAGATCGATCGATCTTTTCCTCCTTCCTTCCTTCCTTCCTTCCTTCCTTCCTTCTTTTTTTGGGGATGGAGTCTCGCTGTGTTGCCCAGGTTGGAGTGCAATGGCACGATCTTGGCTCACTACAACCTCTGCCACCTGGATTCAAGCAATTCTTCTGCCTCAGCCTCCCGAGTAGCTGGAACTACAGGTGTGCACCACCACGCCTGGCTAATTTTTGTATTTTTAGTAGAGACAGGTTTTCACCATATTGGCCAGGCTGGTCTCCAACTCCTGACCTCATGATCCGCCTGCCTCAGCCTCCCAAAGTGCTGGGATTACAGGCGTGAGCCACTGTGCCCGGCCTAGATATTTCTTTAGATATGGCTTCTGCTCTATTTTTTCTGCCTTCCCTTTTTGGGACAATGATTACATGTTCACCACAGCTTTCACTTTATCTCAGTGATTCTCAACCAGGGGCAGTGTCTCTCCCCAGGGAATATTTGGCATTATCTTGAAAAAATTTCAGTTGCCCCAACTGGGGAGAAAGATGCTACTGACACTTACAGGGAAGAGGCTAGGGATGCTACTAAATGACCTATAGTGCATAGGGTGACTCCTCAAGAAAAAGAATTATCTGGCCCCCAATTTCAACAGTGCTGAGATGGAGAAGACTAATTTATTCCATATGCCTCCTATTCTTTGCGGCAATTCCCATTACTTTGTCTCTCCATGCTTCATCCGGTCCGTTTTCTGTTGACATATATTCAATATTCAGTCCTTGAATTCTCTCATTGTGTCTATCTGTTGTTAGTCCCATTTATTGACTCCTTTTTAAAGTTTCAGATATTGCATGCTTTAGTGTTAAGAGTTTCCTTTTGGTTCTTACGATGTTTTCTAGCTCTCAAGCTTGTTCTGATTTTCTTCAAATATATTAATAAGACTTTTTTTTATAGTCCCTGTCTGATAATTCCATTCTTAAGACACTTTGTGCCTCTGTTTTTATTAGTGATGGCTCTTTTTGCTTTTCTGTTACATGGTCTGTGCTCCTTCTGAGCCTGGTTGTGTTTGTAGTTTGTCCCAGACAATGTATGGGAAAAATGGTAGAGATGAGAGAACGGAGAACACTTTTACTCCTGTTAATATTTGCTTCTGACAACAGCCACCCCATGGGTACCAGCAACCACACATAACCTTAATTAGATTAGGGATTGAGAAGATACGAAGATGGGCTTCAGTCCCTTTAAGCGCTGGTTTGTTTCTGGTTCTTGCATATACATTCTAGGGCATAAATACAGAGAATTTACTAGAGTCTTCTCTCTCTTCAATAAGTTTTTTTTTTTTTGAGACAGAGTCTCACTTTGTCACCCAGGCTGGCATATGGTGGCACAGTCTCGGCTCACTGCAACCTCTCTCTCCCGGGTTCCAGTGATTCTCCTGCTTCAGCCTTCCAAGTAGCTGGTATTTTTTTTTAATATTTTAAGTTTTAGGGTACATGTGCACAACGTGCAGGTTTGTTACATATGTATACATGTGCCATGCTGGTGTGCTGCACCCATTAACTCGTCATTTAGCATTAGGTATATCTCCTAATGCTATCCCTCCCCCCTCCCCCCACCCCACAACAGTCCCCAGAGTGTGATGTTCCCCTTCCTGTGACCATGTGTTCTCATTGTTCAATTCCCATCTATGAGTGAGAACATGTGGTGTTTGGTTTTTTGTCCTTGGGATAGTTTACTGAGAATGATGATTTCCAATTTCATCCATGTCCCTACAAAGGACATGAACTCATCATTTTTTATGGCTGCATAGTATTCCATGGTGTATATGTGCCACATTTTCTTAATCCAGTCTATCATTGTTGGACATTTGGCTTGGTTCCAAGTCTTTGCTATTGTGAATAGGGCCACAATAAACATACGTGTGTGTGTGTCTTTATAGCAGCATGATTTATAGTCCTTTGGGTATATACCCAGTAATGGGATGGCTGGGTCAAATGGTATTTCTAGTTCTAGATCCCTGAGGAATCGCCACACTGACTTCCACAATGGTTGAACTAGTTTACAGTCCCACCAGCAGTGTAAAAGTGTTCCTATTTCTCCACATGCTCTCCAGCACCTGTTGTTTCCTGACTTTTTAATGATTGGCATTCTAACTGGTGTGAGATGGTATCTCACTGTGGTTTTGATTTGCATTTCTCTGATGGCCAGTGATGATGAGCCTTTTTTCATGTGTCTTTTGGCTGCATAAATGTCTTCTTTTGAGAAGTTTCTGTTCATATCCTTTGCCCACTTTTTGATGGGGTTGTTTGTTTTTTTCTTGTAAATTTGTTTGAGTTCATTGTAGATTCTGGATATTAGCCCTTTGTCAGATGAGTAGGTCGCGAAAAGTTTCTCCCATTTTGTGGGTTGCCTGTTCACTCTGATGGTAGTTTCTTTTGCTGTGCAGAAGCTCTTTAGTTTAATTAGATTCCATTTGTCAATTTTGGCTTTTGTTGCCATTGCTTTTGGTGTTTTAGACATGAAGTCCTTGCCCATGCCTATGTCCTAAATGGTAATGCCTAGGTTTTCTTCTAGGGTTTTTATGGTTTTAGGTCTAACGTTTAAGTCTTTAATCCATCTTGAATTAATTTTTGTATAAGGTGTAAGGAAGGGATCCAGTTTCAGCTTTCTACACATGGCTAGCCAGTTTTCCCAGCACCATTTATTAAATAGGGAATCCTTTCCCCATTGCTTGTTTTTGTCAGGTTTGTCAAAGATCAGATAGTTGTAGATATGCGGCGTTATTTCTGAGGGCTCTGTTCTGTTCCATTGGTCTATATCTCTGTTTTGGTACCAGTACCATGCTGTTTGGTTACTGTAGCCTTGTAGTATATAGTTTGAAGTCAGGTAGCGTGATGCCTCCAGCTTTGTTCTTTTGGCTTAGGATTGACTTGGTGATGCGGGCTCTTTTTTGGTTCCATATGAACTTTAAAGTAGTTTTTTCCAATTCTGTGAAGAAAGTCATTGGTAGCTTGATGGGGATGGCATTGAATCTATAAATTACCTTGGGCAGTATGGCCATTTTCACGATATTGATTCCTCCTACCCATGAGCATAGAATGTTCTTCCATTTGTTTGTATCCTCTTTTATTTCATTGAGCAGTGGTTTGTAGTTCTCCTTGAAGAGGTCCTTCACATCCCTTGTAAGGTGGATTCCTAAGTATTTTATTCTCTTTGAAGCAATTGCGAATGGGAGTTCACTCATGATTTGGCTCTCTGTTTGTCTGTTATTGGTGTATAAGAATGCTTGTGATTTTTGTACATTGATTTTGTATCTTGAGACTTTGCTGAAGTTGCTTATCAGCTTCAGGAGATTTTGGGCTGAGACAATGGGGTTTTCTAGATATACAATCATGTCATCTGCAAACAGGGACAATTTGACTTCCTCTTTTCCTAATTGAATACCCTTTATTTCCTTCTCCTGCCTGATTGCTCCGGCCAGAACTTCCAACACTATGTTGAATAGGAGTGGTGAGAGAGGGCATCCCTGTCTGTGCCAGTTTTCAAAGGGAATGCTTCCAGTTTTTGCCCATTCAGCATGATATTGACTGTGGGTTTGTCATAGATAGCTCTTATTATTTTGAGATACATCCCATCAATACCTAATTTATTGAGAGTTTTTAGCATGAAGGGTTGTTGAATTTTGTCAAAGGCCTTTTCTGCATCTATTGAGATAATCATGTGGTTTTTGTCTTTGGTTCTGTTTATATGCTGGATTACATTTATTGATTTGCGTATATTGAACCAGTCTTGCATCCCAGGGATGAAGCCCACTTGATCATGGTGGATAAGCTTTTTGATGTGCTGCTGGATTCCGTTTGCCAGTATTTTATTGAGGATTTTTGCATCAATGTTCATCAGGGATATTGGTCTAAAATTCTCTTTTTTGGTTGTGTCTCTGCTCAGCTTTGGTATCAGAATGATGCTGGCCTCATGAAATGAGTTAGGGAGATTCCCTCTTTTTCTGTTGATTGGAATAGTTTCAGAAGGAACGGTACCAGTTCCTCCTTGTACCTCTGGTAGAATTCGGCTGTGAATCCATCTGGTCCTGGACTCTTTCTGGTTGGTAAGCTATTGATTATTGCCACAATTTCAGCTCCTGTTACTGGTCTATTCAGAGATTCAACTTCTTCCTGGTTTAGTTTTGGGAGAGTGTATGTGTCGAGGAATTTACCATTTCTTCTAGATTTTCTAGTTTATTTGCGTGGAGATGTTTGTAGTATTCTCTGATGATAGTTTGTATTTCTGTGGGATTGGTGGTCATATCCCCTTTATCATTTTTTATTGCGTCTATTTGATTCTTCTCTCTTTTTTTCTTTATTAGTCTTGCTAGCGGTCTATCAATTTTGTTGATCCTTTCAAAAAACCAGCTCCTGGATTCATTAATTTTTTGAAGGGTTTTTTGTGTCTCTATTTCCTTCAGTTCTGCTCTGATTTTAGTTATTTCTTGCCTTCTGCTAGCTTTTGAATGTGTTTGCTCTTGCTTTTCTAGTTCTTTTAATTGTGCTGTTAGGGTGTCAATTTTGGAGCTTTCCTGCTTTCTCTTGTGGGCATTTAGTGCTATAAATTTCCCTGTAGACACTGCTTTGAATGCATCCCAGAGATTCTGGTATGTTGTGTCTTTGTTCTCGTTGGTTTCAAAGAACATCTTTATTTCTGCCTTCATTTCGTTATGTACCCAGTAGTCATTCAGGAGCAGGTTGTTCAGTTTCCACGTAGTTGAGCGGTTTTGAGTGAGTTTCTTAATCCTGAGTTCTAGTTTGATTGCACTGTGGTCTGTTCTTTTACATTTGCTGAGGAGAGCTTTACTTCCAGGTATGTGGTCAATTTTGGGATAGGTGTGGTGTGGTGCTGAAAAAAATGTATATTCTGTTGATTTGGGGTGGAGAGTTCTGTAGATGTCTATTAGGTCTGCTTGGTGCAGAGCTGAGTTCAGTTCCTGGGTATCCTTGTTAACTTTCTGTCTCGTTGATCTGTCTAATGTTGACAGTGGGGTGTTAAAGTCTCCCATTATTATTGTGTGGCAGTCTAAGTCTCTTTGTAGGTCACTCAGGACTTGCTTTATGAATCTGGGTGCTCCTGTATTGGGTGCATATATATTTAGGAAAGTTAGCTCTTCTTGTTGAATTGATCCCTTTACCATTATGTAATGGCCTTCTTTGTCTCTTTTGATCTTTGTTGGTTTAAAGTCTGTTTTATCAGAGACTAGGATTGCAACCCCTGCCCTTTTTTGTTTTCCATTTGCTTGGTAGATCTTCCTCCATCCTTTAATTTTGAGGCTATGTGTGTCTCTGCACGTGAGATGGGTTTCCTGAATACAGCACACTGATGGGTCTTGACTCTTTATCCAATTTGCCAGTCTGTGTCTTTTAATTGGAGCATTTAGTCCATTTACATTTGAAGTTAATATTGTTATGTGTGAATTTGATCCTGTCATTATGATGTTAGCTGGTTATTTTGCTTGTTAGTTGATGCAGTTTCTTCCTAGTCTCCATGGTCTTTACATTTTGGCATGATTTTGCAGCAGCTAGTACCGGTTGTGCCTTTCCATGTTTAGTGCTTCCTTCAGGAGCTCTTTTAGGGCAGGCCTGGTGGTGACAAAATCTCTCAGCATTTGCTTGTCTGTAAAGTATTTTATTTCTCCTTCACTTATGAAGCTTAGTTTGGCTGGATATGAAATTCTAGGTGAAAATTCTTTTCTTTGAGAATGTTGAATATTGGCCCCCACTCTCTTCTGGCTTGTAGAGTTTCTGCCGAGAGATCCGCTGTTAGTCTGATGGGTTTCCCTTTGTGGGTAACCCGACCTTTCTCTCTGGCTGCCCTTAACGTTTTTTCTTTCATTTCCACTTTGGTGAATCTGACAATTATGTGTCTTGGAGTTGCTCTTCTCGATGAGTATCTTTGTGGTGTTCTCTGTATTTCCTGAATGTGAATGTTGGCCTGCCTTGCTAGATTGGGGAAGTTCTCATGGATGATATCCTGCAGAGTGTTTTCCAACTTGGTTCCATTCTCCCCGTCATTTTCAGGTACACCAATCAGATGCAGATTTGGTCTTTTCACATAGTCCCATATTTCTTGGAGGCTTTGTTCGTTTCTTTTTATTCTTTTTTCTCTAAACTTCCCTTCTCACTTCATTTCATTCATTTCATCTTCCATCGCTGATACCCATTCTTCCAGTTGATCGCATCGGCTCCTGAGGCTTCTGCATTCTTCATGTAGTTCTCGAGCCTTGGCTTTCAGCTCCATCAGCTCCTTTAAGAACTTCTCTGTATTGGTTATTCTAGTTATACATTCGTCTAAATTTTTTTCAAAGTTTTCAACTTCTTTGCCTTTGGTTTGAATTTCCTCCTGTAGCTCGGAGTAGTTTGGTCGTCTGAAGCCTTCTTCTCTCAACTCGTCAAAGTCATTCTCCATCCAGCTTTGTTCCGTTGTTGGTGAGGAACTGCCTTCCTTTGTAGGAGGAGAGTCACTCTGCTTTTTAGAGTTTCCAGTTTTTCTGTTCTGTTTTTTCCCCATCTTTGTGGTTTTATTTACTTTTGGTCTTTGATGATGGTGATGCACAGATGGGTTTTTGGTGTGGATGTCCTGTCTGTTTGTTAGTTTTCCTTCTAACAGACAGGACCCTCAGCTGCAGGTCTGTTGGAGTTTGCTAGAGGTCCACTCCAGACCCTGTTTGCCTGGGTATCAGCAGCGGTGTCTGCAGAACCGCGGATTTTCATGATCCGCGAATGCTGCTGTCTGATCGTTCCTCTGGAAGTTTTGTCTCAGAGGAGTACCCGGCCGTGTGAGGTGTCAGTCTGCCCCTACTTGGGGGTGCCTCCCAGTTAGGCTGCTCGGGGGTCAGGGGTCAGGGACCCACTTGAGGAGGCAGTCTGCCCGTTCTCAGATCTCCAGCTGCGTGCTGGGAGAACCACTGCTCTCCTTAAAGCTGTCAGACAGGGACATTTAAGTCTGCAGAGGTTACTGCTCTCTTTTTGTTTGTCTGTGCCCTGCCCCCAGAGGTGGAGCCTACGGAGGCAGGCAGGCCTCCTTGAGCTGTGGTGGGCTCCACCCAGTTGGAGCTTCCTGGCTGCTTTGTTTACCTAAGCGAGCCTAGGCAATGGCGGGCGCCCCTCCCCCAGCCTTGCTGAAGCCTTGCAGTTTGATCTCAGACTGCTGTGCTAGCAATCAGTGAGACTCCATGGGCGTAGGACCCTCCGAGCCATGTGCGGGATATAATCTCCTGGTGTGCCGTTTCCGAAGCCCGTCAGAAAAGCGCAGTATTGGGGTGGGAGTGGCCCGATTTTCCAGGTGCCGTCTGTCACCCCTTTCCTTGACCAGGAAAGGGAACTCCCTGACCCCTTGCACTTCCCGAGTGAGGCAATGCCTCGCCCTGCTTCGGCTGGTGCATGGTGCGCTGCACCGACTGTGCTGCGCCCACTGTCTGGCACTCCCTAGTGAGATGAACCTGGTAGCTCAGATAGAAATGCAGGAATCACCCGTCTTCTGCATTGCTCAGGCTGGGAGCTGTAGACCGGAGCTGTTCCTATTTGGCCATCTTGGCTCCTCCCCAAGTAGCTGGTATTACAGGCATGCACCACCATGCCTGGCTGATTTTTGTATTTTTAGTAGAGACGGGGTTTCAAGACGTTCCCCAGGCTGGTCTTGAACTCCTGACCTGAAGTGATCTGCCCGCCTTGGCCTCCCAAAGTGCTGGGATTGCAGGCATGAGCCACTGCACCTGGCCCTCTCTTCAGTAAGTCTTGAGCTCAAAATTTTCCACTTTTCTCTTAAGTTTGTCAAGGTTTGCTTAAAATTTTAGCCTCTTAAGCATTATTAAATAATCACCACAGGCTCTGGAAAGGTGGCCTCAAATCTTGGTATTCTCTCAGGGCTCCCCTCTCTTCCTGGATCTTGTCCCTGCAATTCCTCACTGCTCTATTAGTATTCTGGTGCCCTTAAGCATGATTTTTTTTTTTTTTTTTCCCCAAGCTCTTCTAATTGTTCTCACTGGAGAGTTGATGAGAACCACCTAGTTGATCATCACTGATAGCAGAACAGAAATTCTAAGTGGAAATAAATATCATATGTGCTCTCTAATTTGTGGAAGCTAAGAAAGTGGATCTCACGGAAGTAGGGAGTGTAGTGGTGGTTACCAGTGACTGGGAAGACAGTGGGGAGAGGAGAAGTTGGTTAAAGGGAGTAAGTTAGATGGAAGAGGCCAGGTGCGTTGGCTCACACTTGTAATCCCAGCAGTTTGGGAGGCCAAAGAGGGTAGATCACAAGGTCAAGAGATTGAGACCATCTTGGCCAACATGGTGAAACCCCATTTCTACTAAAAATACAAAAATTAGCTGGGGGTGATGGCGCATGCCTGTAGTCCCAGCTACTCGGGAGGCTGAGGCAGGAGAATCGCTTGAACCCGGGAGGCAGAGGTTGCAGTGAGCCGAGATCGCGCCACTGCACTCCAGCCTGGTGACAGAGCGAGACTCCATCTCAAAATAAATAAATAAATACAATTAAATAAAAAAGTTAGATGAAAGATATAGTTAGATAGAAGGAATAAGTTCTAGTATTTAATAGTATAGTAGAGAAATTATAGTTAACAATAATTTATTGTACATTTCAAAATAACTAGAAGAGCAGACTTGTAATTTTCCCAACATAAAAGATAAATGTTTGAGGTGGTAGATACCCCGATGATACTGATTTCATCATTACACATTGTCTGTGGGTATCAAAATATCACATGTACCTCCAAAATATGTACAGCTATTAGATATAAATAAAAAAATCTGTAATGCACCTTTATAATTGATACCAATTTATTATGGTTGAAATTTTGTCTCCTAAAACCTGAAGAGGTTTAGGAGACAGAGCCCTGAAGAGGGCTGTGGGAGATAAACCCACAAAATTCTTTTAATCTGTATAGACTGAGAATTGTAAGCACTTTTACTAAAGGAATCTTTCTTGTAAATGTTGCCTTTCAAGGCTACCACTGAAGATATTCCCTGAAGGGTTCAGCTCTCTCAGAGCTTCTCGTTTCATCTTTGACATGCTGTTAAAGGAAGAGAAATAGTCTTGTCATGGAGGAAGGCCAACGAAAATCTCTGCTGCCTTATTGATTTATTTTTAAAATCAGGATTAGGTAGTGTTTTACTCCTCCTCAAAGAAGAGGGAAGTCATTTGGCATCTTCTACTTGCAGTTCCCATGCTCTTAATTTCAGTGATTTCCTTATTCAGTTAACATCAGTTATAAACCATTATAGCCAAAGAAATTCAAAAAGTATTGTAAAATAGTATGTACTTGGGCATATTTATGTGTGTGTAAATGCACACTCAGTCACACACACCCCTGTTATCCTTAGCTCTCCTTGTTGATTTTATTTTTGATATCTCAAGACAAGGTATCATGTACTATGCTAATTAAGTTTCCAAGATCTAAAGCTTGAAGATACCGCAGAGGCCTTGGAGTCACAGCTCCCAGGTAGCCAAAACAATGGACTGAAACTAATAAGAAATTAAGCAATGAATTATACAAAATCTTGTATTACGGGTTAAAAATTAGTGCAGAAGAATGGGCTGTGGGAAAGGCCTGGATGTGTGGCTGACTACTGGCTCTGCGTCAGCTCGTAGGTGTAGGAGCTGACCTGTCTAAGCTGTAGGTGGCAGTGGACGAGGAGTAGGAAATTGCAGTTGTCATGGTTAATGAATGCCACCTGTGAGAGATTCTCAGCATGGGAAATTTACTCTTGCATCATTGGAAGTGAATTGTCTGTAAATATTCCTGTCTTGGATAAAAGAGCCATGGTGTCTATACTCTGGGGAGAGGACTTAGAGAGGGAGGAGAACTTATTTACTTTATTTTGTGGAGAGAAGGCACGTGTTAGGCTAACTCTTTAGTTGGTTTCAAATTTCAGGATTGTTAAATGAGTTTATAATCTAAAGTATCTATTTTAAGAAGTCCACACAGAGAAGATATTATGATCAGAGATTTAGATTAAGCAAATTAGGGTAAGGCTGCTCACTGATTGCCAAAGTATATTTCATTAAGTGCAAATGGATGAAATTTACAATTGAAATCACTAGTCAGGAAACAGTTTGTTTAAGTTCTCCATTAAGAAGTTTTATTGTCATTTGAAGTAACCTTTAACACACTGTGTTAAAGGTCTCTCGTAGAGAGACACACATCTTATTTTGGAAGTTATTCTTTAACCCTATTCTAAAACTTTAAATTGTAGTAGAGTAGATATACACTAATGTGGCACGATATCAAAACCAATTCAGTGGGTTACCACAAAGTGAACCCCGTTAAGCTGTCACCACCCAATACAGACCTTCGCTCCTCCAGAGCTAAACTGTTTGCCTTACTTCAAACACCAAAGTCTAGTTTTGCCCTTCTCTGGAACTCTGTATAAGAGGAATCACCCAAGCACACAGCATGCGTTCTTTGGGATCTGGCTTTTTTGGTTCATTTTTATTTTTGTGAGCCACCCAAGTTGTTGTCTGTAGCTCTTCTTTCTTCATTTCTATTGTATGAATATAACAACATGTATTATTATATTGATGGCTATTTAGATTTCTTCTAGATTTTGTCTGCTTTCAAGAACACTTCAAGGAATGTGTTACATGTCTTCTGACGGACAGGAGTATGCATTTCTCTCTGATACAGACGTAAAAGTAGATTGGCGGGGCCATAGGGCAGCGTGTTTTTAACTTTTCTGGATGATGCTAAACAATTTTCAAAATGGTTATACCAATTAGCATTCCCACCAGCAGTGTATGAAAATTCTTGTTGCTCTACATACTCACCAACGCTTGGCATTTTTAGTCTATTAAATTTACCATTCTAGTGGGTGTGGAGTGACATTTTCTTGTGATTTTAATTAGCATTTCCCTGATTACAGCTAAGGTTGAGGAGATTTTCATTTTTTTATTTTCCATTTTGATATATTATTTTGAGAAGTGTCTAATCGTGTCTCTTTACTATTTCTCTCTCTCTTTTTTTTTTGTTTTGTGTTGGTTTGTTTTTTTCTTTATTGATTTGTATGAGTTTTTCTGTATTACAGATATAAACCCGTAGTCATTGTCTTTGTTTTGTGCTGTTATAACAGACTGGAGACTGGGTAATTTATTAAAAATAGAAATTTATTTCTCATAGTTCTGGGGATGGTAAAGTCTGATATCAAGGTGCCAGTATCTGGCATATCTTGCTGCTTCACAACGTGGTGGAAGGCATCACATGGCAGAAGGGCAAAGAGTGGGTGTGAGAGAGAGAGAGCAAGAGGGCTAAACCTGCTCCCTTCATAATGAACCCACTCCCAAGGTAACTGCATTAGTCCATTCAGGAGGGTGGGGCCTTCATGACCTAAGCATCTCTTATAGGTTCTGTCTCCCAATACCATCCTAGTGGAAATTAAATTTCAGCATGAGTTTTGGAGGGGTCAAACATTCAAACCATTGCAGTTGGCCAGGCGTGGTGGCTCATGCCTGTAATCCCAGCACTTTGGGAGGCCGAGGCGGGCGGATCACGAGGTCAGGAGATCGAGACCATCCTGGCTAACACAGTGAAACCCTGTCTCTACTAAAAATACAAAAAATTAGCCGGGCGTGGTAGCAGGCGCCTGTAGTCCCAGCTGCTCAGGAGGCTGAGGCAGGAGAATGGCGTGAACCCGGGAGGCGGAGCTTGCAGTGAGCTGAGATCATGCCGCTGCACTCCAGCCTGGGTGACAGAGCGAGACTCTGTATCAAAAAAAAAAACCAAAAAACAAAACCATTGCAGTTATATGTTTTGCAGGTATCTTAGACTCTTTGGCTTATTGTTTTACTTTTTGACATTCTTTCTTTTCTCCTTTTGTAAACTTTCAATTGAAGTATGACATGCTTACAGATTAATGGTGTCTTTTGGTGAACAGAAATTCTTAATTTTAGTGTGGCCTAGTTTAGAAATCCTTTCTTCTACATTTAGTGCTTACAGTGTCATATTTTAAAAGTCTTTCCCTTCCCCAAGTTCATGAAGATATTTTTCTGTATTTTTTAGAAGCTTTCCATTGTTGTTTTAGTGAATTTTTGTTACTGTTTTACCTCTCATGTTTGTTTATAACCCACCTAGAATTGATTTTTGTGTATAAAGTGTATCACTTTTAAGCAGTTTTATGGAAATTGGACTGGTGACTAATTTATTTTGTTTTTCAAGAGTTGTGAAAGGGTTGTTAGTGGAATTAATGCATGATTGTTTAACTGTATCACATTTGGACATTGTATTGTCCACTATGCCTGTGCCCTAATGGACATTTTAATTATTTAATGTGTGTATGATATGAAAATAATGTATGGGTAATGGAAATTTTTAATATTTAAAAATGTTGACATCACACACATTATTTACAAAGTCAGTAGTAAAGAAGGGCTTATGAGAAGCCCTAGCCCCTGGCCCCAGGTTTCCCATCACCATCCTAAGACAGGTACTTTTAACAGGCTCTGTTTCAGGTCATCACTAATATTTTAACATTCTGCTTATGTTTCTATTTCTTGATTGATTAAAATATCAAATTCTCTGGACCTTTACTGAAATTAAAATGCCTTTAATTAAATATCTTCAGTATGGATGTTCTTATTTTTAGGAGGGATTTTGTTAACAAAGAAAACATTAGGCAAATTCAATTTAGCAGACGTTATATGAGCAAAGAACAATTCATGAATCAAGCAGCACTCAGGACCAGAAGAGGTTCAGAGAGCTTGACTCAGTAGTGTGAGCAACCAGCTTTTATAGGCTGAACACAGAAGCAAATTAGATAATCTGATTGGCTACCACTAGGCACTTGTCTTACTTGGCATGGGGTGATGAATTGGCTGCCTGTGATTGGCTGAAATCTAGCTGTTCATGGTTAGCTGAAACTCTGCTGTTATAGTCCTAAGTTAGGTTTTGGTTTGTTTGCTTAATAAATTAGGTTGCCTTTGTTAAGTAGGAACTCAAAGATGGGAGATAGTCTCCAGCCAGTGGCCTTCTGCTTATTTCATTTAGCAGTTTGTTTATTAGGAATGGCAGTGTGTCCCTCAAATCAGGATCTGATGATGAAGGTTGTTGGCTAATGATTGAGATAGAGATGGGTTTTTTTGTTTGTTTTTGTTTGGATGCCTATCTGACTCTGAAGGAAAAGAAAAAAATTTCCCTAAGTTTCTTAGCAAATCAAAAGCCTTCTACACTGACTGATTTTAAGGATAGGCTGTAATTAGGTAATGAACATTTTGGTGTGTTAACTTGGAAAACCCCAACTTTATAGCCATAGCTAATATATTCACTGAAATATATTTCGGGTTTTGAAAATCAATTGGCCAAAAGCTTTAAAAACATTCTTTTTAAAAACAACATTTAAAAACTTTCTTGCAGAGTTTTCCTTTAAAAATAAAAAGTGCTACTTTTTAAGCCTTTGATCAAATGTTGACACTCCTCAACTTTGTGACTGAATCATTTAGGACAATATTTTAAATTTGCCTAAAATATCTGTAGGTTAAAGATCAAGAAAATTTCTTGATTAAAAGTGAAAGGATAACAGATATGTTGATAAAAATGGACAACGTCCATAGAATCCTGATACTTGCAGACATTCAGGTGTTTGTAGTTACTCTTCAGGGCCACATCCTATAAACAACTAGAAATCAGGATATACATGTAAGTCAGGTAAATTTCAGACAGCCTGTAATGTTTCAAGCAGGAAGATGTCTCCAGATCTGTCCTGGAGGCTTCCCTGTTCTTTATATTACCGGTCTTGCATTTTACAACTTCAGACTAAACAGAAACTGTATCAGAGGCCTTTGTCTTAGTGATTTAGGCCAGGGAGTGATTTACACTGACTAGTGGTCCTAGGAGCAGTAGGCTTTTAATTCTGCTTCCTGCACTCTAGGATTGACTATCATGCTGTTGAAGATGATGTGTGGCTGCAGGGTGCACCTCCTTGCCTCCTTTCCCTCTGAAACATGCAGGGTTGTTCGGACCCTCCATCCTCTTCCATGCACAAAGCAGTTAATGCAAATTCCGTGGTCCAAGACAATCCTTTGACAGTAACCATCAGTCATGCATTAAAACAGCAGTGTACAGATGGTACCTTCATTGTTTCTGACAGGGACAGTTATGGGCATTGGATTAAAGTAAAAACTGAAAAGGAATATTCATGACAGGAAATTTTCCCTTTCCGGGGGTGTTTTGCAACAGCGGGAAGCAGCTGGTCATTGATGTGTCGGCACAAGGCAGCTTCCTGGATTTCCACTGGCTTCCTGGATTTTTCCAGGTGTCACTTGGAAAGTGTACTGAATTAGTGCTTGAAACTTAGTGTTAGAGTGCTCGAAACTTAGTCTCAAATAGAGGAAATGAACACAGAGTAGGATACATAATGTGGCATTGTTTGGATTGGGAATGCTGTACTTATTTCAGAAATGCCACTCTTTTGGAGGAAAATTAGTTTCCTCCTTACTTTATTGTTAAATCTGGGAAATCTGGAAAGGGCTGTGGGGGCAGAACTAGAGTGGGCTGGTATTCAGGGCCTCCTAATAGGTGGCTTTGGTTGTGTGACTTTGGATGCATATATCACTGTGTATATTTGAAAAAAGCCCTAAAGTAACATCATCTATATGTATATAACTTTAAAGAACTTTAACATTTTTAAAGCACTTTCACTGATGTTTGTCTCTTTGATGATCATGTGAAATGGTGTTCTTAATGACTGTACCTGTCTAGGCAGAGAACATTTTGGGACCTGAACCCAGGTCTTCTTTGTATTTTTTTTTTTCTTTTTGGGACAGAGTCTTACTCTGTTGCCCAGGCTGGAGTGCAGTGGCATAATCTTGGCTCACTGCAACCTCCGCCTCCTGGGTTCAAGCAATTCTCATGCCTCAGTCTCCCGAGTGGCTGAGACTACAGGTGCACACCACCATGCCCAGCACATTTTTGTATTATTAGTAGAGATAGGGTTTTACCGTGTTGGCCAGGCTGGTCTCGAACTCCTGACGTCAGGTGATGTGCCCGCCTTGGCCTTCTGAAGTGCTGTATTTTTTTGTTTTCAGGATATTTCTGTTTATTTGCTCATTAAATGAATGGATTATGCAGTAGCCAAGATAATTGAAATAGGTGACCAGTGAGATTTTATTTTCAGTTTGAACTATTGATTTTTTTGGCATTTGATATGTTTTACTCCATTGCAGTTATTCTTTCTGATGCTTGAACTGTCAGATTGGCTCCTGCATTGTTTTGCTTTGGTCACTGTGATCCTTAATCATTTCTTCTATTTCCTGGCAGAAAATAAAATAAGGTGTCCTGGGCTCACTGTGTGTACCTCCCACCACAGACTGGAATCTGCCTTTGCTAAGGAGCATTACAGTGGGAAATTAAATTTAGAAGCCACAGACTGACAGGAGGTATTGGAAGAAATTCCAACTTGAGTCTAACAGATATCTCAGAAAGAGACAACTGAGCGAATGGGAAGTACAGATATAGAGAAATGATTTTTTTTTGTTTTGTTTGTTTTCTAAAAGCTTCTAGATTTGAGGGAAAACACAAACACATACTTAGAAGCAGCAGACCCACTTCATCCTTCAATTCCAGTACATCAGGTGTAAGGAAAAAAAGGCTATTTAGGACATTACAGAGGGCTATAACGCCCAAGCTCCGATGAGAAACTGATTAGTATCCTAAGATCTCTGAAACGCCAAGTAGAAAAGCAAAAAAAAAAAAAAAAAAAAAAAAAAAAAAGTGTTTTCATGTATGCAAGGATTCAAAGTTTACCACCCACAAATTATCTGAAAGAATTGCTGGAATAATGTAATCCAGTTATGCAAAACCAAAATCAAACTCTAAGCAGAATAAGTGAGATATAATAAATCCAAGCAGTTAGAGTCCAGAAAATTTGGCATTAAGCCTAATTGTCAGTTGTCAAACATCCCATGAAACATCAACAGCAATCTATAACTGAAACTTCAGAATTCACTCTACAAACGGTCCTGGAGGAGTGAGGGTAGTGTATTTCAGAGGTAGAAAAAGCAGAGAAGAAATGCATTCTAAGATACTTTTCTATATCTATATCATCTATTTATATGTATACCTGTATATACATACCTGTGTGTGTGTGTGCACGCGCACACACGCACGCATATGGACTGATTTATGAAGGCATATATAGAAAAAATAAATTATGCATTTTCACATAACTTTCACATAAACTTGTAAATAACCACTGTAAGAATAGAAATAGGATATAAAGTTTTCAAACCTTGAAGGGCAATAATGGAACAAAGAAAACTGAACAATCCAATAAAACTAAGAAATGCTTTAAGAAAACACAAGAAAAGTCTGGTAAACAGGCAACATATTATGACAACAGAAACCCAATCTTATCCGTAATCACCATGTTGTGAATTGGACATTTTCAGTTGAAAATGTTCCAGCTATGGCCACTTTCAAGAGATAGACTTAAATCACAAATTCTCAGACAAAAATAAGTAAATAGGCAGATAGGCAAATGGAGATGGGGAAAAGCTGCAGCAAGCAGATATTAACAGTGGTTACAGAACTGTATCTTGCTGTAATGGGGGCTAATTGAGGAAAACCATCTGCGGCGGGAGGGCGTGTCTTCACTGAGGTGCGATGGCATTGTTGGCTGCTGAAGCAGGCATCAGAGTCCGAGAGGAGGACAGAGCACGTAGCCACAGGATGAGCACACCCACCAAGGGCTGATATGCAGAGCTGCCTACCCGAGGAGCATTGTGGGCCAGGAGAGCTTTGGATTCATCACAAGAGCAAGAGATGCATGGCAGCCCTGTTTCACAATAAGCATGTTATCTCACTCAGTCCTTGTGGCAAGCCCATTGGATGTACTGTCATTCTCCCGATGTTGTTGATTGGATACCAATGCTGGCCAGATTCATGGTGCTTGTAGGAGTGGAACCACCATGCTCAGCGGGACTAGACAGCTGCCAAACAGTGGAGGCTCAGGAAACCCCTTCACTTAAGTGCCAGCCTCACCCAGCCCGGACCTGGGAGGAAGCCAGGTAGTGGCAACAGAAGAGGAGGAAGGAAAGTCATCCAGGCACGTTTCCTGCGTGGAAAGAACAGCCTAAGATTGCTCAAGGTCTGGTTCAAATGGAGGTGTCCATAAAGAGACTTCCAGATCCCTTCCCATCAGAATTAACCTTTTGCACTCCCACAATACCGAAATACTTTACTTATTTATATGTGGCTATTAGGACAATTCAGAGAGAGACAAAATGTTTGAATTCACAAGAACAACATTTAAAAATGAGATAAGGCCAGGTACGGTGGCTCACGTCTGCAATTCCAGCCCTTTGGGAGGCCGAGGGGGGTGAATCACTTGAGGTAAGGAATTTGAGACCAGCCTGGCCAACATGATGAAACCCCATCTCTACTAAAAATATAGAGATTAGCCGGGCGTGGTGGCAGGTGCCTGTAGTCCCAGCTACTGGGGATGCTGAGGCAGGAGAATTGCTTGAACCCGGGAGGCGGAGGTTGCAGTGAGCTGAGATTGCATCACTGCCCTTCAGCCTGGGTGACAGAGTGAGACTTCATCTAAAAAACAACAGCAACAACAAAAAACACCAAAAAAACAACAAAACAAAACAAATAAGATGAGACCCTCAGTAATTATGTGAGCTTGGGAAAGCTACCACACCTCTTACATTCTGTTCTTTAAAGTAATAATAATTCCTGTGATATTGTCACAATACTCATGATTGGTGATACTTTTTAAAATTAACATTTTGGTAATATAACTCTTGCCCATAGTTTAAAAGCTGAGATAATTCTGTGAGGATTATTGTTCTCTGCTTCCATTTACATTTCTCATAGACAACCAATTCTAACTCTTTTAGCTGTTTCTTTGAGATTTACGTGCATATCTTGAAATAAAATGCTTATATTACCACTTTTTGCTTTAGTTCTGTTGAACAATGGAGAACCTCACAATACTGAAGGTGAGGACTTAGTTCTCTGTTCACTCTCTACCTCCACTACCACGCATAATTAACACACTTCCCTTCATTTATCACATTTACCTAATGAAATTACATAATCATTTTTGTTTAAATTAATATATAATGTTTATATTAAAATCTGTAAACTCATGATTCACAGCTGAGAGCCATGCAATAGGCTATATTCCTTTTCCTTAGAGTTAATACTATTATCTTTGGCCGGTTGTTGAATTTTTCATGTAATGATCACTATTCTATCCCCAAACTCTCCAGTAGACCTGTAATTTTCTCTCCCCATGTTCAGACACGTGGATCTGTGTCTTCCATGTTGTTAGAGACATCTTTTGAAGCATTTTATCCTCCTGCTTGAATGTAAATTGATTGTTTCCTAGCTCTGTTCTGCAGCTGTCAGACTGATATTTTCTTTTATGATTGCCTTTTGTCAACAGCTTTCTGACATCAACTGAGTATTCTATGACCCAGTTCGATTCAGACACTACCTTGCACTTCTGCCTGGCCATCTACACATTTGGGGCTTCCTACAACTTCCTCACATTTGTTAATTTGCTATAACAACTCCCAGAACTTGGTGCTAAATAGTCATTTGATGATGAGGATGCGTTCTGAGAAATGCATTATTAGGCGATTTCGTTCTTGTACAAACATCAGAGTCTACTTACACAGACCTAGGTGTTATAGCATACTACACACTTAGGCTATATGGTAGAGCCTATTGTTCCTAGGCTATAAACCTGTACAGCATGGTGCTTTACTGAATAGTGTAGGCAATTGTAATGCAATTGTAAGTATTTGTGTATCTAAACATAGAAAAGGTGTAGTAAAAATACAGAATAAAAGATAAAAGAATGATATACATATACAGGGTAGTTACCGTGAGTGCAGCTTGCAGGACTGGAAGTTGCTCTGGTGAGTCAGTGAGTGAGTAGTGAGTAAATGTGACGGCCTGGGACATTACTGTGTGCTACTGTAGACTTCGTAAACACTGTACACTTAGACTACACTAAATTAAAAAAAAAAAGTAATTGCACTGTGATGTTATGACAGCTATGACATCACTAGGCAATAGGAATTTTTTAGCCATTATAATCCTATGGGACCACTTTCAGATACGCTGTCCATAGTTCCCTGAAATGTCATTATGTGACACATAATTGTCCTTGTGATTATTGTTTTATTATAAAAATGCAAATGAGCTTCCAGGTGAAAAGTTACATAGGACAAAGTCTAGGAAGTCCTAAGCACAGGGTCTTCTGTCTCTGTGGAGACCAGCAGTGCCATCCTCTTCATACATTGATGTGTTCACCAACCAGGTAGTTTCCCCAAGCCTTGCCGTCTGGAGTTATTGATGGAGTTTCATTTTGTATGCATGATTGATTAAACTTTTGACCACATGATTGAGCTAAATTTTCAGCATCCCTCCCCTTCTTGGAGGTTAAGCCTCAAGTTCCAGTTCTCCAATCACTTGGTTGGTTTCTCTGGCAACCAGCCTCCATCCTGAAACCACTTGAGGGACCCCTTCCATGAGCCACTTCATTAGCATAACAAGGAATTTCTGATTTCTGTCACTAAGAGTTTTTGAAGCTCTATGTCAGGAACCATGGACAAAGACCAAATAGCTACTTTGTATTATTTCAATAGCTATCAACTAGAGAATTTCCCTTGCCATTCTCCATTTGTGGATCCAGATCCTCTTTCCTGGTTTATCTTCTCAGTTGATGGATGGTGTCCTTTATTACAGTTTGGGAAAGGGAGCATAGCAGGATTTTGAAGACCTTATTTTTACCCTTACACTTGATGAATAGTGTGGCTAGGAATAAGTTGAATACTTTTTCTTAGAATTTTGTTGTTTCTTTTCTTATTCCAATGTTCCAGTTCCCAATAGCTTTGTTTTGCTCTCTGAATGTTTCTTGTTGGAAGTATCTGATTTTTGTTAGTATTTTTAAAGCAATGCCGTTGCTCTGTTATAGTACTGAAGTTGTCCTCGTCTTCCTCCTTCTTCTTCTTTCTTCCTCCCCGTGCCCCTTTCCCTTCCCCTTCTTCTTTCTTTCTTCTGCTTCTGCTGCTGCTTCATTTTCTTCCTGCTCCTTGATCCTTCTACTTCTTGCTTTTGCTTTTTATGGAATTTTTCTTCTACTTCCTGTATTGTCTGCATCCTCAAAGTCCCTTATCTGTTGTTTATTTTGGTCTCTATTTGTCATATTAGAGCCTTTCTCATGATGATAGGTGATCTTTGGTAGAAGCTGTGTGTGTGTAGTGTGTGTGTATGTGTGTGTATGTGTGTGTGTGGTGTGTGCAGGCAGGGGGTTCCCATATGTCTGTATGGTAGTGGTGGTGATGTTGGAGAAGTGGGCTTCATCATAGCATGATTTGGATGGGAACGTATTTTGGGGACCTTAATATGATTAGGTCTTTTCTCTTCATTGGATCACATTTCCCAGAGAAAATTTTTCTAGTATGCTACCTGGGCAGTATGTGCCTGGCAGTCAGAGCTCTGGAAACCAAAACAAGGGAGGGGCTGGGGGT